>NC_000009.12:42230335-42560946 GCF_000001405.40 Homo sapiens
CACTCCACCCTACAGCAGCACAATACATGTTTTTCTAAAAGAAAATGATATCCTGAAACATTGTTCAGCAGAACTGTTACAATTTCTTTTTAAAAACCTGAAATTTCTTCTTTTAATTGGTAATTATTTTTTTAACTTTTATTTTAAGTTCAGGGTTACATGTGAAGGTTTGTTACACAGGTAAACCTGTGACATGGGGAGTTATTGTACAGATTATTTCATCTCCCAGGTATTAAGCCTAGTACTCATTAGTTATCTTTCCTGACCTTCTCCCTCCTCCCACCCTCCACCCTTTGAGATACCACAGTGTGTGTTGCTACCCTCTATGTGTCCATGTGTTCTCATCAGAATGGCTATTATTAAAAAGCAAAAAGCAAAAAAAAAAAAAAAAAAAAAAACAGATGCTGGTGAAGTTGTGGAGAAAAAGGAACAATTATACAATGTTGGTGGGAGTGTAAATTAGTTCTACTATTTTGGAAGACAGTGTGATGATTCCTCAAAGACCTGAAGACAGAAATGTCATTCAGCCCAGCAATCCCATTACTGGGCATATACCCAAAAGAACATAAATCATTCTATTATAAAGCCACATACACACGTATGTTCACTGCAGCACTATTCATAACAGCAAGGACATGGAATCACCCTAAATGCCCAACAATGATAGACTGGATAAAGAAAATGTAGTACATATACACCATGGAAAACTATGCAGCTATAAAAAAGAATAAGATCATGTCCTTTGCGCAAACATTAATGGAGCTGGAGGCCATTATCCTTAGCAAACTAATACAGGAACAGAAAACCAAATACAGCATGTTCTCACTTATAGTGGGAGCTAAACGATGAGAGCATATGGACACACAGAGGGAAACATGAGGGTGGAGGATAGGAGGAGAGAGAAGAACGGGGAAAATAACAAATGGGCATTAGGCTTAATACCTGGGTGATGAAACAATCTGTACAACAAACCTCGATGACACGAGTTTACCTGTGTACCAAACTGATATGGAAGTGCTGGGAAGGGAAGAGCGTGGTCCCTTTAAATGATAGGGAAGGGGAGAAGGGAAGTGCTGGGTAGAGGAGGGCGTGGTCCCTGGCTAGGGCTCCACCCCCACAGACCTAGGTAAGGACAGGCACTTCTGCTTTCATGCCGAAATGTAGCATTTTCCAAGACCACCCTGGCCTGCTGTGCCCCCATCATGGGCCTATAAAAACCAGAGACCTTAGCAAGGCATGGACACAAGCAGCTGGACATCATAAGGAACACATCAGCAGAAGAAGACACAAGCAGCTGGTCATCGAAAGCACACTGGCGGAAGAGCAGGCCAACAGACACCTGCAGGCCATCAGGCCATCGATGGAGTCTCGCTCTGTCGCCCAGGCTGGAGTGCAGTGGCGCAATCTCCGCTCACTGCAAGCTCCGCCTCCCGGGTTTACGCCATTCTCCTGCCTCAGCTTCCCGAGTACTGGGACTACAGGCACCTGCCACCACGCCCAGGTAATTTTTTGTATTTTTAGTGGAGACGGGGTTTCACCATGTTAGCCAGGATGGTCTTGATCTCCTGACCTCGTGATCTGCCCACCTCGGCCTCCCAAAGTGCTGGGATTACAGGCGTGAGCCAGCGCGCCCAGCCAGGACTTCTTTATTAAGTGGTTTTTCATTAAAGGCAGTGATGTTAAATGTGCTCTTGCAAAGGGAGTTTCTCCTAAGGTTGCTGTTACTAGGGAACTGTTGCTATGGGCACCATTGCTAAGAAATGTTGCTAAAGACAATGTTTCTAAGGATATTGCTAAGAGCTTTGTTGCCAAGGGTGTTGTTGCTAAGAAGATTGTCGCCAAGGGAATTGTATTAGGTTGGTACAAAGGTGATTGCGGTTTTTGCCACTGAAATGGCAAAAATCGCAATTACCTTTGCATCAACCTAATAATTAAGGACATTGTTGCTGCATATAGTGTTGCAATGGATTTTGCTCCTAGGGCCTCTTAGATAAGGGTGTTGTTGCTAAGAAATGTTCCCCACACATACTGCCACCAAGGACATAGTTGTTACTGCCACTGTAACTAAATGCATGGCTGATATGGCCATTATTGCTCTGGTCACAATTACAGTAGCCACTCTTGCAGAAGGAGCAATTCCTATGGCCACCGTTGCTAAAGACATTGTTATTAAGTATGTTGCTATTAATGGAACTTTTTCAAAGAGTGCGGTTGCTAAGCACATTTTGCCAAGCTTTTGCTAATGATATTGTTGAGAGGGCCCTTATGCTAAAGACATCGTTCTTAAAGGTGTTAGTATTAAGGGTGGTGTTGCAAGAAAGTTTTTGCTAAGGATGCATTTGCTAAATCAAGGTTGGATGGTCACTACTGCCACGAAAACTGTTGCTAAAGACAACATTGCTAGGGGCAAAGGTGCTAAGGAAATTTTTGCTATGAAATGTGTTGATAAGATTGTTGATGTTAGGCAGTTTTTAGAAAGGCACTTTCTTTGTTAGTATTAGTGTGTTTTGTGTTTTCTTAGTATGTTTGTTAGTGTGTTTTGGCGTGCTTTGCTAAGAAATCTGCACTAAGTTGCTTTTGCTGAGGGTGTGGCTGCTATGGCCATTGTTGGCAAAGTCATTATTGAGAAGGCATTATTTCTAAGTTTATTATTGCTAAGGAAATTGTTGCCTTTTTGTTAAGAGAATTGTATTAGTTTCCTAGGGCTGTCACATCAAAGTACCAAAAACGAGGTGGCTTAAAACAAAAGAAATTTATCTTACAGTTCTGGAGCTTAGAAGTCCAAATCAGGTGGTGGTAGGGTTGCTTCCTTCTGAGCACTCTGAATCTTTTCCGTGCGTTTTTCCTTGCTTCTGATGGTTCCTGGAAATCTTTCACATTTCTTGGCATCACTCCAGTCTCTGCCTTCATATTCACATGCCCTTACAAAACTTACTCTCTGTTGCTAGGAGCGTGTTTGCTAAGGAAATGCTTGCTAAAGATATTTTTAAGAGCATTTCTCTTAAAGGCATTAATGTTCAAGATATTGTCACAGATAAGTTTTGGTACCAATGCAATTACCAAGAGTGTTGATGTTATGGCCCTGTTGCAAAGGAAACTTGTTGTTAAGGGTGTTGCAAGACTCTTGTGTTAATATCGTTGTAAAGAAAGTTGTTGTTAAGGATGCTGTTCCTAACTGCATTTGTTTCTATGTTGCAAAATGAGATATGTTAAAAGCATTGTTGCAAAAGATGTTCTTGCTAGGAGCATTGCTGTTGATGGAAAGTTTGCAAAGGTAATTGTTGATGGAAGCAATTTTGAAGGTCCTCTTTTTTTTTTTTTTTTTTTTTTTTAAAAAAAAAACAGGCAGAGTCTAGCTCTGTCGCCCAAGCTGGAGTGCAGTGGTATGATCATGGTTCACTAACCTCAAACTCTTGTGCTCCAGCAATTTTCTCACCTCAGCCTCCCAAGTAGCTAGGACTACGAGCACAGGTCACCATACCGGACTTTTTAAAAAAATTTTTTGTAGAGACAGCATCTCACTATATTGCCCAGACTGACCTCAAACTGCCGGCCTCAAGCAAACTTCCTGCCTCAACCTTTCAAAGTGCTGGGATTACAGACATTAGTCACCATATCTGGTCAAGATTGTCATTCTTAAAGGCATTGATATTAAAAGTGTTATTGAAGATTAAGGTTTTGCTATGAGTGCTGTTAGTAACTGTACTGTTGCTAAGAAAGCTGTTGTTAAGGGCATTTTTGATAAGGGTACTATTGGTAAGGTTATTGTTCTTAAGGGTATTGCTATGGTTTGGATGTTTGTCCCCTCTAAACCTCATGTTGAAATTTGATCCCCAATGTTGGAGATGGGGCCTAATGGGAAGTGTTTGGGTCATATGACCAAATCCCGTATTAACAGATTAATCTCCTTCCTTGAGGCTGAGTGTGTCGTCTATCAGCTCCTGCCAGAGCTGGTCGTTAAAAAGAGCCTGAGACCTTTCTGCTCTCTTTCTCTCTCTCATCATGTGAGCTCTGCACACACCAGCTCCCCTTCATCTTCTGCCATGAGTGGAAGCAGCCTGAGGCCCTCACCTGACACAGATGTCCAATCTTGAACTTCCCAGCCATCAGAATTGAGAACCAACTAAATGGTTTTTCTGTATAAATTACCCATCCTCAGGTATTTATTTTGAGCAACACAAAATGGTATAAGGCAGGTGTTGATGTCAAAAAAGTTTTGTAAGGGCATTGTTCTTTAAGGCCTTGAAGTTATTGTGCAAAGAAAGTTTTGCTAAGGGTGTTATTGCTATGACTAGTGTTTCTAAGGAAACTGTTGCTAAAAGCACTTTTTTTCTCAGAGCATTATTCCTAAGGACTTAATTGCTAAGAGAATGGTAGTAATAATATTTTTGCCAAGGTTGTTGTGGCTAAGGAAGTCATTGCTGAGGTTCTTTTGTTAAACATGCTGTTCTTAAAGGCATTTTTGTTTTGTTTTGTTTTGTTTTGAGACAGGGTCTCACTCTGTCACCCAAGCTGGAGTGCAGTTGCATGATCACAGCTCACTGCAGGCTTGAACTCCTGTGCTCAAAGTGATCCTCCTGCCTCAGTCTCCAAAGCAACTGGGACAACAAGCACACACCACCATGCCTAGTGTATTAGACTGTTCTCATGTTGCTAATACAGACATACCCAAGACTGGGTAATTTTTAAAGGAAAGACATTTAATTGACTCACAGTTCCCATGGCTGGAGAGGCCTCACAATCATGGCAGAAGGCAAAAGAGGAGCAAAGTCACATCTTACATGGCAGCAGGCAAGAGAGCTTGTGCAGGGAAACTCCCTTTTATAAAACCATCAAATTTCATGAGACTTATTCACTATTATGAGAACAGCATGGGAAAGACCCACCCCCATGATTCAATTACCTTCCATCGGGTCCCTCCCATAACACGTGGGAATTATGGGAGCTACAATGCAAGATGAGATTTGGATGGGGATACAGCCAAACCATATCATGTAGCTAGCTTTTTAATTTTTTTAATTTTTCTTTTTGTAGAGATGAGATCTCACTACATTGCCCAACCTGGTCTTGAACCCTTGGTCTAAAGCAATCCTCCCGATCCCACCTCTCAAAGTGCTGGAATTATAGGCATGAGCCACTGTGCCCAGCCAAAGGCATTGATGTTAATGTTGTTGTTGGATGTTTTTGCTAAAGGTGCTGTTACTAAGAACATTGTGGCCATGGCCACTATTGCAGAGGCTACTGTTGCTAAGATCATTGGTGCTAAAGGTGCTGTTCCTAAGGAAAGAGTGTTGAATTTAAGGAAATTGTTGTTATGGGCTATTTTCTTAGAGTCATTGTTCTTAAAGGCCTTGATAGTAAGAGTGTTGAAAATAAAACAGATTTTGCTATGAGTGATGTTGATAAGGGAGCTGCTGCTATGAGTACTGTTTCCAAATGTGATGTTGCTAAGAGCCAATTGCTAAGGGTACTCTAGCTAAATGCATTGTTAATAAGGACATTGTTGCAAATAGTGCTGCTCACAGAGTTGTTGTTAATGGTGCTGTTTCTAAGGTCACTGTTGATACTGCACCAATGCTAAGGGCCTGGTTGTTCATGGCATTTTTATTAAAGGCAGTTATAATAATGAGGTTGTTTTTAAGGTGTTGATGCCAAGAGTATTGTTTCTAAAGATATTTTTGCTAAGCATGCTGTTGCTGATGGCCTTGTTTTATAGCCACTGTTTCTATGGGAAATGATACTAAAGGTGTTATTGCTTAGGGCATTGTTGCTATGGTTGGTAGCCAAGAAAGGTTTTGCTAAATTGGCTTTTTTCCAAGGGTGCTGTGCAAAGGTTGTTAAGTACTGTTGTAAGGAAAATATTATTATGAATATTATTGTTAAGGCCATTGCCTATAAGAGTTGCTAAAGGACATTGTGAGTAAGGATATTTATATTAAGCACATTGTCACTGAGGAACTTGCTGCTAGGTGTTTTGTTGATGTGGCCTATTGTTGCTAAGGATATTGTCACTCTGACAATGATATTAGGGGCATTGTAGCTAAGGACATTGACATTAAGGCTCTGTTACTAAGACTCATTTTTGCTAAGGGTATTTTTGCTAAGGATGTTGTTATTAAGTACATTTTTGCTAGAGCATTCTTGTTCAGTGTGTTGTTGCTAAAGGGCTAGTTGCTAGAAGCACTTTTCCTAGAATAATTGTTGCAAAGAGCATTCATGCTAAAATGTTGATCCTAAGACCACTGTTTCTAAGAAACTCATTTGAAGGACACTGTCACTGTGAGTGTCGTTGCTAAGGTTGTTGTTGTAAAGTCCTTTATGGCTAAGGGCATTGTTACTATGTTCATTATTGTTAAGTGTATTACAGTAAAGAAGCATTGCTACTAAATACACTGCTGTTAATGACTCTATTGCTCAGGGACTTAATCCTAAGGGTATTGTTGCAAAGAGAGTTAAGGATGTTGATGTTAAGGTGTTGTTTGAAAGTGTGCTGTTGGCCGGGCACGCTGGCTCACGCCTGTAATCCCAGCACTTTGGAAGGCCGAGGCCGGTGGATCACTTGAGGTCAGGAGTTTGAGACCAGCCTGACCAACCAACATGGTGAAACCCCATCTCTACTAAAATTACAAAATCAGCTGGGCTTAGTGGTGCACACCTGTAATCCCAGCTTCTTGGGAGGCTGAGGCAGGAGAATGGCTTAAACCTGGGAGGCGGAGGTTACAGTGAGCCGAGATCATGCCATTGCACTCCAGCCTGGGCAACAAGAAGGAAACTCTGTCAAAAAGAAAATAAAGTGTGCCGTTATTAGAATCATTTTGGCTAAGGGGTATTGGTTTGAATGGTGGTATTGCTAAGGGGACTGATGCTAAAGGCACTCTTAGTAAGTGCAGTTGTCGCTAAGGTTGATGTTCCAAAAGGCATTGATGTTAAGGACATTGTTGCTAAGCCTGTTTTTTAAAGTGTGCTGCTGTTATGGGTATTGTTGTTAAGGGTGTTGTAAGAGAAATCATTGCTGAGTACCACTGCTGCTGAGAGCATTGCCACTAAGATCTAATATTGCCAAGGACAGTGTTGCTAAGGCCGTTGAACTTAAATGCATTTTGGTAAAGGCATTGTTCCTAAAGAGATTCTGGCTAAGGACACTGTTACAAGGGGCATCTTTTATAAGGGCATTGTTGCTAAAGTTGATTTTACTAAAGGCCATTTTAGCTAAAGGCACTGTTGCTAAGTACACTGTTGTCAAGGATGTTGTTGCTAAGAGTGCTGTTGTTAAGAGCATTATATTCTAAAGGATCCGTTGCTAAGGGAATTGATGATAATTGCATTGTTTCTTTTTTCTTTTCTTTTCTTATTTTTTTTATTTTTTTTTTTTTAGATGGATTCTCCCTCTGTTGCCCAGGCTGGAGTGTGGTGGCATGATCTCAGCTCACTGCAACCTCCGCCTCCCGGGTTCAAGTGATTCTCCTGCCTCAGCCTCCCGAGTAGCTGGGATTACAGGCGTGCACTACCATGCCCAGCTAATTCTTGTATTTTTGGTAGAGATGGGGTTTCATCATGTTGGCCAGGCTGGTCTCAAACTCCTGACCTCAAGTGATCCACCCACCTCAGCCTCCCAATGTGCTTGGGATTACAGGCATGAGCCACCTTGCCCGGCCTGTAGTTGCATTGTTTCTAAGGGCCTTTGTTAAGGCACTATGCTAATGTTTTTGCTAAAAGTCATTGTTACAAAAGCTGTGGTTACTAATGATGTTGCTTCCATGGAACACGTGCCTAAGGATGATATTTCAATTGGCATCGATAGTAAGGTCACTGTTGCTAAGGAAGTTATTTCTAAGTGCATTGTTCCTGGAGCCATTGTAGTTATGGGTGATGTTCATAAGAGAACTGTTGAAGGTCATTGTGGCTAAAGGCATTATTACTATTGCTAGTGTTTCTCATGATGCTGTTTCTACCAGCACTGATCCTAAATCTCGTGTTGCTAAGAGTATTGTTACTGAGGGTATTACTGCTAAGTATATTGTTGCTTAGGGTACTATTGCTTAGAATGTTTTTGTATATTATTGTTAAGGACACTGTTTCTCAGATCATTGTTCCTAGGGTGTTAATGTTGGCAAGGGACATTTTTGCTGAAGGCATTGTGACTAAAGGCATTGTTGTTACAGGTATTTTCTTCAAAGGGCATTGTTGGGAAGGGGACATTTCTAGAGTCACTCTTGCTAAAGACTGTTGCTAAGACCATTTTACTAAGGTCAATGCTAAGAGCATTATTACCAAGGCTTTATTTTTATGGCTCAACGTTGGTTGCTAAAGTCATTGCTTCTAAGGGCCAAGAGGGCTGTTGTCAAGAATGCTGGTCTTAGGGGATTTTTGCTAATAGTAATATTGTTAGGACATTGTTGCAAAGAGTGTGGTTGCTAAGGGCCATTGTTTATAAGGTAAACAATGGTAAACTCTTGGTAAGGCAAGTTTGGATAAGAGCACTGTTGCTAAGGGCACTGGTTATAGGGGTGATGCTCATGATTTTTTTACTAAGGACATTATTAAGAATGTCATTTCTAAGGTCGGTTGTTTACCCCTTTCTTGCTAATGGTACTGATGTTAAGAGTGTTGATTCTATGAGTATTACCATTCGGAGCATTGTCTCCAAGAGCCATTCTTGCTAAGTTCATTGATATTATGTATTTTGTAGCTAGGACATTGCTGTAAAGTGTGCTGTTGCCAACAACACTGTTGCTGATGTCATTATTGCTAAGGAGTTGATACTAAAAGCATTTTTACTAAGGTGCCATTGGTAAGAGTGCTGTTGTTAATGCCACTATAAAGGACATTTTTGTAAGGGCATTGTTGCTAATTGCTTTATTTCTAATTTTGTTATTGCTAAGGGCCATGGTTTTTGAAGGTATTATTTCTAAGGGTGTTTTTGCTAAGATACACTAACAGGCCATGGTTTGACCATTTCCAAAGTACCATGGCAATTTATAGAGGTAAATGGACATACCATTGTTCCTAAGGGCATTGTTGCTATGGACATTGATTTTAAAGACATTGTTGCCAATGGCATTGTTGCAATTGGCATAATTCCCACTATTTCTACAGGCAATTATGCTAAGGTTGTTGTTGCTTAGAGATTTGTCAGTAAGGTGCACCATTGCTAATGATGTTGCTGCTAAGGACATTGTTGTTAGGGACCATTGTTGTTATGTTATGAGTGTTGTCTCTAGGGTCATTTTTCCTAAGGGCCATTTTTGTTAAGGGTCTTGATGCTAAAGGCCATTTTTTTAAACGACATTTTGGTAAAGGTATTCATGTCAAGCTATTTGTTGCTAAGGTCATTGTTGTTTGGGGTGGTTGTTAAGGTCTATGATTGCTAATGTAAGATATTGCTTCTAGGAGTGTTGATGTCAGTCAAAGGTGTTGCTAAGAACAACTGTGGCAAATAGTGTTATAGCTGAGGGCATTTTTCTAATGTTACTGTTGCTTAGATTATGTTGCCAAGAGTCTTTTGGCTAAAAGGGTTAATATTAACAATGTTGTCTTAAAGCATTATTCCTGATGGTGTCTATGCTAAGGGTATTGTTGCTATGGGATTTGTTGCTAAGGGCCATTATTAATAAGAGTCATTGTTGTGATAGGCATATTTTTAAAAGTGTTGGTGCCAAGGGCAATTGTTCTTAAGGATGTTTTTGCCAAGGGCATTAGTGGTAAAAAATTGTTGCTAAGGTCATTTTTTTCTAAGTGGGTTGGTCCTAATGTATCCCACACCATGAAATCACTACCTCACTACTCTTCACCTCTCCCACTCCATACAACATATTTCCTTGTATCAGACACCTGCTGACATCACCAGTATAGGATCTTATTAGAACAAATGAGGCAAGTAGAGCAAAGTGGGCATCTCTCAGGGAACAAGAGTGTCCAGTGCAAAGTATCAGCCCATTCCAACCTTAGGACAGGTGCCAGGCTGATTAGGGGCCTCAGGTTTGAGCTAGTGACCCTGACCCTTTAAGCTCTGAGAACTTAAAGCTGGCTGAGCTCCAACCCTGAATGTTTTGTCCTATGAGTCATTATCTGTGAGCTATTTTTAAAAATATTTTGGACTTCATCTACGTTTTTCCCCTAATGTGTTTCAATTTTGTGGGGACTCTAGTGGAAACAGAGGAAGTCATTGATTGTTCTTAAATCTTAAATGCATCTTTCCAACCTGTCAATGCACATAACTTAATCAGGTCTATGTTCATGCATAAGATAGTTCCATACATGAAGCATCTCACAGTTCAATATGCTATCTATATACAATATTTTTCCACTTAAAATATCCACTAGGTTGAGTGAGGACATCGATAACCAGATTTTCATATATATTTGAAAAAAAGAGAGGTAAGAAAACTCAAAAATATCTGTAAAAGAAACAAATACATTTGGAGCACGTGCCTTACTACCAATCAAGGTTTTAGAAAGCCAGACTCATCAAGACAGTGGTATAGGCACAGTGAGAGACAAAGTAGCTCACAGGAAAAGACCAGAGGCCCAGAATCATACTTAGCATTTATATCCACATGGTGTCTTACAGAGGGGACACACACATCAGTGAGGAGAGAAAATGTAATTTAGGATTAGCATACTTGGTGATTAACTGGTTTTAAAAAAATGTGTAATTGTTAATTTAAAAATATAAATAACAAATTTTTCAATAGCAAACTCAAATGCTATGAACTTAGGGGTAAATTTCACCAAAGATAAAAAGTATTTTATAGTCCCCTCACTATTGTAAGAAATTTAACCTACCCTGAGAGATGAATACTATGGTTTCACCATTTTAAAGGTGAACTTATTCATAAGAGAAAAAAAATAAAAGCAAATAAATGGAGATTTATACTGCAAATATCAATAGGAAAAGTCAAAATCATAAAAAATATCAATTCCACCCAAATTGTCAATGTTAATTCCAGCCAAAACCTCAACCAGATTTCCTAATGTCCTTCATAAGCTGACGCAAAATTAATATGAAAAAATAAACCTCACACCAAAGAAAACCAAAGACACTCTCATGCAGTAATAACATAAGAGAAATTATCTACTGGACCTTACAATTTATGATGAAAATAAATTAATTAAGATAGCTTTGTATTGGAAAAAATAGAGACAAGCCAATGAAACTGAAGAAACAAAATGGAAACAGATACCTACGAGAAAGTGGAAACAGCAGGGCAATTTAGAAAGATGACTATTTTAAAAGCAGTCAAGGCCGGGCGCTGTGGCTCACGCCTGTAATCCCAGCACTTTGAGAGGCGGAGGCGGGCAGATCACTCGGGCGGATCACTTGAGGTCAGGAATTCAAGACCAGCCTGACCAACATGGTGAAACCCCCTCTCTACTAAAAATACAAAAAAGTAGCCTGGCGTGGTGGTGGGCGCCTGTAATCCCAGCTACTTGGGAGGCAGAGGCAGGAGAATCGCTTGAACCCGGGAGGCGGAGGTTGCAGTGAGCCAAGATCACACCATTGCACTCCAGCCTGGGTGACAGAGCGAGACTCCATCTCAAAATAAATAAATAAATAAATAAATAAAATAAAATAAAAGCAGTTAAACCATTCAGATATCCATATGGAAACATTGTGGATCCGTACTTACGCCTTACACTAAATTCATCCCAGTGGGATTAAAAACTTAAATTTGAAACAAAATATGTGAGTCATTTAGTAAAAAGAATAAGAGAATTTTCTTATGAATACTGTCTGAAACAAAACCACAATAGGAAAAGATAATTTAACTCTTCCACATTGAAAAGAAAAAAATCTCTTTTTTTTTTTTTTGAATAGAGTCTCGCTCTGTCACCCAGGCTGGACTGCAGTGGCGCAATCTAGGTTCACTGCAAGCTCAGACCCCGGGTTCACGCCATTCTCCTGCCTCAGCCTCTTGAGTAGCTGGTACTACAGGTACCTGCCACCACGCCCGGCTAATTTTTTGTATTTTTAGTAGAGAGGGGGTTTCACCGTGTTAGCCAGGATGGTCTCGATCTCCTGACCTAGTGATCCGCCCGCCTTGGCCTTCCAAAATGCTGGGATTACAGGCGTGAGCCACCGCGCCCGGCCAGAAAGAAAAAACATCTTAAAGAAAACCTAACAAAGTGACAACCAATCTTCAGACTGGTAGAAAGTATTTGCAATGTACAGATGCCACAAAAAATATCCAGAAAATATAAGGAATTTCTAGTATCAGGAGTATATTTTATTGATTGCCTTGAATGCTCAATAAGATCAAGAAACATGGAAATTTATAAAACTAAATGAAAATTCATTCTATATTCTTGAATACTATAATTCACTGAATTATGTATATAGTAATATGTAAGATAATACTATATAACTCATGATTTTAAGCTTTTCCATTTTCTTTTCTTTTTTTTTAAGACGGAGTCTCACTCTGTCGCCCAGGCTGGAGTGCTGTGGCACGATCTCGGCTCACTGCAAGCTCCGCCTCCCGGGTTCACGCCATTCTCCTGCCTCAGCCTCCCCAGTAGCTGGGACTACAGGCGCCCGCCACCGCGCCCGGCTAATTTTTTTTATTTTTAGTAGAGACGGGGTTTCACCATATTAGCCAGGATGGTCTGAATCTCCTGACCTCGTGATCTGCCTGCCTTTGCCTCCCAAAGTGCTGGGATTACAGGCGTGAGCCACTGCACCCAGCCTCCATTTTCAAATTGATAGATATATTCAGTGCATTTCCCCTAAAAATTTTCACTGTGTTTTTTGAGTATTTAAACAACTATTAATAATTCTTACCTTCGTACAAAAAAAGTCAAAGGCCGAAGAATTGAAAACAAATCTGTAGAATAAAAATAATAATAATAAGATGTAAGGAACTGCCGTACCACCAATCAAAATTCATAATGTTAGCCTTCAAGACAGCATGGGGCAAATCTCCTGATAGATGAAATAGCCCAAAGGAAAAAAAATAGAAGTCCAGTAAATGACTCAGAATTGAGTCGATAGATATTTATGGCAGATGGAGCACTGTACATCAGTGGGGAGACATAAATACATAGGACTGGGGCACTTGCTCATCCAAATTCTTCATGACTCCCTCTTCATTGAGCCCTGAGGGAAATGGAGAGAGAGAAAAGTAAGTCGGGGACAGGTGAGACCATTCACTCCCAGATGAACCTCTATTTCCACATCTTCAACTTAGCCTTGTTAAGTGATTTTGTAAACAAGCTGAGAATACCAGATGGCTATGGTTTGCTTTGTTTGTGTATCTCCCCAATGCCAATGTGACTGCTTCAATAGACTATGTCACAGATAATGTTGCTTGTAATATTTGACATGATGTGAATTTTTATTCAAGTTAAGCAACAGCCATGAGAGACAATCACAGAGAGCCTATCCATGTGTTTCTGACAAAGGTTCCTTTTTTATTGTTTTATGTTTATCAAGAGATTTCTTTTGACACATGTACTTTTTAAATTTTTTTATTTTGAAATAATTGTAGATTCACATGAAGTTGCAAAAAGAAAAAAAGGTACGCAAAGGTCCCTTATACATTTCACCAAGCATAGGATTATTGTTGAGAATATGATAAATCGCACATTCAGCCTACATAGATAAATGTTCTATGGTTCTACTAGATATATGGTTCTACATAGATAAACGTTCCCAGTTCTCTGGGGCTCTCTCTTACAGAGAGGCTAAGCATGTTTTCTAACACAATATGCTAGACATAGCTGCAGTATTAGTCATTCAATTATTAAACTTAATAAAACTTCAAAAAATATTGTATGGCATATGTGTGTATGTCTGTGTGTGTATACACACAGACACACACACACACACACAAATGCAAAAGACTAATACTCTATTGTACCAAATTATGTTTAGAGAATTCAAGAGAAGCAACCCCTGTGTAGACAACAGATGCCCAGATTGTTCGTATGTTTCAAGGATATGTGAAGGAGTTTGACGACTGCTTTCTCATTTGGAGAGAAACTAAGCTGATGCTTGCAGTGACTTATTCTACATTAGTTCGTAGATCTCGGTGATTCAATTGCCTCTTCTGACAATTTTCTTTCTCAGAGAACCCCAATAATCATTTCTCATGTGCTTAACCATCCCCAGGATCTTCCTATGTAAAAGCCATTCTCTATCAAATCTTTATACTTAAGGAAAGTTTGAGTACAGAGTACAGTCCAGTGGGGCCAGTGTTTTCCAGCCAGGTCCTGTGGCCAAAACTTTCTACAATGGCATCTTAAATGCAATTAGCAGAAGGCTGATACCTCCAGAAGTAACAACCAAGTTGCTCACTTAGAGTTTCAGGAAGTCAGAGTTCATTCGTGGGCAAAGGATGCAGGTTACAGAGATTGTTCTTATAGGTTAAGAAAAGGAAAGAAAACCCAGCAAAGTCAACCATCTTTCTGGAAATGTTGAAAAAATGTGAGAAAACTCACTAAGCGTGACATTACCTGTAGGTTTTTTGTAAATTACCTTAATCAGGTTGAAGAAGTTTCCTGCTAGTGCCAGTTTGCTGAGAGTTATTTTCTTCTGATTATACTGAGATAAGATCTTTTCTTTTTTAATTTCTCTATTTGGTGAACTACAGTGCTTGATTTTTAAAATTTTTATTTTATTGTGGTAAGAATATAACATGAGATCTACTCTCTTATGAGATTTTTCAGTATACAATAAAATATTGTTAACTATAGGCACAGTATTACACAGCAGATCTCTAAAGCTAATTCATCTTGCATTAATGAAATTTTATACCCATTGATAAGCAACTCCTCACTTCCCTTTCACTCCCATCCTGGCAACCACCATTCCACTCTTTGATTCTATGAATTGTACTGTTAATATTTTCACTATCTAAAATAAGCAAATTATACGGGATTTGTCTTTCTGTGATTGGCTTATTTCACTTGGAATAATATCCTCAAGGTTTATTCATGTTGTGCATATTGCAGAATTTCTTTTTTAATGCTGAATATTATTTCCATTGTATGTCTATACCACATTTGCTTTATGAATTTATCTGTTAATGGACATTAATGTTGTTTCTACATCTGAGCTATTACGAATAGTGTTGCAATGAACATAGGAATGGTAATATTACTTCAAGATCCTGATTTCAATTCTTTTGGATAAATACTCAGAAGTGGGATTATTGGAGCAATATAATGGCTCTGTTTTTAACTTTTTGAAGACCGTTCGTACTTTTTTCCCATAGTAAATGCACCATCGTGTATTCCCACAAACAATGTACACAGGTTCCATTTCTCCACATCCCTTCCAACACTTGTCTTTTTTTTTTTTTAATAATAATCATCCTGACAGGTGTGAGGAAATATTTCATTGTGGTTTTGATTTACATTTTTCTGATGATTAGTAACACTGAGCATCTTTTCATATACCTGTGGGTATTTCTCTTCTTTGGAAAAATGTCTATTCAAGTCCTTTGCTCATTTAAAAAATCAGATTGTTAGTTTTATCTACTGAGTTGTTTGAGTTCCTAACGTATTTTGGAAATTAATCTTTTTCCCAGTGTTTTGTTATAGAAGCTTTACAGTCTCACCTTGCATTTAAGTTTTTAATCCATTTTGATTTAATTTTTGTTTATGGTATAAGACAAGGATCCAGTTCTACTCTTGCATGGAGATATCCAGTTTTCCCAGCAGCATTTGTTGAAGAGACTGTCCTTTCCTGATTGTGCATTCTTGGCACCCATGTCAAAGATCAATTGACTGTATATACACAGATCTATTTCTTGGCTCCCTATTCTAACCCATTGGTCTTAAATGTCTATCTTTATGCTGTTAACATATTATTTTAATTACTATAGCTTTGCAATATATTTTGAAATTAGGAAGTGATGCCTCTAGCCTTGCTCTTTCTTCTCAAGATTGTTTTGGCTATTCAGGGTACTTTCCAATTATATATGAATCTTAGAATTGTTTTTTCTCTGTCTGTAAAAATGCTATTAGGATTTTTATGGATATTGAATTGAATTTGTAGATTGCTTTGAGTAGTGTAGATATTAAGACTTCCAATCTATGAACACAGTATGTCTTTCCATTTACTTGTGTCCTTTTAAATTTCTTAAATTAATGTTTTGCAGTTTGCAGTGTGTCTTTTACCTCCTTGGCTAAGTTTATTCCTAAGTATTTGATTATTTTTGATAATGTTGTAAATGGGATTGGTTTCCTAATTTTCTTTCAGAGAGTTTATTTTTGGTGTATAGAAATGCAATTGATTTTTACATATTGTTTTTTATCATACTACTTTGCTGAATTGACTTATTAATTCTAACAGTTTTTTGTGGAGTCTTTAGAGTTTTCTGTATATTAGATCATGTTTAAACAGGTACAATTTCACTTCTTCCTTCTGAACTTGATGTATTTTTTGTATTGATCTTGAATAATCATTCTGGGCAGGACTTTCATTACTATGTTGAATAGAAGTGGTAAAAGTGAACATCCCTGTCTTTTTCCTGATATTAGAGGAAAAGCTTTTAGTTTTTTACTCTGAGTGTGGTGTTAGCTGTGGGATTTTCATATCTGGCCTCAATATGTTGAGGTAACTTCCATCTCTTCCTAGTTTGTTGAGAGTTTCTAACATGAAAAAGTGTCGAATTTTATCAAATTATTATTTTTAAATCTATTGAGATGATTTTGTGATTTTTATCTTTTATTCTATTAACTGTATCACATTAATTGATTTTCACATGTTGAACCATCCCTGCAACTCAGGGATAAATCCCACTTGGTGTATGATCCTATTAATTTGCTGTTAAATTTGGTTTGCAATTATTTTGTTGAGGATCCTTGCATCTATATTAATCAGGGACATCGACCTGTAGTTTTCTTTTTGTAGTGTCTTTGTCTGTCTTTAAATTCACATAATGCTGGCCTCGTGAAATGAGTTTGGAAATATTCCCTCCTTTTTGATTTTTTGGGAAGAGTTTTAAAATGATTGGTATTAATTCTTCTTTAAATATTTGGTAGACTTCAGCAGCAGAGTCATCAGGTCGGAGGCTTTGCTTTGTTGGGAGTTTTTTTTATTACTGATTCGATCTCCTTATTTACTGTTTGCCTGTTTAAATTTCCTATTTCTTTCATGATGCACTCTTGGTAGGTTGTATGTTTCTAGGAATTTATCCATTTATTCTAGGTTATCGAGTTTATTGGTGTATTTTTTCTCACAGCAGTTTCTTATGATCTTTGGATTTCTGTGACATCAGTTGCAATGTCTTTTTCATTTCTGTTTTTGTCTTCCTTCTTCTTAGTACACTGTTTGATTTTTAAATGTTCAAACAATTTCACATTCTTAGGATAAGCCCCCTTGGTCCTTGTGTGTTATTCTGTTTACATAATGCTGTAATTTAATTGCTAAAATTGCATTTTTTCAACTAATGTCATGAGAGATATTGTCTCTAGTTTACTTTTCTTGTAATGTCTTTGACATTTATATCAGGGTAATGCTAATTTCATAGAATGAGGTAGGAAATAATTACCTTCTCAAAAATTTTCTATGAAGAGTTCATGTAAAATTAGTATTACTTCTTAAATATTTGATATAATTCACTAGTGAAACCACTTGGGCCTGGCATTTTCTTTATGTGAAGGTTTTGTAACTACAAATTGTATTTCTCTAACAGATGTAGGGCTATTCAGATTATGTATTTCTTCTTGAGTGAGATATGGTAGTTTGTGTATTTCAAGGAGTTCATCTATTTTATGACAATTGTGGAAATCATTGACATGAAGTTATATATAATATTTTATTATGATTCTTTTAACATCTGTAAAACCTAAAATCATGTCACCTTTCTCATTCCTGCTACTGGCATTTTTTTCTTCTAATGCCTGATTAGTCTGGCTAGATTTATCAGCTTTCTGTTGATTTCTGTTAACATGGTATGTATTTTTTAACCTCTTTGTTTCTTTATATATAAAGTGTATTTCTTGTAAGCAGCATAGAATTGGGTCTTCCTAAAAAAATTATATGACAATTCCTGACTTTTAATTGAGGTGTTTAAACCATTTACATTTAATATGATTATTTATATAGTTAGGTTTGAGTCGATAATTTTGATTTTTGTTCTTTTTTCTTCTTTTTTTCCATTTGGATCAAACATTTTTATTACATTTCATCTTCCTTTCTGGTTCATTAACTATGTAAATCAAAAGTAAAATTCTAAGCCCATCAACCAATTGAATGGACCCCTCCTCTCAAACAAGGGCATTCCTAAGTTAACCTGGAAAATCAGTTCAGGCCATGATGGGTAGTAGAGGTCAGACACGCCACACTATACTCACCTTCCTTTGGAATTCAGGCACAGCTGACCAGCATTTAACATTAAAACAGAGACCTTACGACTGATGAAACAGACTCTTGGTAGCCATTAAGATACCAACATGACAGACAGCAAGCCCTAAAAGAAATAAAAATATTTTACCTCAAAAGATATTTCTTTTCTCTCCCTCTTCTTCTTTTTTTTTTTTTTTTTTTTTTTTTTTGAGATGGAGTCTCCCTCTGTTGCCCAGGCTGGAGTGCAGTGGCATGATCTTGGCTCAGTCACCACAACCTCCGTCTCCCAGGTTCAAGTGATTCTCCTGCCTCAGCCTCTTGAATAGCTGGGATTACAGGTGCCCGCCACCATTCCTGGCTTATTTTTTTGTATTTTTTGTAGAGACGTGGTTTTGCCATGTTGGCCAGGTTGGTCTCAAACTCCTGACCTCAAGTGATCTGCCTGCTTCAGCCTCCCAAAGTGCTAGGATTATAGGCATGAGCCAACGTGCCTGGCTATATTTCTTAAACATATTTTGAAATGGCCCTGCAAAGCTGTCTCTTGTGGGAAAATCTACCTTCTATAGAAAATCTCCTTTTATTTCCAGGTCTTCTTCCTGATCCGGGAGAGAATTAACTGAGTTTGGTACCTTTTTAAGTCTGATAAAAAACATTTACAATCTATTCTTTCTGAAGCCTGCTACCTGGAGGCTTTATCTGCATAATAAAAACCTTGGTCTCCACAGCCCCTTATTTTAACCCTTCTATTAATTCCAGGTCTTTAGATAAAAGCTTTCAACCCATTGCCAATCAGGAAATCTTTTAATCCACTTATGACTTGCAGTCCACAACCCCCCCACTGCCCCTTCCTCCCCCTTCACATTACTCCATGTGATGGTTAATATTGAGTGTCAACTTGATTGGAATGAAGGGTGCAAAGTGTTGTTCCTGGGTGTATGTGTGAGGGTGTTGCCAAAGAAGACTGACATTTGAATCAGTGGACTAGAAGAGGCAGACCCACCCTCAATCTGGGTGGGCACCATCTAATCAGCTGCCAGCACAGCTAAAATAAAGCAGGCAGGAGAATGTGGAAGGACTAGACTGGCTGAGTGTTCTGGCCTTCATTTTCTCCCATGCTGTATGCTTCCTGGCTTTGAACATTGGACTCCAAGTTCTTTGGCTTTTGGACTTTTGGACTTACACCAGTGGTTTGGCAGGGGCTCTTGGGCCTTCAGCCACAGACTGAAGGCTGCACTGTCGGCTTCCCTATTTTTGAGATTTGGGAATTCAGACTGGCTTCCTTGCTCCTCAGCTTGCAGATGGCCTATTTTGGGACTTCACCTTGTGACAGTGTATACTCCTTAATAAACTCCCTTTCACATATACATTTATCCTATTAGTCCTGTCCCTCTAGAGAACCCTAATACACCCCACCTTTCCAGACCTAACCAGTGTATGTCTTACATGTACTGATTCATGTCTTATACCTCCCTAAAACATGGAAATTCAAGCTGTAGCCAGATCACCTTGGGCAAATGTTCTCAGGACCTCCTAAGGCTATGTCACGGGTATGTCCTTAACCTTGGCTAAATAAACTTCTGAATTGATTGAGACTTGTCTCTGGTATTTTTTGGCTTAAAATTATAATTCTTTATTTTGCTAATTTTGTGTTTGCTGTGGAGTAGTAGTATATATCTTAAACTTATCACAATCTAGCTTCAAGTGAATTATACCATTTCACATATACTATTCAAACCTTACAACAGTATACTTGCATTTCTCCCCTCTCAGTCTTTATGCTTTGTTGTCATATACTTTATTTGTATATACATATGTTGCAATAACAACACATTGTTATCATTCTGTTTAATCAATTATCTTTAAAAGAAATTTACATGAGGGGAGGTTCCAAGATGGCCAAATAGGAAGAGCTCCAGTCTACAGCTCCCAGCGTGAGTGACACAGAAGATGAGTGATTTCTGCATTTCCATCTGAGGTACCAGGTTCATCTCAATGGGGCTTGTTGGACAGTGGGTGCAGCCCATGGAGCATGAGCCAAAGCAGGGCGGGGCATTGCCTCACCTGGGAAGAAGAAGGGGCTGGGGAATTCCCTTTCCTAGTCAAGGGTAGCCCTGACAGTACCTGGAAAATCAGGACACTCCAACCCTAATACTGTGCTTTTCCAATGGCCTTAGCAAATGGCACAGCAGGAGATTATATCCTGTGCCTGGCTTGGAGGGTCCTACGCCCATGGAGCCTTGCTCGCTGCTAGCACAGCAGTCTGAGATCAAACTGCAAGGTGGCAGCAAGGCTGGGGGAGGGGTGTCTGCCATTGCTGAGGCTTGAGTACGTAAACAAAGTGGCCAGGAAGCTCGAACTGGGTGGAGCCCACTGCAGATCAAGGAGGCCTGCCTGCCTCTGTAGACTGCACCTCTAGGGGCAGAGCATAGCTGAACAAAAGGCAGCAGAAACTTCTGCAGACTTAAATGTCCCCGTCTGACAGCTTTCAAGAGAGTAGTGGTTCTCCCAGTATGGAGCTGGAGATCTGAGAATGGACAGACTGCCTCCTCAAGTGGGTCCCTGACCCCCGAGTAGCCTAACTGGGAGACACCTCCCAGTAGGGGCCGACTGACACCTCATACAGCCTAGTACCCCTCTGAGATGAAGCTTCCAGAGGAAGGATCAGGCAGCAACATTTGCCATTCTGCAATCGATCAGTAATAACAAACTTCTCCAAGCTAAAGGAGGATATTCAAACCCATATCAAAGAAGCTAAAAACCTTGAAAAAAGATGAGATGAATGGCTAACTTGAATAAACAGCATAGAGAAGACCTTCAATGACCAGATGGAGCTGAAAACCATGACATGAGAACTATGTGATGCATGCACAAGCTTCAGTAGCTGACTCAATCAAGTGAAAGAAAGGGTATCAGTGATTGAAGATCAAATGAATGAAATGAAGTGAGAAGAGAAGTTTAGAGAAAAAAGTAAAAACAAATGAACAAAGCCTCCAAATAATATGGGACTATGTGAAAAGACCAAATCTACATCTGATTGGTGTACCTGAAAGTGACGGGGAGAATGGAACCAAGTTGGAAAACACTCTGCAGGATATTATCCAGGAGAACTTCCCCAATCTAGCAAGGCAGGCCAATATGCAAATTCAGGAAATACAGAGAATGCCACAAAGATACTCCTCGAGAAGAGCAACTCCAAGACATGTAATTGTCAGATTCACCAAAGTTGAAATGAAGGAAAAAATGTGAAGGGCAGCCAGAGAGAAAGGTCGGGTTATGCAAAAAGGGAAGCCCATCAGACTAACAGCAGATCTCCCAGCAGAAACTCTACAAGGCAGAAGAGAATGGGGGCCAATATTCAACATTCTTAAAGAAAAGAATTTTCAACCCAGAATTTCATGTCCAGCCAAACTAAGCTTCATAACTGAAGGAGAAATAAAATCCTTTACAGACAAACAAATGCTGAGAGATTTTGACACCACCAGGTTTGCCTTACAAGAGCTCCTGAAGGAAGCACTAAACATGGAAAGGAACAACCAGTATCAGCCACTGCAAAAACATGCCAAATTGTAAAGACCATCGAGGCTAGGAAGAAACTGCATCAACTAATGAGCAAAATAACCAGCTAACATCATAATGACATGATCAAATTCACACATAACAATATTAACCTTAAATGTAAATGGGCTAAATGCTCCAATTAAAAGACACAGAGGGGCAAATTGGATAAAGAGTCAAGACCCATTAGTGTGCTGTATTCAGGAGACCCATCTCATGTGCAGAGATACACATAGGCTCAAAATAAAGGGATGGAGGAAGATCTACCAAGCAAATGGAAAACAAAAAAAAGCAGGGGTTGCAATCCTAGTCGCTGAAAAAACAGATTTTAAATCAACAAAGATCAAAAGAGACAGAGAAGGCCATTACATAATGTAAAGGGATCAATTCAACAAGAAGAGCTAATTAACCTAAATATATATGCACCCAATACAGGAGCACCCAGATTCATAAAGCAAGTCCTTAGAGACCTAGAAAGAGACTTAGACTCCCACACAATAATAATGGGACACTTTAACAACCCACTGTCAACGAGACAGAAAGTTAACAAGGATATCCAGGAATTGACAGAAACTTTCTGTCAACGAGACTGAAAGTTAATAAAGATATCCAGGAATTGAACTCAGCTCTGCACCAAGCAGACATAATAGACATCTACAGAACTCTCCACCCCAAATCAATAGAATATACATTCTTCTCAGCACCACATCACACTTATTACAAAATTGACCACATACTTGGAAGTGAAGCACTCCTCAGCAAATGTAAAAGAACAGAAGTTATAACAAACTGTCTTTCAGACCATAGTGCAATCAAACTAGAACTCAGGATTAAGAAACTCAGTCAAAACTGCTCAACTACATGGAAACTGAACAACCTGCTCCTGAATGACTACTGGGTACATAACAAAATGAAGGCAGAAATAAAGATGTTCCTTGAAACCAGTGAGAACAAAGATACAACATACCAGAATCTCTGGGACACATTTAAAGCAGTGTGGAGAGGGAAATTTATAGCATTAAGTGCCCACAAGAGAAAGCAGTAAAGATCTAAAATTGATACCCTAACACCACAATTAAAAAAAACTAGAAAAGCAACAAGAAACACATTCAAAAGCTAGCAGAAGGCAAGAAATAACTAAGATCAGAGCAGAACTGAAGGAAATAGACACACAAAAAACCCTTCAAAAAATCAAAGAATCCAAGAGCTGGTTTTTTGAAAAGATTAACAAAATAGACCGCTAGCAAGACTAATAAAGAAGAAAAGAGAGAAGAATCCAATAGATGCAATAAAAAATGATAAAGGGGATATCACCACTGATCCCACAGAAATACAAACTACCATCAGAGAATACTATAAACACCTCTATGCAAATAAACTAGAAAATCTAGAAGAAATGGATAAATTCCTGGACACATACACCCTCCCAAGACTGAACCAGGAAGAAGTTGGATCCCTGAATAGACCAATAACAGGCTCTAAAATTGAGGCAATAATTAATAGCCTACCAACCAAAAAAAGTCCAGGACCAGATGGATTCACAGCCAAATTCTACCAGAGGTACAAAGAGGAGCTGGTACCATTCCTTCAGAAACTATTCTAATCAATAGAAAAAGAGGGAATCCTCCCTAACTCATTTTATGAGGCCAGCATCATCCTGACACCAAAGCCTCGCAGAGACGTAACAAAAAAAGAGAATTTTAGACCAATATCCCTGATGAACATCATTGCAAAAATCCTCAATAAAATACTGGCAAACCAAATCCAGCAGCACATCAAAAAGCTTATCCACCATGATCAAGTGGGCTTCAACCCTGGGATGCAAGGCTGGTTCAACATATACAAATCAATAAATTTAATTCATCATATAAACAGAACCAAAGACAAAAACCACATGATTATCTCAATAGATGCAGAAAAGGCCTTCGACAAAATTCAACAGCCCTTCATGCTAAAAACTCTCAATAAACTAGGATTGATGGGATGTATCTCAAAATAATAAGAGCTATTTATGACAAACACACAGCCAATATCATACTGAATGGGCAAAAACTGGCACAAGACAGGGATGCCCTCTCTCACCACTCCTATTCAACATAGTGTTGGAAGTTCTGGCCAGGGCAATCAGGCAGGAGAAAGAAATAAAGGGTATTCAATTAGGAAAAGAGGAAGTCCAATTTTCCCTGTCTGCAGATGACATGATTGTATATTTAGAATACCCCATCATCTCAGCCCCAAATCTCCTTAAGCTGATAAGCAACTTCAGCAAAGTCTCAGGATACAAAATCAATGTCCAAAAATCACAAGCATTCCTATACACCAATAACAGACAAACAGAGAGCCAAATCATGAGTGAACTCCCATTCACAATTGCTTCAAAGAGAATAGAATACCTAGGAATCCAACTTACAAGGGATGTGAAGGACCTCTTCAAGGAGAACTACAAACCACTGTTCAACAAAATAAAAGAGGACACAAACAAATGGAAGAACATTCCATGCTCATGGGTAGGAATAATCAATATCGTGAAAATGGCCATAGTGCCCAAGGTAATTTATAGATTCAATGCCTTCCCCATCGAGCTACCAATGACTTTCTTCACAGAATTGGAAAAAACTACTTTAAAGTTCATATGGAA
The DNA here is from genome assembly GCF_000001405.40 of Homo sapiens. Taxonomy (NCBI): domain Eukaryota; kingdom Metazoa; phylum Chordata; class Mammalia; order Primates; family Hominidae; genus Homo; species Homo sapiens. The sequence goes on from NC_000009.12 coordinate 42,254,824, forward strand.
CCAAAAAAGAGCCTGCATTGCCAAGACAATCCTAAGCCCAAAGAACAAAGCTGGAGGCATCACACCACCTGACTTCAAACTATACTACAAGGCAACAGTAACCAAAACAGCATGGTACTGGTACCAAAACAGAGATGGAGACCAATGGAACAGAGCAGAGCCCTCAGAAATAATACCACACATCTGCAGCAATCTGATCTTTGACAAATCTGACAAAAACAAGAAATGGGGAAAGGATTCCCTATTTAATAAATGGTACTGGGAAAACTGGCTAGCCATATGTAGAAAGCTGAAAGTAGATCCCTTCCTTACACCTTATACAAAAATTAATTCAAGATGGATTAAAGACTTAAATGTTAGGCCTAAAACCATAAAAACCCTAGAGGAAAACCTAGGCAATACCATTCAGGCCATAGACATGGGCAAGGACTTCATGACTAAAATACCAAAAGCAATGGCAACAAAAGCCAAAATTGACAAATGGGATCTAATTAAACTAAAGAGCTTCTGCACAGCAAAAGAAACTACCATCAGAGTGAACAGGCAACCTACAGAATGGGAGAAAATTTTTACAATCTACTCATCTGACAAAGGGCTAATATCCAGAATCTACAAAGAACTTAAATTTACAAGAAAGAATCAAACAATCTCATCAAAAAGTGGGCAAAGGATATGAACAGACACTTCTCAAATAAGACTTTTATGCAGCCAACAGACACATGAAAAAATGCTCACCATCACTGGCCATCAGAGAAATGCAAATCAAAACCACAATGAGACACCATCTCACACCAGTTAGAATGGCAATCATTAAAAAGTCAGGACACAACAGGTGCTGGAGAGGATGTGGAGAAATAGGAACACTTTTACACTGTTGGTGGGACTGTAAACTAGTTCAACCATTGTGGAAGACAGTGTGGCGATTCCTCAAGGATCTAGAACTGGAAATACCATTTGACCCAGCCATCCCATTACTAGGTATATACCCAAAGGATTATAAATCATGCTGGTATGAAGACACATGCACACGTATGTTTATTGTGGCACTATTCACAATAGCAAAGACTTGGAACCAACCGAAATGTCCAAAAATGATAGACTGGATTAAGAAAATGTGGCACATACACACCATGGAATTCTATGCAGCCATAAAAAAGGATCAGTTCATGTCCTTTGTAGGGACATGGATGAAGCTGGAAACCATCATTCTGAGCAAACTATCGCAAGGACAGAAAACCAAGCACCGCATGTTCTCACTCATAGGTGGGAGTTGAACAATGAGAACACTTGGACACAGGCCCCCATCACACACTGGGGCCTGTTGTGGGGTGGGGGGAGAGGGGAGGGAGAGCATTAGGAGATATACCTAATGTAAATGACAAGTTAATGGGTGCAGCACACCAACATGGCACATGTATACATATGTTAAGAAACCTGCATGTTGTGCACATGTACCCCAGAACTGAAACTATAATTTAAAAATAATAGTAATAATAAAAAAGAAATTTACATAATAAGAAACAAATATTTGCTCATGTAGCTATAATTTCTGATGCTTTTCATTCCTTTGAATAGAGGTAGATTTCACTGGGTGTCATTTCCTTCCGCCTGAAGAATTTCCATTAGCATTTCTTTGTGATATGGTTCTGCTACTGATTTCTTTTAGCTTTTGCATGTCTGAAAAGCTCTTTATTTTGCCTTCATTTGTGAAAATCTGATTTCCCTGAGTACAAATACTATAGAACTATTTCAGTACTTTTATTTTATTTCCGTATTTTAGAAAAGCTATACTTGTTTTCTTGATTGCATTTCTTTCAATGAGGAATATGCTTTCATTCTTTTCTCATTCTTTGTTAGTTTGTATCTCATGTGCTCCACATCTGGATGCATTTAACGCTGTCCATCAGTAGTCTTAAACAATCTGACTTTAATGTGCCTTGTAATTTTTTCATGTTTGAGTTTATTGAGATTTTTGGAATTGTGAATTTGTAGTTACCATGAAATTTGTAAATATTCAGCCATTGTGTACTCAAATATTCGTTGTTGTTTTTTTTTGTTTGTTTTTTGAGACTGAGTCTCGCTGTATTGCCCAGGCTAGAGTTGAATTAGCACAATCTCAGCTCACTATAATCTCCACCTCACAGGTTCAAGCAATTCTTATGCCTCAGCCTCCCAAGTAGCTGGTATTACAGGCCCCCACTACTACGCCCAGCTAATTTCTGTATTTTTATTAGAGACAGGGTTTCACCATGTTGGCCAGGCTGGTCTTGAACTCCTGACCTCAAATGATCCGCCCACCTCAGCCTCCCAAAGTGCTGGGATTACAGGTGTGAGCCACTGCACCTGGCCCTCATTTTTATTATTCTCCTCTTTACTACTTTTTGGGAACTCCAATCTTACATATATTAAGCTGCTTGCAGTTTATCTAGCTTACAGATTCCCTCTTCATCATTTTCAGTCTTTTTTTAAATCTGTGTGTGACATGTTGTATAGTTTCAGTTGCTATGATTTTTATTCATGAATCTTTTCCTTTGCAATGTTTAATCTGCTGTTAATCTAATCCAATGAATTTTTATATCAGATATTGTATTTTTACCTTTAGAAGTTTTATTTTAGTGTTTGTATCTTCCATGTCTCTCCTTAATGTATATAGCTTTTCATCTACCTTCTTAAGCAAATGGAGTACAGTTACAATAGCATTTTTAAACCATTCATAATTGAAGTGATTATTGATATAGGTGGAGTGATATCTACTATGTTTGTCATTGTTTTCTGCTCATTGAATTTGCTGTTTGTTATTTCCTACTCTTTTTCTGTCTTCTTTTTAATTGATCATTTTATATGATTCCATTTTATTTCCTTTCTTAGAATAGTAATTATACTTCTCTTTAAAAGGTTTTTAATTGTTGCTCTACAGTTTACAATATATGATTCTGTACTCTCAGTCCACTTTCAGATGTCATTATATTACTTTGTGTACAGTATAGGTACCTCATACAGAATATTCTCAACTTCTCTCTCATGTCCCTTGTAATACTGCTATCATTAATCGCACTTATTCATATTTGATAATCATGCAATACATTGTAATACTATTATTTTTAAATGTTATGCTTTACACATATTAAGAATAAGAAAAATAAAAGATTTAATTTTGATACCATTTATTCCCTCTCCAATGCATTGCTAGGCATTCTTCATTTCTGTTACTATATTTTTATTTCTAGAGTTTTCTTTCTTATTGTGGTAAAATATGCATAACATAAAATTTATCTTTTTGACGATTTTTAAATATTCAATTCAGTGGCATTAAGTGTATTCACATTATTGTGCAATTATCATAACTATCCACCTTCAGAACTTTCGTGTCATCCCAAAACTGCACATTAAACAATAACTCCGCATTCCTCCAACCCTTTCCCCAGGACTTGGTAACCATTCTTCTACTTTTTGTCTCTGAATTTGACTATTCATGTATCTCATGTAAGTGTAATCATACAATATCTCTCCTTTTATGTCTCATTTATTTCACTTAGCATAATGTTTTCGAGGTTCATTTATGTTGTGGGCCGAACTGTGTATCTCTAAAATTCACAGGTTGAAGTCCTGACCCCCAGTACCTCATAATGTGATATCTGAAGAAAGAACGTTTAAAGAAGTAATCAAGGTAAAATGAGGTCATAGAGATGGATATGAAGCTAATATGAGTGGTGTCATATTGAAGAGATTAGGACACAGACACACACAAAGGAAAGACCATGTGAAGACAGAGGGAAAAGACAAATACCAATAAACCTAGGAGAGTCCAGGCACGGTCTGTAATTCTAGCACTTTGAGAGGCGGAGACAGGCGGATCATGAGGTCAGGAGATGGAGACCGTCCTGGCTAACACGGTGAAACCCTGTCTCTACTAAAAATACAAAAAATTAGCCGGGCGTGGTGGCAGCGCCTGTAGTCCCAGCTACTTGGGAGGCTGAGGCAGGAGAATGGCGTGAACCCGGGAGGTGGGGCTTGCAGTGAGCCGAGATCGCGCCACTGCACTCCAGCCTGGCCGACAGAGCGAGACTCCGTCACAAACAAACAAACAAACAAACAACACAAGGGAGGCCGAGGCGGGCGGATCACGAGGTCAGAAGATCGAGACTATCCTGGTTAACATGGTAAAACCCCGTCTCTACCAAAAATACAAAAAATTAGCCGGGTGTGCTGGCGGGTGCCTGTAGTCCCAGCTACTCCAGAGGCTGAGGCAGGAGAATGGCGTGAACCCTGGAGGCAGAGCTTGCAGTGAGCCGAGATCGCGCCACTACACTCCAGCCTGGGCGACAGAGAGACACTCCGTCTCAAAAAACAAACAAACAAACAAACAACAACAACAACAAAAAAAAAAAATTAATTGAGCACTTTATGAAATACTTTTTATATTATACTATTTCTTCCTTTGAGAAATACCATTATTAGTGCACAACCGATAACCATAGCTTAAAATCAGATTACAAAATACAAGGAAAATACTTACAATAGGAAAGTTCACCCCTAAGCATTTCTTTATGACACTTTTAGCCATATGAACTCACCACTATTTATTAGAATGCAATATCTCAAAATAGAATATGGTATAAAACTGATTTTTTCAAATAAATACATAATAAAAATTATTAAAATATATAATTTATAAAATCTAAATGTTTACTGATACATGTTGTATTTAATGTTAATATATCCAAAAAGTTTAGGCTCAAGCTTCATAATAGTGACCCTTTTTTCTCAGCTTCCCCCCCCAAAGAAACTATAACCCTTCTGTATTTCTCTACTTTGTTCACAGATACAAAGGCCAGCCAGATGGAGCTGGTCAGTGTTCCCAGATCTTAAGTGCAGTGACTCAAATCTAATAAAAAAGCATTTGGAATACAGCATTGATAAAGTTGTATGACTGTACAGGGAAACATTCTGCTTGTAGCCATGAGATATGAACTTCTGTTTACTACTTCTTCTAATAGTTACTAGAAATATGAGAGCCAATAGACCCTTTATTTTTATTTCACCCTTTCCTCTGAGTTGTATTAAATGACATTTTGAATGTCAAATGAATCTGATATCTGCAGTCAAACATAACAGCATCAATGGTAAATATGGCTAAGGAGTCAGGTATGTCAATTCTGAGTGAATTAAGCTGTTTGTGCAAATGATATTTATCATTACCTATGATCAGCACTTTTAGCTTTATCATATCATAATTTACCCAATATGTATAGGTGTCAACATGTGTGAAGATAGGCACCAGATAAGCAAAAGACTCATTAAGATGTTGCCATAGATTAATCCTACAGAGTAGAAGCATTTGGCTGCTCTGATTTTTAAGATCCCTGCTTTAGAGCCTAGAAAATGTCATGAAAATGAATTAATCATTTTTCTTTTCAGTATCGTCAACAACCTCTAGTATTGGAGATGTTATAGGAAATGACTACCTGCTTGTAATTCCATTTTTAGTCAAAACTAATACAGAAGTATTTGCCTAGATTTGGAAAAACCCAAATGTAAGTCAGTGGCCTAATCTCTAACGGGTTGAATAGCCTATTTTAGATGAGATCTTTTCCAGTAAGTGTTGTCTTCCAGATTTTCATGTCCTCTCGCTAATGTTTTCCAAGGTGGAATTTGGGCATATGAGGGCTCATGTAAATTCATGGCATTGGGTGGGTGGAGAGAGTTTCTTGGGACATATGAGTATCTGTGTTGGTCTCCACTGGTCAGGTCCTTCAGTCCTTAGATGACATCACTAAGGTATAGTTAATCTATACTTAATCACAGGTGTTTTCTTTAACACCACTTCCAAAGTCTGTGGTTGCTACGTCCCACTGGCCATTCAGTTGGTATAGGCCATACTCCCAGAAACAAGTACATCGCCCTTTGCTGATGAGTGCCACATCATTTCTGCTGATGCTATAGGCACTCCAAACTCTGATTGTAAGGCCTACCTGATTGCTGGCATTGAGTAGCATTTCTGCCCTTGACTACAGACTCAATTGACTTCCTGATCATTTCCTCTGTTAATTTGTACCCATATTCTCAGCTAATATATGTGTTGTCTTGAAAGACATGTGAAAAACTCTGTGCCAGAGGGAAAAGAAGAGCTCTGAATGGTCTCACTCTGGTAATCAAATGCTTCCACTTCCACTCACAAGTCATTGGGCAGAATTAGTTACATAGTTCCACCCTACCTCAAGTGGACAGGAATTACAATTATGCTGTGTACCTGAAAGGGAAAAGAACCGGAAACATTTGTTGAACAGGCTACCACAAGTACCCTGCTAAGTGATCTCCCTTCAAAAACTCAAGTAGGAAGCTAAATTAAAGTCATCATCTCTTCTTCACTTGTTCCTCAGTGTAGCTAAGAAGACTTGACTTCTGGGACTTTAGCTCTGATAGAGGAGTTTAGATACGTGTCTCACCTCCTGAACTTTCTGCCTTCATCCCCTTTTCATTCTCATAATCTGTCATGACCAGAAAGAGGGGACGCCTTTTCTGGGCTGATGTGGAACTACATGGCCTCTTATTCTCCTCTTTTTGGATTGGTATTGCAATAAGGTAAAATGATGGCTAGGGAACATGATTTACTAAGAAGAAGAATATTAAACATATTTACTATTTTCAAATATGATCCTGTTACATCTGAGTTTATACTCCATACAGCATTTTATGTACAATATTTCCTACAATATTGTCACAAACATTACATACCTAACAATAAGCTTTTATTCACTTTGTTTAACTTATTATTTGCTGATGATGCTTTACTCACTCCCTCTGGGAAGGTCTGCCTTCTTTCCCAATCATATGTGGACATCTTTACAAGGCAATTCGAGTTCTAAAATGTTTGTATATCAAATTCCACTGTTTCTTTTCAAAATAATTTTATGTCTTAGGTGATATGTGAATAGATTTATAAAGTTATTAATTCAATAGCCCATAATGAACCTTTGGGACATACACCATGACATATTTGTTCAACAATTTTAAATTATTTCTTAATATTATAGATTATCGTGATGAAGCATATTAATCCTACAGTCTTTTCATCTCCCTGTAGTCTTCAATTCAGCATTAATGGAGAGATTTTCAAGCACCACAGGACTTGATGCAGCTAACTTGAAGATAAGCTTTTGGGGAGTTTCCTGTTATCTTTGCACAGTGGCCTTTGTGAGTAGGCCCTTTCAATGTTGTTAGATTCTCTCTAAGAAACACATGTATTAGAAACACTATAACTGTTTCTACTATGAAGATCTAATGCCACTCCTTTGCTCATAATGTATGTGCTCAACTAAAAATGTTTCTTTGACAATGCACTAAGATTCTTCTAAAGCCTATAGGACATATTATCATTGCATCTATGTAAGAATACCATTCAAAGGAGCAATGAAACAAAAAGTTGGTTCTTTGAAAAGAGAAACAAAATTGATAAACTGCTAGCAACCAAGAAAAGAGAAGAGACAAAATCAGAAATGAAAAGAAGACTTACAAGTGATACCACAGAAAAACAAAATTTCATCTGTGACTATTATGAACAACTACATGCTCACAAACCAAAAAAATCCCCAGGAAATGGCTAAATTCCTGGAAACATACAACCTCCTAAGATTGAAGAAGGAAGAAACTGAAAACCAGAATAGACCAATAATGAGTAGCAGGATTGAATCAGTAATAAATAAATTTCCCATGGAAAAAAAAAGTCCAGGACCTGATGGATTCATAGCTGAATTCCATAAAATGTACAAAGAACTAATACCAATCTTCCTGAAACTGTTCCAAATAATCTGGGAGGAGGGACTTCTTCATTCCTCATGTAACAAGGCCAGTATCACTCTGATACTAAAACCAGACAAAGACAAAACAAAACAAAAAAAGAAAACTACATGCCAATATCTCTGATAAACATAGACACAAAAATCCTCAACAAAATACTAGCAAATGGAATTCAAGAGCACATCAAAAAGGTAATACACAATGATCAAGTGGGTTGTACATAAGGAATGGAAGGATAGTTCAACATATGCAAATTAATAAATGTGATACATCACGAAAATAGAATGAAGGATTAAAAACCTCAATAGATGCAGAAAAATCATTTGATAAAATTCAGCATCCCTTCATGATAAAAAAAAAACCCTCAAATAACTTGACATGGAAGTAACATACCTCAAATAATAAAAGGCTTATATGACAAACCCACAACCAACATCATACTGAATGGGGGAAAGGTTGAAAGCATTTTCTCAAGAACTGGAACAAAACAAGTATTCCCACTTTCACCACTCCTATTTGATATAGTATTAGAAGTCCTAGCCACAGCAATCAGGTAAGAGAAAGAATTAAAAGACATTCAAATAGGAAAAGAGAAAATCAAATTATTTCCATTTGCTGATGATAGGATTACCTGTCTAGAAAAACCTAGAGACTCCACCAAAACACTCTTGGATTTGATAAATGAATTTAGTAAGTTTATTTAGTAAAATTGATACAAAAGTAATATACAAAAATCAGTAGCATTTCTATACACCAATAACAAACTAGCTGAGAAGGAAATCTTATTTACAAGAGCTACAAAAAATAAACTACCTAGGAATACATTTAAGCAAGGAGGTGAAACATCTCTACAAGGAAAACTATAAAACACTGATGAAAGAAACTGTCAGTGAGACAAACGAATGGAAAAATATTCCATGCTTATGGATCAGAAAAATTAATATTGTTAAAATGACCCACTTTGGGAGGCTGAGGCAGGCAGATCATGAGGTCAGGAGATCAAGACCATCCTGGCTAACACAGTGAAACCCCGTCTCTAAAAATACAAAAAAAAAAAAAAATTAGCCAGGTGTGGTGGCGGGCACCTGTAGTCCCAGCTACTTGGGAGGCTGAGGCAGGAGAATGGCATGAACCTGAGAGACGGAGCTTGCAGTGAGCTGAGATCACGCCTGGGCAACAGAGCAAGACTCCATCTCAAAAAAAAAAAAAAAAGACCATAATGCCCAAAGCAATCTATAGATGAAATGCAATCCCTATCAAAATACCAATGTCATTTTTCACAGAATTAGAAAAAACAATGTTAAATCCTTATGGAACCAGAAAAAAGAGCCCAAATAGCAAAATCAATTCTAAGCAAAAAGAACAAAACTGGAGGCATCACGTTACCTGATATGAAATTATGTTACAAGGCTATGGTAACCAAAACAGTGTAATACTTCTGTAAAAACAGACACATAGATCAATAAAACAAAATACAGAACCCAGAAATAACACGACATAGTTACAGCCAACTGGTCTTTGACAAAACTAACAGGAAGAGACACTGAAGAAAGGACATCCTTTTCAATAAACGGTGCTGGGAAATTAGATAGCCATATGCAGGAAAATAAAACAGAACCTGAGAGGTGAAGCCAGCTGGACTTCCTGGGTCGAGTGGGGATTTGGAGAACTTTTCTGTCTTAAAAGAGGATCGTAAAATGCACCAATCAGTGCTCTGTAGCTAGCAAGAGGATTATAAAATGCACCAATCAACGCTCTGTAAAATGCACCAATCAGTGCTCTGTAAAATGCACCAATCAGCAGTAGCTAAAAGTAGCCAATCACAGGGAGGATTGAAAAAAGGGCACTCTGATAGGACAAAAACCAAACATGGGCAGGGACAAATAAGGGAATAAAAGCTGGCCACCTCAGCTGGCAGTGGCAATCTGCTTGGGTTACCTTCCATGTGTGGAAGCTGTGTTCTTTCGCTTTTCACAGTGAATCTTGCTGCTGCTCACTCTTTGGGTCCGTGCCACCTTTAAAAGCTGTAACACTCACCGTGAAGGTCTGTGACTTCATTCTTGAAGTCAGCGAGACCACCAACCCACTGGCAGGAACCAAATCTGGACACAGACCTTTATCTCTCACCATATGCAAAAATCAACTTAAGATGTATTAAAGACTTAAATATAAGACCCAAAACTATCAAAATACTAAAAACCTTGAGAAAATTCTTCTGGACATTGGTCTAGGCAAAGAATTTATGACTTAAGACCTAAAAGGACAGGGAACAAAACCAAAATTAGACAAATGGGACAATTAAACTAAAAAGCTTCTGCACAGCAAAAGAAATAACCAGGTGTGTAAACAGACAATGCACAGGAGAAAATATTTGAAAACTATTTATCCCATAGGGGACTAATATCCATAATATAGAAGAAGCTCAAACAACTCCCTCAACAACAACAAAAAGCGCAAACAAGGCCAGGCATGGTGGCTCACGTTTATAATCCCAGCACTTTCAGAGGCCAGGAGGACTGGACCACTTAAAGAGTTTGAGACCCGCCTGGCCAACATAGCGATAGCCCGTTTCTACTAAAACTACAAAAATTAGCCGGGCATGGTGGTGGGCACATGTAATCCCAGCTATTCGGGAGGCTGAGAGGCAAGAATCCCTTGAATCTGGGAGGTGGAGGTTGCAGTGAGCCAAAGTTGCACCACTGCACTCCACATTGCACTCCAGCCTTGGCGACAGAGGGAAACTCTGTCTAAAAAAAAAAATTAAAAAAAAAAAAGAAAAAGAACAAATAATGTTCTTTAAAAGTGGTCAAAGGATATAAATAGACATTTTTCAAAAGAAGACACACAAATGGCCAGCATGGGCATATAAAAAAAATGCTCAACACTAATCATCAGAGAAATGTAAATTAAAACCATAATAAGATATCATCTTCATTAAAATGGCTATTATTAAAAAGATAAAATGTCTCATCTGCTATGTTGGTGAGGATATGGAGAAAAAGGAATGTTTGTATGCTGTTGATGGGAATGTAAATTAGTACAACCTTTATTGAAAATAGAGATTTCCCAAAGAACTAAAACTAGAACGACTGTTCGATCCCACAACCTTACTACTGGGTATCTACTCAAAGGAAAATAAATCAATATATCAAAGAGGTACCTACACTCATGTTTCTTGCAGCACTATTCACAATAGAAAAGATATGGAATCAACCTAAGGGTCCACCAGTGGATGACTGGATAAAGAACATGTGGTATATATACCTGATAGAATTCTATTCAGCCACAAAAAGAATGAAATCATGTATTTTGCAGCAACATGGTTGGAACTGGAGGTCATTATCTTAAGCGAAATAAGCCAGATATAGAAAGATGTCGCTCATAAGTGAGTGCTAAAAAAAGTGTCTGCATGGATGTAGACAGTGGAATGATAGGCAGTGGGGACTCAGAATTGTGGGGGGATGATGAGAAATTACTAATGGGTACAATCTACAGCATTTGGGTGATAGATACCCTAAAAGTTCTGCCTTGACCACTATGCATGTAACAAAATTGCACTTGTTACCCATAAATTCATACAAATTAAAAAATATATAAGACAAATGTAACCATGCTTTCTTCAAAAAAACAAAAACGAGGTAATCCCCATTGTAGTCCCAAAGATGGGAGGAGAGAGGCTCATCCAAGAAGGCCAGAGAGGGCTGGATGTACCCTGCTTCCAAATCTGCTGTCTCTCCCACACCCCTTACAACAGACCCTTTGCTCTCCCTTCTACCTCCCTGTTCTCAGAGGCTTCCCTTTCTCTTATTTCTCATCTGCCCCCTAAAAAGGAAGGCAGAAGATTCCAATTCCTTGTACCCTTAGGTACTTGGAGCAGAATGAAGTAAATTTAGTGAATCATTTGCAACTCTGTACTTCTTGGGTGCACTTCAAATATCAACAAGAACATTTATTCTGTGGAATAGACTGGTTTAATTTCGGCCTTTTACTTCAACTTTCAGCCATCTGAAATTGTGTAGACTTTTCCAAACTGTGTTCATGTGCCACCCTGACCTACTGCCTATCCCTGCAATTGGATGGGCCTTAAGAACCCAGCTCCAGGCCAGGCGCGGTGGCTCACACCTGTAATCCCAGCACTTTGGGAGGCAGAGACAGGTGAATCACCTGCAGTCAGGAGTTCCAGACCAGCCTGGCCAACACAGTGAAACCCCCTCTCTACTAAAAATACAAAAACTAGCTGAGTGTGCTGGCAGGCAGGCACCTGTAATCCCAGCTAGTCAGGAGGCTGAGGCAGGAGAATCGCTTCAACCCTGGAGGCAGAGGTTGCAGTGAGCGGAGATCATACCACTGCACTCCAGCCTGGGCAACAGAGCAAGACTCCATCTCAGAAAAAAAGAACCCAGCTCCAGACACTGCTCCCTGATGTCTATGCATCCAAGAGGTGCCCTCTTCCCAGCAGCTATCGCTGTAGTGGAACAAAGCACCAGGTTTCTTCTCTAATTACTTCTATTAGTAAATAATTTCCAGGCACCTAAGAGTTTAGATTTAGCCATGTCTTTGAGGACTGTAATTTTTCCCTAATTTGTGCTTTCTATAATAATAATTAGGGATTTATTGCTTATATTAAAAACTCATCAGAACTCTAATTGAAAAGGTTAACTACTTCTCATGAGTTCAAGTTGGGCATTACTATTCAAATTCACTGACAACTTAAACTGTAAGATAATTTTCTTTCCTACCGTGCAGGTTCTTCATGTGATAAGGATTTTACTTTTGCCAAACAGAAGTTCCTAGAACATCCTGGGAATATGGTATTTTAGAAGAAAAACAATAAGCAATTACTCAAAGCAAATTTAACATTCAGAACAAAACAGTGTTTCATTTGATTGATACATATTTTGTTTTTACCTTGAAGAACGTACCACAAAAAAAGGGTCACAGCAATGAGATATAACTTCACTTAACTTTTCAAACTGATACTGTCCAAATATTTAATAATATTCTGTTGATTAACACAGTGCTTTTAAAATTATGGATAGGAAAAGCATATTTCTTGTAGTTATATGTCTTGGAATAATATATAAATCACACATCAGCCTTAAATATTACTGCTTAGCAGAAGACAATCATAAAAAGAATTTTATCAATTTAAATTAGAATACTAAATAAACCAGTAAAGCTAGCATTTGCAGAACACTTGGTGTGTTACACGTAAATATTCAATTAATTCACAGAAAAATCACAAGAGATTGTCAGTTGCATAATGTCACTTTGCTAGTTAAGGTGGTACAGAGATTTAAACCCAGGCCCAGATGAACAACCACATCAGCATAGAGACAGATGTTATTGCATGTTGGCAGATGAAATTGTGAAAGTGAAATTCCCATGGTTCCAAATCAGAAATTGCTGCCTTAGGGTGTGGGGAGTAGGTGACAGTCATTTAGACGGCTGGTGGGAAAATTTTAAAAATAACACAAGAGGGATAATTGGCAATGTCATACAAATAAATAAATGGCAACTTTTCTGAGTGGAAGAAGGCAATCCACAAGGAGGCTGGTGGGTTACTATAAGTCCACTTTCATATTCATTCTTTTCTTTTCTTCTTTTTTTTTTTTTTTTTTTTTGAGATGGAGTCTTGCTTGTCACCCAGGCTGGAGTACAGTGGTGCAATCTTGGCTCACTGCAACCTCCACTTCCCTGGTTCAAGCGATTCTCTTGCTTCAGCCTCCTGAGTAGCTGGGACTACAGGCGCCTGCCACCATGCCCGGCTATTTTTTTTTTTTATTTTTTTTTTTTAGTTTCACCATATTGGCCAGGCTGGTCTTGAACTCCTGACCTTGTGATCCGCCTGCTTTGGCCTCCCAAAGTGCTAGGATTACAGGCATGAGCCACCAAGACCGGCCATATTCATTCTTTTCTAAATGGTGATTCTTATGAGAAATACTCATATCCCCCGCTAAATGGAGATGTTAATTGTATCAATTTTTATAACAGTGAAATAGTACAGGTCCAGTTCTCCAGCAATAGGTGGCTGACTAAGCAAATAATAGTGCCTCCATGCCCCAGAATAACAAGCAGCCATGAAAAAATAAGGTCATATTTACTGATAACGTTAATATATATTGCTTTTTAAAAAGGCAAAATACAGAATAGTGTGCATATTGTGCTCCGTGCATAAAAAGTGACTACAGTAGGTTTGTTTTACTCAGCTCTTTTTAATCTCTGGGAAAGCTTGGAGCCACAGGAAGAGAACTAACGACAGGAATGTTCGCTTGGTCAGTGATTAAGATTGTATTCTCTATGGCCCAGGCAGTGGGTCAGGATGTACTGGGCTGACAGCATTGTTTAAACATGAAAATTAATGATGTGTACCTGGTGCCTGTTTGGCATCTGCAACTTGGCTGGTTGGGTAGCTGTGTGATCAGCAGCCTTTAAGAACTCTGGATTCTGAGATTTGAGTGGACTTTTTTTGTTGTTTGTTTGAGACAGAGTTTCGCTCTGGTCGCCCAGGCTGGAGTGCAATGGCGCAATCTCGGCTCACTGCAAGCTCAGCCTCCCGGATTCAAGCAATTCTCCTGCCTCAGCCTCCCTAGTAGCTGGGATTACAGGTGCCCGTCATCACGCCCGGCTAATTTTTTGTATGTTTAGAAGAGACGGGATTTCACCATGTTGGGCAGGCTGGTCACTAATGAGCGGACTTTCTGAGGTGGAGATGCCTGCCACACATCTCCACAGTTTGCAGCCAGAAAGGGCGTGTCTGCACAATTCTCGCGAGAGAAGGAACGTGGAAACCTGGGCCTGACCTCTCTAGTCTTTGCTTATGCATGCAAAATATGTGTCTCACAGTTCCTGCACAGTATCCTTTGCAGTAATATATCTTAGCTGTAAGCATAACTTTTTGACTTACATGAGTCCTTCCGGTGAATCACTGAGCAAATCATGACCATGATGTAGTCGTGGGAACCCCAAAATATGTTCTCAGTTGAAATTTCCAAATAAGATTTATACATATACATGCATATAAAGGTACAGGATTATTTCTGGAAGGATCTTCAAGAAATTAGTGTTCCCTGATCCCCAAGTGAGAGAGCCAGTGGTGTGAAGTGAATGACTTTTTTTTTTTTTACTCCATATATGTGTTTCTTTTCATTGATATGAGATAATTTAAAGTATATTTGTAAAAAATATATAGTAGTTATACTTAATGCTTTGCCGTGACCATGGAGTTGTTGTCTTGAGGTAAGATGTGAAGGATCTTTAAGTTGCAGTGGAGAATAGGAGAGAGTAGAAAGCCATGAGTGTGCTACTGGGGCTTCCCTGAACCTGCAGGTGAGAGCCAGACTCTTCTGACCTTTTGGATGAGATCAAGAAGGCAGGCAGAAACAGGAAAAGGGTCTCTGATAGAACAGCATGTGCGGGAAAGCATCTATACAGTGGGTTTATAAGAAAGATGACAGGAATCCCTCATACATTGTATGATGTTTATAACCTTATAACATTTATTAATGGTATAAATATAAATATAACAATTTTAGTTTTGCACCTATGTTTTGCTAGTAACTGAAAAGGAACCCACAGTTGTTCATTTGTTCAATGATTTTGCAGCACTTGTGACTGTCTGTCACCTTGTTGTGACTCTTCTATGTCATGTGGACAGAGCAGCAGGCCGAGAGCCAGAAGACATGGTACTACTCAT
This sequence comes from Homo sapiens, assembly GCF_000001405.40. Taxonomy (NCBI): domain Eukaryota; kingdom Metazoa; phylum Chordata; class Mammalia; order Primates; family Hominidae; genus Homo; species Homo sapiens. Next base: position 42,270,317 of record NC_000009.12, read on the forward strand.
GAAGGGGTCCTAACAAGAACATCTCCAACAGCTAGTCACGCAACATGCATGAGATTCTTTTACTTTGGTTGAAAAATGAGGGTTATGGTGGAATCGAGTTGGGCCTGAGTGATCCCTAATTCTCTCTTGCTTTTTAAATTGCATGTTTCTGCTGCAATCTCATAAAGAAGAGGAAACAACTTCACTTTGCCAACTGAGGAAATAATGGTTCAGGTATTAAGTTCCCACCAAATTCACATTTACAACTGCCACATTTTATAGAATTGCATATTTTAGATTTTTGGTGCCATCCTGATGTTTATCAATACAGAAGGTTGGCAAAGAATAATGTTTCAATGCACTAAAAAAAGAGAATCTGATATGGTTTGAATGAATGGGGTTAAGGTCACTATATCTTATGAATGAACCCAATGATAGTCTCCATAGTTAGATAGTATTGGATAATTTATTATTTTAAAAAGTATGCGGCCAGGTGCAGTGGCTCAAGCCTGTAATCCCAGCACTTTGGGAGGCCGAGGTGGGCGGATCACAAGGTCAGGAGATCGAGACCATCCTGGCTAACACAGTGAAACCCCGTCTCTACTAAAAATACAAAAAATTAGCCGGGCGTGGTGGCGGGCGTCTGTAGTCCCAGCTACTTGGTAGGCTGAGGCAGGAGAATGGCGTGAACCCAGTAGGCGGAGGTTGCAGTGAGCCGAGATCACACCACTGCACTCCAGCCTGGCAACAGAGCTAGACTCCGTCTAAAAAAAAAAAAAAAATCCTTAAAGATAGTACCATCCTGGCTGGGCACGGTGGCTCACGCCAGTAATTCCAGCACTTTGTGAGGTCAAGGCAGGCTGATCACGAGGTCAAGAGATCGAGACCATCCTGGATAACGCGGTGAAACCCCGTCTCTACTAAAAATACAAAAAAAAAAATTAGCCGGGCGTGGTGGTGGGCGTCTGTAGTCCCAGCTACTCAGGAGGCTGAGGCAGGAGAATGGCGAGAACCCGGGAGGCGGAGCTTGCAGTGAGCCTAGATTGCGCCACTGCACTCCAGCCTGGGTGACAGAGTGAGACTCCGTCTCAAAAAAAAAAAGATGGTACCATCCTAGGTCATGAGAAGTTCCAAGTACGTCCATGGCATGGGTGCTGAAAAGGAGCAACAGTGAAGATCATTTACACATGAAGGAATTGCAAGTTCCTAGCACTTAAGTGTCATCTACAAGGAAATTGAAGATTGAGGAATTGAGAAGATGGTGATGGATGTAAGAAAATGACCCATTTGGAAGATGACACTTGCTAGAAATGGTAGAGGTTGCTGTAATCAGCTGATATTTGTCTAAAAGGATAAGTGAGATTGTCATTTTGTTTGCTTGCTTGCTTTTTTTTTTTTTTTTTTTTTTGAGACTGAGTCTTGCTGCATCGCCCAGGCTGGAGTGCAGTGGCCCGATCTCGGCTCACTGCAAGCTCCGCCTCCCAGGTTCACGCCATTCTCCTGCATCAGCCTCCTGAGTAGCTGGGACTACAGGCGCCCGCCACCAAGCCTGGCTAATTTTTTTTTTTGTATTTTTAGTAGAGACGGGGTTTCACCGTGTTAGCCAGGATGGTCTCAATCTCCTGACCTCATGATCCGCCCGCCTCGGCCTCCCAAAGTGCTGGGATTGCAGGCTTGAGCCACGGCGCCTAGCCTACTTGCTGCTTTTTATGAACACCAGTGACCAGGAATTGATGGAAATTTACCAGAAATGTTTCCTGATGCTATGGTAGACAAACTATGGAAGTAATGAGTTCTACAAGGGCATTGAAAATGGTGGTCTAGGCTTCAGTGGAGTTGAGGATGTATAGTCAACCCTTTTTTTGTTGTTTTATTATTTTTTGTGTGTGCCAGGCATTAGCCTGTGCATTTTATGGGCATCATCTTATTTAATCTTCACAATGGATACCTTCATTTTACAGTGGAAGATACTGAAGTTCAGAGACATTAAGTGACTTGTTAAGGTTTGTGACTGGTAAATGGTGGAGTCTGCATTAGAAATCCAGACTGTTGCTTCCAAGCCATACTCTCAAACGCTATGCTATACAAGGGCATTCTGTGATGATGTTGAGATAGTCCTTTTTGAAAATGTAATGAGTTCCCAGAGGGCACAGAAGGAAAGAGCTGGAAGGCAGGACCACAGTGAAAGGGTGAGCTAGAAGAATAGAGGTGCTTAGAGTAGAAGAAAAGACAGACTTACTGAGGGGTTTGGGACTTGACAGAGCACCCAAAAATGGCAGAGCAGAGAAATATGGGGGAGGATTATGGGCCTTGAGGTTCAGAGTGGACCCTTGCAGGGATGGGGCTTCAGTCTCCACCCCTGCTCACGCCCTTGCTTCCTGGAAACCTATCACGGGTTTTGCTCAGGTTACCCCAGGACTCCAGAAGTTTTATGCTTCTTGGAGTCTGTCTTCTGAGTAGGAGTGGGAATGTAGATGTGGCAAAGCTGTTCTCACTCCAGTTTGGATGCCAGGTGGTAAGAAGTTTAATTTTTCTGCAAAGTTTATACCCTTGATTTATGAAGGGGTATTGACGTTTCTCAAACTAAGGAACCCAAACCTTTTTTACGTGGTGTAAGGACATTACATGCTGAAAATTTGATTTTTACTTTGGTTCCACTATTAATTTGCTGGGTGACTTTTGGCAGGTCACAGCTTCTTTGAGTACCTGGTTTCCTTTTCGTAAGCTCAGAAATTCAGCTGCGTGACCTTTAAGATTTCATATGCTCGCCAGGCACAGTGGCTCATGCCTGTAATCCCAGCACTTTGGGAGGCCGAGGTGGGCGGATCACGAGGTCAGGAGATCGAGACCATCCTGGCTAACATGGTGAAACCCCGTCTCTACTAAAAATACAAAAAATTAGCTGGGCGTGGTGGCTGGCACCTGTAGTCCCAGCTACTCAGGAGGCAGGAGAATGGCATGAACCCAGGAGGCAGAGCTTGCAGTGAGTCAGGATTGTGCCACTGCACTCCAGCCTGGGTGACAGAGCAAGACTCTGTCTCAAAAACAAACAAACAAACAAACAAACAGAAGATGTAGTATGCTCTGAAGTTTTGCTGACATGGAATTTCTTCCCTCACAACCCATACCCCAGCCCTAAGCATCATTGTTCCTGTTCTGTACCACTGCATAGAACAAGCTGCCTCCTAATTTAGTGAATGAACACACTGCATTGATTTCATGGCAGGGGATGGTGATGTTGATTACTCCAGATTAGTTCTCACTTGTGGCACCTCAGATGGCAGACAAGGCTGAAGCTGTCAGAAAGCTTCTGCACCTCTATACCTGGCACCTGGAATGCTATGGATTGAAGAGCTAGGAGCTGGTCAGGTAACTTGGTCTCCACACAGCCTCTCCATGTGACAAGCTTGAGGTTCCTCACAGTATGACAGTCTTGGGCTAGTCAGAGTTTTTGTAGAGAGCTTGGCTTTCCCCAGATTCCCCTGCATTCCACGAGACCCAGGCAAAAGCTAAAAAGCTTCTTATGTCCTAATCTTGGAATCTGCAAATGCAGATTCATGGGGGTACAGAAATAGATACCACCTCTCAGTGGGCGAATGACCTGATGGAAAAGAAGGGAAGAAAGGAGCGGCCACTTTGCAGGCAAGCTCATAGTCATTCTGTCTTAATAAACCTCATCCCAGGTTGCTAATTCCAAACAAATTTCCCAGACCTAAACATACAAAGAGGAAGAAGGAGAAAGCAATTTACCATTCAGAAATAGACTGAAATTAACATGAATACTTACATCTTCATTTTATTCCATGCCCGAAGGTAGAATAATTTAATAATGTTAATTTTTTCTAGTCATGACTTGCTGAGCCAATTAATTTTTTTCATTTATTTTCTCATTTATTCTTTCTTCAGAGTTTGAATTGGCTTTGTTTTCTGCTTTTTCATATCTTGATTTTAGCCACATTCAATCCAATTACAATTTTCTTTCAGTTTTTACTTTCTTTTTATTGTCAACACTTTGCTTCTTTGTATATTGAATTTCCACCCTTAACGCAAGGATGTCTAGTCAGTAGCTGCTGGAGGTGTAACTACTGATTTATTTTTTCTTCTGTATGGAGCAAGTGTCAAGCCAGTGTAGTAGTCGGTCTCCTAAGAAACTTTATTATCTCTTTCAGCTTCACTGGCTGTATTCGCTGGGAAGCAGTTTAACGACACTGGCTGATCTTAACAGGTTGCTATAACCACTTGAAGGCACAATAAATGTGGGAGGAAAATGTTCTTTTTCTTTTCTTTTGGTGGAAAAATAGATGTATAATTTTCTAGCTTTCTTTTCTCCATTTGGGTTAATGATATGAAGAAGATTTCTGCTAGTTTAAGTGTAATTAAAAGAGAGAGATTGGTAACCTCTGGATAACGGTGGGCATTTTGAGGATTGCACTGTGTAGAGCTGATGATGAAAGAGCTTCTCTAGCTAGTATGTGCTCAAACACACAGTGACAAGAACTAGAATGACAAAATCCAGGCTGTATGCTTCTGAATGGTATGGATGACGAGTGGATTTTTCACCACCTGGTATGAACATGGGATGTTAGGTGGAGACAGACAGCGGATACCTTTGGGTATCTGGGAAACTTATACCTCCTGCTGTGATAGTGCTGAAGCCCTCAGGCCTTTTGTGTTATAGAATTGGGATTTGTGGTAGGCAGGATTCTAAAGATGGCGCTCCCAAGGCGATATCCCATCCACCTGGCATACAAACACTGCCTAACCCCGGGAACCATGAATATAATGTGTTTGACTCCTGTAATTAGGTCATTTGTATGGCACAATTGTCCCTAAGATAGGGATATTATTTGAATGCATTGACTTAATCAGAGGTGCACCTGACTTAATCAGAGCTTTGAAGAAGTCAGAGAGGTGAGAAGCCTGAGAGAGTTGAAGATGCGAGAGTTTCTCTGCTGCTGAGATGACAGGCCGCGTGGGGAGGCCTTGAGAGGAATCTCTGGAAGCTGAGAGGGGTCCGCAGCTGGCAGCTAGGAAGATGGTGCGTACTGAGTTATACAATCACAAGGAAACAAATTCTGCTGATAACCTGAGGGGTCTTGGAAGCAGCTCTTTCCCTGGCCGAGCCTCCAAGATGAGAATGTATCCAGGCAACATCTTGAATCCAACCTCACGAGACCCCAGGCAGACTCCCACGGATCGGGAGACATATGACATAATAAATGCACATCATTTTAAGCCAGTGAGTCTGTGGCAAAATTTGCAGCAACAGAAAATAAACACAGCAACCACCTCATTTATGAAAATGCACCTTAGAATTTAATTTTCATAATTTCATAGAGATTCTGTGAATGTTTTTGTATTATGAAAGTAATTCAGCTGTTCTCACTCCAGTTTGGAGACTTTAGGGGAGAATTCCTATACTGTAACTTATGTTTCAAAATATTCTGATGGGCACGTTTGAGCTCTGTAAGTTCTTCCTGCCTTATTTCCAGCTGTGTTTCACAGTGATTGCACAGACTTCGGTCCCTGCAGGATTGGCCTTACTATTGCAGAAAGAAAAACACCAGATTCAAAAACTGTCACATGACAATGATGACAAGGTGCATCATTGTCGAGATGCAATGTGGTCAGGAGTCTGAGGTATAAAAAGGATCCATTCATTTACTCTTTATAATTGGAGATTCTTCTACAAAATGGTTCAGTTTTCTCCCACTGATGAGTGGTGTCTGTTTCTCTGGAGAGTGCTTGGAGAAAGGCAATGTGGAGTACTGTGGAATATTGATGGATGTTGTACCTTTATAGCTAAAGCAACCTTCCCTCATGCCACCAGCATCAGGCAGTTCATATCATAGGACCAAGCACAAAACTTATTTTTTCTTCATGTTTTCTCCCAACACCGAGGCTTTTTCTTCTGCTCTGCTCCTCTGTCACCTAGCTCTGCAACTTCCCCAACTTCTTGCACCCTCTTAGTCCCTGTTCTCTCTATGACCCTGCCTCATCGCTTCTCCACAATAACTTCCTCATACAATTTTCATGAGGGTCACCTAGAAGAGTGACAGGTACCCAAAGCATATACTTTATGCTGAGCATTTGATGTCATCCAATGTCCTTTCCAAAAGGAACCATTTCTGCTAGGTTGGTATTCTCCAAAGCCCAAAAGTCCTTAGAAGTGCTCCATAGTGCCTGGGCATGGTGGCTCATGCCTGTAATTGCAGCACTTTGGGAGGCCGAGGTGGGCAGATCACCTGAGGTCAGGAGTTCAAGACCAGCCTGGCCAACACAGTGAAACCCCATCTCTGCTAAAAGTATGAAAATTGGCCAGGCGCGATGGCTCACGCCTGTAATCCCAGCACTATGGGAGGCCGAGGCAGGTGGATCGTGAGGTCAGGAGATTGAGACCATCCTGGCTAACATGGTGAAACCCCGTCTCTACTAAAAATACAAAAAAGAATTAGCCGGGCTTGGTGACAGGCATCTGTAGTCCCAGCTACTCGGGAGGCTGAGGCAGGAGAATGGTGTGAACCGGAGAGGCAGAGCTTGCAGAGACCCGAGATCACGCCACTGCACTCCAGCCTGGGCGACAGAGCAAGACTCCGTCTCAAAAAAACAAACAAATAAAAAAAAAAACAAATGAAAATTAGCTGGGTGTGGTGGCATATGCCTGTAATCCCAGCTACTCAGGAGGCTGAGGCACGAGAATCGCTTGAACCCAGGAGGTGGAGGTTGCAGTGAGCTGAGGTTGCACCACTGCACTGCAGCCTGGGTGACAGAGCAAAACTCAACAGCAACAAAAAAAGAAGTGCTCCATAGTGTCCATAGTAGCGCCTGAAGTGAGTTGCGAAGACTGAGCTCTTATGGAGCAGCCTCTCAGGCCCTCAGGCCCCATGAGCCCAAATCTCTTTCTGGGAGATTCGAAGAGATGCACAGGTCGCTCCACCAGGTAATGGGGCAGGTCCAATAAACTGTAACCTCATGCAACCAGCAATGCCTGAGAAGTGGGTTCTGAAAGGGCTCAGCAATCTCATGTAGCCTCTCCAGGACTCTCTCACCTTCCTTCACAGTAAGTCCTTTGTGAGTCAGGCTCATATAAGGAGAATGTGACTTTCCTTACCTCAGCTCTTCACACCTATGGACATCTTTAATTGTTACTGCAAATTGACCACAACTTTGTTGTAACTGTAGCAATTTGCAAAAGAAGTGTATGTGTGTTGGGTGATGGATGGGTGATGGGCACCTGGTTTTGCTCCAGGAAATAAAATAATTTGCAATTTCAGGTCTTTAAAGAATGTTGAGTCTATGATAGTCCGACTGACGCACAGACGTTAGCCCAGAAAGACTGTGGCAGACCTCTGATTTACAGAGCTGTAAGATGGAGTGTTTCCTGGCCTCCTTCGCCACACGTTCTTTCCTCCCTTTTCTGAACTTCCCAGCATGAGGTTTGCCTACATGCCTGTGTCAGGCACTGAGTTGTGACAGTCCTGAAAGTGAGGTCCCTGTCTCTCTATGCCTAGCATGCTATCTCACCAAAGTCAGTCTTTCGAAAGTATGTGAGGATTTATTGCATTCCAGTTAAAAGCAGCTGCCCCATTATATGAAATCTTTTTAATTTATTCTTTGTTTGTTTGTTTGTTTGTTTATTGAGACAGAGTCTCACTGTGTTGCCCAGGCTGGAGTGCAGTGGCACATTCTCGGCTCACTGCAACTTCCGCCTCCCAGGTTCAAGCGATTCACCTGCTTTGGTCTCCCAAGTAGCTGAGACTACAGGCGTGCCCCACTATGCCCGGCTAATTTTTTGTATTTTTAGTAGAGATGGGGTGTTACAATGTTGGCCAGGATGGTCTCAAAATCCTGACCTCAGGTGATCCGCCCACCTCAGCCTCCCAAAGTGCTGGGATCACAGGCGTGAGCCACTGAGCCGGGCCCCATTATACCAAATCTTAAAACAGATAGTTCCCTGTGTATAGAGCATATTGCAGCTATGCTCAGGGGAGATGATATTCCTAGCACTAAATTACCTGTTTTGAACTATTGAGTAAATGTAGCCTCAACCGTGCAATGCTAAAAGACAAACACTATTTTTTATTTCTTGCAAAATAATATTTTATTCACAAAATATCCATTATAAGGCTGAAGAGTTCAATGATATCCATATGGTGAAATATGTAAACAAACAAATCTTTATAGTTGCTAAGAGGTTAGCGATGCATTTACGTGCTCTTCCAGCCTGTTGGCATTTAACCTGCATTAATCACTTTTGAATAATTGATACTGTGATCTCCCATTGTTCATTCAACTTAATAAGGTGAAACTTTAAAAACCACACTGATTAAGATCTTCCAACTTGAAAACCTCTATTCTTTTCTCTATCTTAGTTTCCTAAGAATGTGAGCTACTAGTTTTTAAAGAAATATAGTCCTAGACAGAAATAGAATAGAGATTGCACACATTCATAAATTTGTCTGACTCCTAACGAGAGTACCTTGTCAAGGGTAATATGGCTTATGTGTTAGAAATATAATTTAAAATTAATAAAATACCAATTTTATCACATTATGGTAATGTTTACTGCTTTCCTGAAGTGTTTGAGATTTTCCTGTAGAATGTACTTGGAGCATGTACAGTTATACAATGAAAGTAATAAACTATTAAATCAAAAAATATTTTAGAAACACTCAGTATATGAACCTCTTGCTCTAGCGTAATCTATGTATATGTTTTACATCCGGTGTTAGAACATAGGCATTTTTCTTACAGAAATTCTCAAATAAGGACAAAACATCCCCCTAATATGTAGTAGAATGTTTACTGCGGCACTGTTTGTAATAATAATTTCTAAAAACCTGACAACTCTCTAGAATGTTATCAGTGAGGGATAGAAAAATCATTCTGAATCCTTGCTATCTAGCAGGGTGCAGCTGTGAGAAAGTAGGAGAGAAACCTAGCTACGGCGTGACACGGAGAGATCACCAAGACAGAAATGACATGAGAGAAGAAAGGAAGTCAGATAATAATGCATAAAGTAATATTCCATTGATGCTAGAATGCAGCCAGACAACACAGGTGTGTTTAGAGAAATTTATTAGCTAAACTTAGACATTGTTTGAAACTTTTATAAAAATGCATTTGTGGTCTACAAATATGTACATTAATAAAAATAAAACAGCACTTATTGTGCATGCACACTCAGTGCATCTCTCTGAAGTGAGAACTCATAATTTTCCAGATGAGGAAACTCAGGCACAATGAGGTTAAGGGGTTTCACCCAGAGCCCACGTTCAGTGAGCAGGGAGCTTTGTAAGGCTCTGGAGCCTTTGTTCTTAATTATCGTTGCTGTATTATGCTTTGAGTAATGAAAACAAATCAACTCAGGAGTTTTAACCAAAAACATCTGTTAAAGAAAACGAGGAGGCCGGGCACGGTGGCTCACACCAGTAATCCCAACGCTTTGGGAGGCCGAGGCGGACAGATCACAAGGTCGGGAGACTGAGACCATCCTGGCTAACACGGTGAAACCCCGTCTGTACTAAAAATACAAAAAAAAAAAAATTAGCCAGGTGTGGTGGCACACACCTGTAGCCCCAGCTACTCGGGAGGCCAAGGCAGGAGAATCGCTTGAACCCGGGAGGTGGAGGTTGCAGTGAGCCAAGATCACGCCACTGCACTCCAGCCTGGGTGACAGAGCAAGACTCCGTCTCAGCGGGGAAAGAAAAGAGATTGGATCAGGTGAGGTCTAAGATCTCTTGAGCAATTACATCTTACAGGAGTGTGAGCTTTGGGGTCAGCTGGCTTTGGGTGAGACTCCAGTTTTGATGCTGACACTTGACTGTGGGCGGTTAACTAAGTCCCACTGAGCTGGTTTCGAACCCGTAAAATGTAAAGTGTAGGCACTGCTTTATGGGGTTACTGTAGCGAGAGGGGCTGGTCCTGAGGCAACCTGGGGATAGTTCCTAGCAAGTGCTCAGGAATAATATCACTTTCCCCCATGACTCCAAAATCCCAGGATCTTTAGTCTTACCTGAATATGTATGGAGTAAAACATATTCCCAAGTTATGAGATCTCTCTGGAGCTCAGTCTTTCATATCAAACTGCTAACCAGACACCTCCACTTGCATGAGCCACGGACCATTAATACTCAGTCTATTTGTTTGTTTGTTTGAGACGGAATCACCCAGGCTGGAGTGCAGTGACACAATCTTGGCTCACTGCAACCTTTGCAACTTCTGTCTCCTGGGTTCTAGCGATTCTCCTGCCTCAGCCTCAGAGTAGCTGGGATTACAGGTGAGCTGCCTCCGTGCTTGGCTAATTTTTGTATTTTTAGTAGAGACGGGGTTTCACCATATTGGCCAGGCTGGTCTCGAACTCCTGACGTCAGGTGATCTACCCCCACCCTCGGCCTCCCAAAGTGCCCGGATTACAGGCGTGCAATACTCAGTCTATTTGAAACCAGTATTACCTCCTTTGTTCTCGTCCAAAGCTGTCTTATTCTCTAGCGCCCCCTATCTTGACAGCAACATCCTATCAGTTGCTAAAACACATATTCCAGACTGTTGACGCTCAGTGGCACTCTAAGCCCTGTGGATGCCACATTCTTAATACATTTTGAGTGTGCCCACTTTTCTCTGTCTGGATGGCTGGCATCTTGCTTAGGGTGCCATCATCCTTGGCATAAGTTTCTGCATCCTATGTACGCCACCTGCCTCAAGTCCCTTCATGTTGGAATCACACTGCAGTCAGGGGTATCCTTCCAAAATGTACAGCAGATTCTCTGAAAAATAATCTGTCTTGCTCTTAAATGTGCCCCTCAGATACTGTAAGAGCTCCTCCTTGCCTGTGGATTAAATCCCAAATTCTTTATGCCCGAGTTGATCTTCAATGTCATCTCATATTCCATGCCCCTTCCAGACTCGGAAGCAGTTCATGGAGCAGAATATTCAACTATTCAGAAACACTGAATCAATTTTCGCTCTGAACAAGAATGATTTTTCTAGCTTCATGGGCTCTGCCCACACCACCTCAGACACCTGCCACATTCCCTTTACACCCACCTATCATTTCCTTACTACCTGATTCTTTTCATTCTCCAGATCTCAGTAAAGAAGTCGCTTGCTTTCTGTTAATTTTCCTGACATCTCCACATCTCCATCTCATGTTCAAGATAAAGGAGGTTCTCATGTCTTCCCATAATGAACTATCTCGTACTGTCCCCATCATGACAGAGCATGCTGTATTACAAGTTCGATGTGCAAGAAATAGGGCCCAAGTGGTGTTTGCCATTAATCAATGTGGCATATGCAGTGCAGTACTGGGGCAGACTCCTATAAATGACCTTTTAAAAGATGCTAACATGACCTTTCAAAAGATGCAAATCTGACTTTATCACTTTCCTGCAAGACCTTTAAGCAGCTTTGAACCTCTTTGTCTTCGTTTCCTCCAAAGACACCATCCAGCTCCCTGTGCAGCCTCAGGCCTCAGTGACTTAGCCCCCGCCTTTTTTTTTTTTTTTTTTTTTTTTTGTGAGATGGAGTCTCGCTCTGTCACCCAAGCTGGAGTGCAGTGGCGCCATCTCGGCTCACTGCAAGCTCCGCCTCCCGGGTTCACGCCATTCTCCTCCCTCAGTCTCCCGAGTAGCTGGGACTACAGGCGCCCACCACTACGCCCGGCTAATTTTTTTGTATTTTTAGTAGAGACGGGGTTTCACCACGTTAGCCAGGATGGTCTCGATCTCATGACCTTGTGATCTGCCCGCCTCGGCCTCCCAAAGTGCTAGGATTACAGGCGTGAGCCACCGCACCGGGCCTAGCCCCTGCCTTTCTGACTTCCACTCTCATCCTCCATTCGTCTCTGGTATAAAGTTCTTTCCTGACACAAGGTCTTTGCTTATGTGGTCTCCCCTCCCCCTCTCTGGATTTCTTTCCTGGCAAACTACAAATCATCATTTAGGTCTCAGCTTAAATGCCACTTCCTGAAAAATGACTTTGCTGAGAGCCTCAATTGGGTCTCTCAGTTCTAAAAACCCTGCACGTTCCCATGTCTGTGTGTCCCCCGATGTGCTCTTCCCAATTAGACAGCAGGGTCCCCGAGTGCTGAATTTTCTTCACTGCTATCACGCCAACACCTAACAAAGAACTTGCCCCAAAATCTATTTGTCAAATGGAAGAATAAATCATTAAGGAAAATATCTGATCAGTGATTTGATGATAAAAAATACACTATATAATGAATACCTAGAAGTTTATTATAGTTAAATGGGCCGTCTCTGAGATGGAATAACTTCACTACGATTTATGTGTTTTAGAAACATAATGACATATAATTCACAGATTTAATGACAGTGTCACATCTATACTTCCATTTTATGTGGCATAATATAGAAAGAGCGAGTTTTATTATCCAGATTACATAATAAGGAAACAGTGTTTAAATGCTGATATGGTTTGGCTGTGTCCCCAGTGATTCAAAGACCAAAAGGGCTTAAATAAAAAGAAGACCGAAGGAAGTAAATAGAAAAGAGGAGGGAATTTATGAGAAACCATTTTAAATGGTCCATTTTCAAGGCATGATAAATCAAAAGTACTGGAAGCCAGCCTGCAAATTTAACAAACCGCACTGCTCATGCACCTAGAAGGTCACAGTAAGCAAACAATGAAAAGGAGGGGTTAGCCCATAAAAGGGAAAAAAGTTTCATTATTGGGAAATTGAAACAAGCAAGAAAGAGGACCGGGATATAACCTTATAAGGGGGATAATGAAACTTAGGTGACATCCAGGAAAATTGTAACCCCATAGCACTCAACCAATGAGGAACTTGGGGAGGGACTTGCGTACTGGAAGATAAATTACTTGTTGTGACTGCCCCAGATGTACCTACCTACCAGACACCCAATCTTGCAAGACCATTATTAAGTCTCACTTTCGCTGTTCTTCATGCCTCTAAGTCCATTCTTTGGGTTTGGATGGATGAGTAGATTTCTCACACCCACCCAAATCTCATCTTGAATTTCTACTTGTTGTGGGAGGGACCTGGTGTGAGGTAATTGAATCATGCAGGCAGGTGTTTCCCATGCTATCTGTGTGATAGGAACGGTGTCTCTTGCACACAGATGGTACTGACTTCAACTATGTCAAACAAAAAGTTGTTTGATAGTTACTTAACAGTCATCTCATTTGCTACTATACCTTCAAGAATAAGCCACTGATTCAATTTATCTAAAATTATGATGTTAAAATAATTTTTGAAGTTTGTTTTTACATATATCTGATTATCTACCTACCTATATTTTATTTTACCAAGTTAATTGCTTTTAACTTCAGTGTTCTTAAAATCACTCTGCCTCCTTTGCATTATGGTATAAAAATAGAACAATCTTTTTCCTATTGATTTCTAAATGCTTGATGTCTCCTCTCCTTCTCTTTAAAACCCAATCTGATAGTGTGGATTTAACATGCCTACCTTCAACATTTTGTTATTTGTATTAAGTTATTTCACAGTATTATTTTTTAAATTATATGCCTTATAAGTCAGGTTTGGACTTTTACTCCTGGTTGGGAATTCTTAAATAAAATAAAAAGTGATTAGTTGTCAAAGTTTACTTCAAGCATAGCTAAGAAAATTTGGCCCATAGTTCTTTCCTCTTGTTGCTATAAGATCTGTGCTTTATCTATCAAGAAGAAGCATTTCTCATTTTCAACCTACAAGTCATGATTAAGGAATTAATAGAAGAACACGCAATGTCCTTGTTCAACAGGAATTATCAGGGTTAAGTCAAATTCTTATAACTCAGCGGTTAATTACTCAATTTTTGCATTTTGTTATATAAATTTTTACCCGGTCTACTTTGCAAGTAGTTTCAAATAACTACTTGCAAAGTAGTCACTAGCTGTTATCAGTCTATTCATGATTTGCCATGGTAATTTCTTCCTATCACTCATCTCTTCTGCATTGCTGAGTAAAGGAAACAATGATCAACTTAAAGCATGTGGAAAACAAAATAAATAGAGACTGAGAGAAAAACAGCAAATTTTACTTGTGTATTTAAGATTTTCTTCCTTTCTATGGCTTGATTTTATTTGATGTTTAGAACACAATCTATTTCTAAAATTTGTGGGGACAGTTCCATCTTTTGGTTTCTGTGTTTGCATTTCCACCTCACTTCCTTAAATTAATTTTCTTCCATAATATTTCATGTTAACATATATCTAGGTTTTGTGATCACACACAAACACACACAAAGACACACACAGCTCTTCTTGAAGTTTGTACACCATTTACACCATTTTTCTGGACTGTCGAGACTATTATGATTGTTTACATTGAGGGATGAATTTTTGAAGACATATGAATTGAAACAAAGGTCAGTGGACCAATTCAGTGTATTGCAAAGTTGTTTATTATAATGAGATTATTATCAGGGCTTTAAGCCTTTTAGGCCATGAGGAACAATTAATGGCACTCCAAATTTACATTGAGTAAATTAATATTTGTAATACTTTATATATCTTTTGCCCCCCTCAAAATAAAATAATATAGTATTAAATCAACTCAAGAGAAAATTTTAGGAAACAACTTGTTTATAGTAGACAGAATTATAAGATACCTCCTCCCACTGCCCATGGCCAATATTTTTTACCCTATTGTATACACACCTACTCCCAGTTTTTCAAACACTGATATAGATACTGCTGTGGAGAGATTTTGCAGATGTAATTAAGGTCCTGATTCATTGATAAGGAGATTATCTGGATGGACCCTAACATGGGGAGATTTTTCTAATCATATGAGTCCTTACAAAGCAGAAAATTTTCTCCAGCTGATGTCAAAAAAGGAAGTCAGAGATTCAAAACACAAGAAGAATTTGACATGCTATTGCAGTTTTGAAGGAATACAGTATCCTCTAGGATGTGACAGTGGCCTCAGTGGACAGCCAGTGAGCAAACAGGATCCCAGTCCTACAACCACAAGGAATTGGATTCTCTCAATTGTGCTGATAAGCTGGAAGCAGATTCTTCCTTGCTCAGTCCTCCAGATGAAAACAGCCCACAGCAGTTTGATTTCAGATTTGTGAGATGATGAGCAGAGAACCCAAGCAAGCGACACCAGATTTCTTTTTTTTTTCTTTCTTTCTTTTTTTTTTTTTTTGAGACAGAGTTTCACTCTTGTTGCCCAGGCTGGAGTGCAATGGCACGATCTCAGCTCACTGCAACCTCCGCCTCCTGGGTTCATGCAATTCTCCTACCTCAGCCTCCCAAGTACCTGGGATTACAGGCACCCGCCACCACGCCCAGCTGATTTTTGTATTTTTAGTAGAGATAGGGTTTCACCACTTTGGCCAGGCTGGTCTTGAACTCCTGACCTCAGGAGATCCACCCGCCTTGGCCTCCCAAATTGCTAGGATTACAGGTGTGAGCCACTGCAACTGGCCTCACCACACCAGATTTCTATCCTACAAAACTATGAATTTATAAATGGCTTAGTTGGAACCTGCTAAATTTGTAGTAATTGGCAGTACAGCAACAGAAAACAAAGACAGATTTTATAATTGAGACTAGGAGTGGCTTCATAATTAGGCAGTGGAAGAAAGACAGAAGAAAATGAGGAATATGACTCAGAAACCCTAAGTTACCTCAGACAACACCTAAATTGTTGTGCCCAGGCAACTAAAACTGTGAGATAATAGATTCGTATTATTTTAAGCAGCAGAATTTGTGGTAATTCATTATGCAGCAACAGAAAATGAAGACAGCGCCTATAATATGTGAGACTAATACTTCATTGTAACATGAAGCATTTCATGCTACAAAGTACTCAGATGCTGGACAAATTATGGCATATAAATCTTAAAAGATATTGATGAGCTTCCAATCCAGTAATTATAAGCTCCACCCACCTACTCACTCTAGGGACTTGATATGGTTTGGCTGTGTCCCCACCGAAATCTCATCTTGAATTCCCATATTTTGTGGGAGAGACCTGGTGGGAGGTAATTGAATCATGGGGGCAAATCTTTCCCAGGCTGTTATCGTGATAGTGAATAAGTCTTACACTATCTGATGGTTTTAAAAAGAGGAGTTCCTCATGGACACAGGGAGGGGAACATCACACACCAGGGCCTGTCGTGGTTGGGGGAAAGGGGAGGGAGAGCATTAGAATAAATACCTAATGCATGCAGGGCTTAAAAACCTAGATGACAGGTTGATAGGTGAAGCAAAACATCATGAGACATGTATACCTATGTAACGAAACTCCATGTTCTGCACATGTATCCCAGAACTTAAAATAAAAAAAAATAAATACATACATACACATATATGCACAACAAAAATTAAAATAAAGCACAAGCTCTCTGTCTTTTTGCCTGCTGCCATCCACGTAAGACGTGACTTGCTCCTCCTTGCCTTCTGCCAGGGTTGCAAGGCTTTCCCAGCCACATGAAACTGTTAAGTCCAATAAACCTTTCTTTTGTAAATTGCCCAGTCTTGGGTATGTCTTTATAAGCAGCGTGAAAACAGACTAATACAGTAAATTGGTACCAGTAGAGTGGAGTGCTGCTGAAAAGACACCCAAAAATGCAGAAGCAATTTTGGAACTGGGTAAAAGGCAGAGGTTGGAACAGTTTAGAGGGCTCAGAAGAAGACAGGAAAATGTGGGAAAGTTTGAAACTTCCCAGAGATTTGTTGAATGGCTTTGACAAAAAAAGCTGATAGTGATATGAACAATAAGGGCCAGGCTGAGGTGGTCTCAGATGGAGATGAGCAACTTGTTGGGAACTGGAGCAAAAGTGACTCTTGTTATGTTTTAGCAAAGAGACTGGCAGCATTTTGCCCCTGCCCTAGAGATTTGTGGAACTTTGAACTTGAGAGAGATGATTTAGGTTATCTGACAGAAGAAATTTCTTTTTTTTTTTCCTGTTAAAAGAAGTGTTTTGTCTCGTTTTAATATCTTATCAGCTTTACAGGGTTACAATCGTCTTAAATATTTCTGAAGTTAAAATACAATCTGCATAATAATGCTATTATAAAATGTAAACTTTCAGTGTTCTTTTAAATTTCAAAATCACACCTTTTTTCTGGTCTTTTTGTCTTTTTTTATTTTTTTTCCTTTCAATACCTGGATGTTCTGCAAAACTGAAATTGTTACAGGCCACCCTGCTGCGGCCAGGGCAAGAAAGGCTGGGCCCAGCCAGAGGTAGAGAGTAGTTTTATGATTCTTTTATTTTTTATTTTTTTAAAGTCTATTATTTTTTTTCTCCCATTACCTAACTTTCAGGCGTGGTCCCCGCGTCCTCTGACAAACCCCAGAGAAACTGAAATGTCACACGTCATGAATGAAAGGCTGAGTTTACGTTTGCCAAGAAAAAAAAAATGCAAGAGCACAATTAGGGGAAAAGAGGGACAAAGTGGGTAAAAAAAAAAAAAGATAAAGGAAATTCAGACTGTACAGATGCGTGACCCTTAACGACCCCGGCTCTCCCCAGTGCCCCATGCCCATCCTCCCGCCTGTCCTGACGGCCACTTAAGGGTCCCACTGAAGGTTCCAGAAGCTGCCTGTCCCCCAACATCTCACAGCAGGGAGAGCCCCCCCTTGGCCTCGAGTGTGGGGTCCCCGCCCAGTACACAGCTAGCCCCACGGCCCCAAGAGAACTCGAACCCGTCCAGGGTCCTCGTGGCTGAGGGAGGTGCCCGACCCCATCCCAGTCTGCATAAGAGGGGATGCTGAGCTGCACCCCAGAAAGCCACCCCAACTTTAAACCCCCACCGACAGGCAGTGGCGGGAGGTGCGTACGGCTGGGGTTGAATGGGGCCACCTGAGGCAGGGAGTACCCTCTGGAGACCACGGCTTCCTGCCCAGTATCCAGGACCGGGCCCCACAGACCCCCTGCGACCCCCTCCCATTTCCACGACCACTGCCTTCAGTGATTTCCTTCTCCTGGAGTCGCCAGGCCGCCCAGGACCCAGCCCCGTGCCCACCCACCGCCCGCCCCACCTGTCCCTACAATCATCGAAGTTAACAGCAGGCCCAAGTCCCCTGAGTTAGAATCCAGTCCCACCCACAGCCAGGGGGCCGGATCGCCCACACAGGCACGACACGCAGGATTCCCGACACACACACGTGCACACGGGAGCGCAACACACGCAGCCCGAGAGAGACGACCCAGCCCACGGCCCTGCGCAGCCCCTCCCCAGACACCAAGGCGGGCGGGTGCAAAGGGGCCCATGGCCGCCTCCAGGGCCGCCAGATGCAGCAGGCAGCCTGGCCCCAGTGGCTGCTGCAGACCCTGGTGCACGGGAGGCGGGGGAGAGGCACCCCAGGGGCTTAGATTTTGGCATCAAAAGTCAGACCTGAGGTAGACAGAGATAAGCAGCAGGCGCTTCCCCCAGCGCGGGACCCAGGCGCGGGACGGCGGCTCTGGGGAGAGGAGCCCTGGGGGCCGGAGGGCAGACACGGACAGGGTCCAGGCGGTTCTGCGAGTGGGGCCCGATTGCGTCTTGGAGCGAAAAGACACCCCCTTCCCGGGGTGATTGTGCTGCTACGGTGCCGGCCCCGGGAAGGGGCAGGGAGAACCTAGCTGCCCACCAACCCCTCCTGGAAAGGGGGTGTGTGTCAATGGCCCTGAGATCAGAAGAAAGTGGGGTCCCGTCCCCAAAGACAAAGGCAAGTGAAAGTCCCCTCCCACAGCCCGACGGGAGAGTGAACCTAGACTCAGGGGCTCAGAAGCCCCCCAGCCCCCTCCCCCAGGGGTCTCCAAGGCTATGCGGAGGTGGGGCGGTTGGGAGTCGGGGGAGTTGGGGAGTCCCCTTCCTCACCGACCCCCAATGCCGGTGGCCTAACAGGGCTCCCAGGGCCCAATTAGAGACCCAGGCTTACCATGGGAATAGCTGAGTTAATCCCCACCCCACCACAAGAGAAATGAAAGCCCGGAGCTCCCGTGTAGGACGCGACAGCCCAGCCGGTCACCAGGCGGGTCCAACAAGGTCCCCAGACCCTGCCGAGCATTTCAGACTCCTGCCTTTCTGCTCCAGCAGCTCCAGCCAAAATAACCCCCAGCTCGGCTGCTGTAAACCCACTTTCTCCTAGCCTGGCAGAGGGGCACTGACCCACAGGGTTGGGGGGCAGCCTCCCTTCTCGGCCTCGATTTAGTCACCGCACAACACAGGGAGCTCGCAGCCCCGGCACAAAAGCGGTCGGGAGAAGAGGAAGAGATAGAAGGAGGAGAATGTTGGGGTGTGGGGTGTGTTCAGTACGCCAGGGCCCCGAAATCCTCACCCTGAGCTAGGTCTGGCTTCACCCCCACTCCCCAGTATTGTTAGTCCCCAAAAGCAGCCCTTTTGGACAAGAGAAGAATCCCAGTGAGAAGGCCACATTCATCCCTGAGACAGGAGCCTGGGGGCTGTGACAAGAACCACCCCCGCCCCCCAGGCCCCAGGCCCTTTTTCCAGCAGTTGCTACTTTTTAGATAAGATTTCCAGGCCGGGCCGGGCGCAGTGGCTCATGACTGTAATCCCAGCACTTTGGGAGGCTGAGGAGGGCGGATCACCTGAGGTCAGGAGTTCGAGACCAGCTTGGCCAACATGATGAAACCCCATCTCTACTAAAAATACAAAAATTAGCTGGGCGTGGTGGCGGGTGCCTGTAATTCCAGCTACTCGGGAGGCTGAGGCAGGAGAGTCGCTTGAACCCAGGAGGTGGAGGTCGCAGTGAGCCAAGATCGGGCCACGGTACTCCAGCCTGGGTGACAAGAGGGAGACTCCATCTCAAAACAAACAAACAAACAAAACAAAACAAAACAAAACAAAAACAGAAAAAAGAAGAGCTAATGAGGAAATTAAAAGAATTGTAAGAATCTATTTAGCTTAGTTATTCAAATTAGTTTGATAATCTTAATAAAGTATATGATTTTCCAAGAAAATATAATTTAACAAAATGAATCCTATAAAAATTAGAAAAGTCTAAATTGACTGACTTCCATGCAAAAGACAAAGAAAAATGTCAGTCCTTCAGAATATTAGGTGGCCACTACTTTCTAAGAGAATTGTATCGCTCCTTTAAAGAGAAGTTAATTCCAGTGCAGTCTATACTGTTCCGAAGAATTGAAAACTGATAAAAGCTTTCTAATTCATTTTATGAAATGAGTACAACATTAAAGCTAAATTACTTTTAAAAGATTAAATACAAAAAATAAAATTACAGTTACAATCTCAGTTAACCATGCAAAAAATTCTAATGAAATAGAAACAGCCGATTAGCAGAATCTGCTTCATGATCACTGCTTTTAGTCTAGAAATGGTTGGATAGTCTTATGTGTTTTTTTTGTTTTTTTGTTTTGTTTTGTTTTGTTTTGTTTTTGTTTTTGAGACAGAGTCTCGCTCTGTCGCCCAAGCTGGAGTGCAGTGGCGCGATCTCCGCTCACTGCAAGCTCCACCTCCCGGGTTCACGCCATTCTCCTGCCTCAGCCTCCCGAGTAGCTGGGACTACAGGAGCCCGCCATCACGCCCGGCTAATTTTTTGTATTTTTAGTAGAGACAGGGTTTCACCATGTTAGCCAGGATGGTCTCGATCTCCTGACCTCGTGATCCGCCCACCTCGGCCTCCCAAAGTGCTGGGATTACAGGCGTGAGCCACCGCGCCCGGCCAGTCTTATGTTAAAATATATGAAATAAGGTTCCATTTTTATTTGCAGTCCATCAAAATCGCAATGGAGAAAAAGCCAAGGCCTTGTCTAAAGGACAAAAGAAATTTTATGATATTGTTCTGTGTCTCAACTACCTGTTTACTCTTTATACAGTAAGGGCAGAAAGGGGTGATACCTTTCCAAAGTTCCCCATCAGAAAGGTCACAACCAGTACTCCTATAACAAAAGGCAGTTTAAAGAAAAGTATAGCAAATCAATTTAATCAAAGTTTTACATATCAGAAGAGCTTTCAAAAATGAAGAACCAAAGACCCAGGGAAATCATCTATTTTTATAGGTAGGCTTCATGAAGAAGGGACAGCCATGTGGAAATGTGATTGGACAAAAAGGAATGATCTCATGGTAATAGGCTGAGAAAGAACCCAGCAAGACCTGTCTTCCTGGCCTCTAAGCTGCATTTATTTCTCCTGCTGTGGGACACACAGTCTTCAAGGGAGAAGGAAAAGAATGACTTTTCTAGGTTTTATGACTTGCTTTGGGGAAGAGGGGCTCTAGTTTCTGTGAGTTGCCTTGGGGAAAAGGAATTCTGGTTTCAGCTTCAGAGTAATGAGAGGGGAGGGAGACAGGAGGGTAGGAGAAGGTCAGCGACCTTGCCCTTGATTCTGAAGCCTCCAATCTCCTTTAGTTCAAAGTATTCAGCAGGCCGAGGTGCCATCTGTTGGAGTATTGTGTTCTGAACCCCAACAACATCACTTCGGAAGACTGAAATGGCAGATGTTATATGCCATGGAGGATAAATATTGCTGTTACAATCTAACAGTAATACTAGCCAAAATGAAAAAGAGAAAAGAACATACCAAAATAATCTAGACTATATCTCAAAGCAAACTTTTTATAATTAGCTAAATTGTAAAAATAGTTCTCATATAAAATAAAACCTTACTGTTCTTATTTAAGATACTCGTAACACAAAGATAACTGTACTGTCATAAATGTGACAATATTGAAGGCCCTGCTCCAATTGTTCTTATGTTATTATGATTAATAATCACTTTTAAAATCACTTATATTTGACATAGAGATTTTTTCTATTGTGCCTAATTGTTCTGTAGTGTATGAGGAGAAACTGTCCAATCAACAGATTATTTAGATGTAATTTGATGCTTACGCATTGTGTACTCGGTAAATGAATTTTTAGAAGTACATTAACAAGATGTGAGAAAACACATTACATTTTCAAAAGAAAACTACACAAAATAGACAAGATTTTTAAAATCATGAAAGTAAATATTTTACATTATATATAATGTGAATGAAATTCATACCCGTAGATTCAAATGTTTGTGACTTTTAAAATCAAATTAAACAAATTGAGAAAATATGTAATGCCATTATATTGACTTAGAACATGTCAGTTGAAAAATAGCTTCCTATTTTATTTGGTTTCTCTGGCATCTATATAAATGTATGTTTAAAGGGCAATTACCTTTCCTTTTCCCTTTTTATTTCTGAAGTATGAAAGACAGTGTGAGATTTTTCTGGGTAATATGAGCTTCTCTGTACATCTTTTTCAGGATGCCACTGATGTTGACAGCTGTTCTTTTAAAATACTGATATTCAACATGACAATGCATGTGACTTGCCAAGGAATTGAGAAGCTGAAAGTACAGTGACATGGTTATGACAGGGCTGCAAAAGACATGACTTGTAATGTCATTTCAAAGCTTTCTCTAAAAATAAGTTGAAAAACACAAAATGAATTTGCCTTTTATTCAGCCAAAATGAGTATCTCTTTACTTCAGGTACCTAGTTTGTATTGGAAGTGGTTTTTGAAGATTCTAAAATGTGTGTGTGTGTGTGGTGTGTGTGTGTGTGTGAGAGAGAGAGACAGAGAGAGACAGAGAGAGAGAGGGAGACTGTGACTCTGCTCAGGGGTTACAAATCATTTACCTTGAGTAGCATATTTTCTTTAGTCTTTGCAACTAGCTGAAGGATATCATAACTTTCCAATATTATCATTTCATAAAAGTTGTCTTTAAATAAACAAAAAGATGGAGTAGACGTTGACCAAATGTTTTGATTATCATATGTTTTTACAAAAGGAAACAAAATGGACATTTATTTGTTTTCATAATGATACGTGTAAGATAGGAGCAGTAAAGAGTAGGGTATGAGACAAACTTCTAGTTGGTATATTTTAGAAAAATGTTAGCTAACAATGGGATTTAACATATTAACCTCTGATACTGAAAGGGAATTCCATTTCTGGTGGTATGTTTTTCCTTAAGTGAATAGGCCAGAGATACCCTCATACTAAAAATGTATGTGTATGTGTAAAGCTTCATATATTTTAAACACCTTATTCAGCATCATATTTATACTTGGAGAGTTTTCACTGTTTTTCTAGGATCTACTGAAGTGTTTAGTTTTGATGAAAGAAAGTCTGTGGGTTTGATCAGAAGCCCATGAGTCCAATCAAAGGTATTATTTATTTGAAATTTAAAAACCATGCAAGCAATTTCAAGCATGTAAATTAACTAGGATTTTAGGACAACCTGTGAGCGGAGAAGCACAGGAAAACTAGGTTATCAGAAATTCATAGGAGATCCTCCTGAGGCAGAAGTAAAATTATAGTGGAGGAGAAATATAAGTCATCATCCCAGATTAATTTGCTTGCAATTTGAAATTATGGAAAGAGGAAAAGTCCATGTGCAAGGATCTTCTTTTCCATGCAATCTAATTTTTAAAAATTGGGATAAAAACAGCATGAGAGCTACCCTCTTAAATTTTTAGGAATACAACACAGTGTTCTTAACTACAGGCACAATGTTGTACATAGCAGATCTCTAGGACTTATTCATCTTGCATACCTGAAGCTTTATACCTGTTAAACAGTAACTCCCTATTTTCCACTTCTCCCAGCCCCTGGTAACCCACTGCACTTTGTGCTTCTGTGAATGGGGTTATTTTATATTGGACATATAATAACGGACTCACACTGTATTTTCCTTTTGGCTTATTTCGCTTAGCATAACGTCATCAGGGTTCATCCATGTTGCCACATATGGAAGGATTTCATGTCAGACAATAATATTTTGTTGTAAGTAGATGCCACATTTTCCTTATCTATTCATATGTCGGTGGGTCTTTATGCGGCTTCTACATCCTGGCTATTGTGAGTACTGCTGCAATGAACATGAGAGTTCGAATATGTCTTCAAGATCTTAATTTTTTGAATAAATACCAAGTGTGGGATTGCTGGATCATACGATAGTTCTATTTTTAATGTTTTTGAGGAGCCTCCATACCGTTTTCTATAGTGGCTGCACCATTTTACACTCCCAATAGAGTACAAGGATTCCAATTTCTCCACATCTTTGCTAACACTTGTTATCTTTTTGTTGTTGTTTTGACAACCAGTGGGGAGTGATATCTCATTATGGTTTTGATTGGCATTTCTCCGATTAGTGACATTGAGCATTTTTTCATATGTGTGTTGGCTACTCAGATATTCTTTTAGAGAAATGTCAATCCAAGTACTGTACACCTTTTAAAAATCTGGGTATTTGTTTCAGGCGATTCAGTTGTAGGGTTTCCTTATATATGTTGGATATTAACACCTTATTAGATAAATAGTTTGCAAGTATTTTCTCCTATTTTATAGGTTGCCTTTTCAATCTGTTAACTGTTTCCTTTGCTGTCATAAAGCTTGAACCCTTTCTGGGTTTACCCTACAGATATCTTGTCATTATGAATCTTCTTAAATGATTTCATTTTTATATGTACAATAAAAATCAATGAGAATTGTTAAAAACAAAAACCTCAGAGAGATAGGATTTTACTCCACAGAGAACAAAGTGGAGCTCATATCAACCTGGGATTAATAAAAGGAAAACTCTTTTCACTCAGATAAAACTCTCAGGCAAGGCATTTGGAAATATTTTTGATGCATTCATTGTCTTTGAACAATTTAAGAGTATATTTATATCACATGTTCTTACCTACAAGTGGAAGCTAAACATTAGGTACATATGTACACAAAGATGAGAACAATAGATTCTAGAGAATCTGAAGGACAGAAAAGAGGGAAGGGGCAAAGGGTGAAAAACTACCTATCAGGTACTATGTT
The DNA here is from genome assembly GCF_000001405.40 of Homo sapiens. NCBI lineage: Eukaryota > Metazoa > Chordata > Mammalia > Primates > Hominidae > Homo > Homo sapiens. The sequence goes on from NC_000009.12 coordinate 42,295,051, forward strand.
CACTATTTGGGTGATGGGTTCAGTTGAAGACCAAACCTCAGCATCACGCAATACATCCTTGTAGCAAACCTGCACATGTACCCCCGCTCCAAATCTACAATAAAAATAGAAATCTTTGGCAAAAAAGAGTGTATCTACAGCTCTTAAGGGCTATGTTTATATATCTCTATTGTCTTTTGCTTTATATTTTGTTTATATTTTGACAATTTGTGAAATAAGTACATCTTTTAATGCTCTTTATATAGTTCTAATGTAACAACATAGCTACACACCGTTCTCATAAAAACAAGGACAGGACATTTAGAGGTAGCAATAATGAACAAAGGTAACATTTCAATGGAAACTGAGCTAAATGACTAAAAACAATACAAATGATATGTAAAGGATTACAAGGTTGATAGGATATTGTGTTCAAGCCCTAGATAAATCCAAACAACTAATCTTTGAGAGAGAAGTACGTAGTATGGAAGCATGTAACTGTAATTATTTTGAGAAATGCTAAACCTCAAAATAAAAAATGTGTTTTTTTGCACTTGTCATAATTGAAAGTTTGTTTTTCCTCTCTTTTTGGTAACATTCTATCACTCTCGCCTGCAACCAAAATGACCCTCACCCTGGCAGCCAGCACTGGGATTCCATCCTCATCGAGCTCCTTGACACGAAGGTCAGCTTCACCGTGGGCAAGCATAATCATCATTTGCAGACAAAAGGAGAACCCAGTTATTTGATCTTGATTATCAGATGTGACAATTATCTCTCAAATATTACAGATTTTATGTCATAAATTGCTCTGGGGCACTGCAACCTAGCAAGTCCTCCTGAGAGGCCCATCTAGCCTGCTGCCCAGGCCACAACCAACCTTGCCACTAGCCTTTTCATCAATACAAAGGACAACTATTTGTAATTGTCCTCCAATTGAAAGAACATGTCTGAAGTTGTCAATTGTGTTTATATATTTTAGGTAGGTAGGTAAAGAAAAGTTCTTGTTGTTGGTGAATCACAGACAATTGTTCAATTTAGAGGAGAAGGCAGCCTGGGTAGTGGAGAGGAGGACATTGTTTTCATTGTTGTGTACCCAGGGCCCAGCATAGAGATGGGAAAATAGTTGGCATCAGATAAACTACTATTGAATTCAATTATCATGAGATTCCTTTGCTAATGCTGAGAAGTACAGAAGGTAGAGAAGATAGAATTTTATGCTTAGGGAAATAAAAGACTCAGAAGGGTTTGCCTTATTGAAACTCACTTAGATTTGAAAGCCCTTTAAGATAAATATCATTGAATTTGACCTAGGTGAGCATTTATATTAATTCTAGGCTTACAGGTCTAGAAGAAGCCTTTGTAAAGACTTTGACATTTCTGAGTAAGATTGAAGGTGCCACTCTGAAACCTACTCCATAGCCTCACTTACTTTACTTACTAGAAAACATGTTGCCCTCTTGTTCCACTCTTCAAAGTCAAAGACCTTGTGACTTTTCTGAGCCCTGAGGATGAGGATGAGGTTTCCATCACTTTTCAACTTTGAATATAGAACAGAGCAGGATATTTGCTGTCCAGTGAACATCAACATATTTCAGCAAGCCTCATCTTTGTTCTCATTGATGGAAAGTTTAAATTAAATCTTTCTCAGCCAGAACATTCAGCAAGGGATATAATAAATGAATTATGTAAAGAAATACACAGATGTTTTAAACAAAACTTCTCTATGGTCTCCCACAAACCTCACACATAAATAGAAAGTTAATCATTTGGCAATAAATGAACACTTTAGGTAATGAGAGATACTCAGGATCCCTGAAGAAATTAAATTCTTATTTTCTCTTTTTTTTTTTTTTTTTGAGATGGAGTCTCACTCTGTTGCCCAGGCTGGAGTGCAGTGGCACGATCTTGGCTCACTGCAAGCTCTGCCTCCTGGGTTCATGCCATTCTCCTGCCTCAGCCTCCTGAGTAGCTGGGACTACAGGCACCCGCCACCACGCCTGGCTAATTTTTTTGTATTTTTAGTAGAGACAGGGTTTCACCACATTAGCCAGGATGGTCTCAATCTCCTGACTTCGTGATCTGCCCACCTCGGCCTCCCAAAGTGCTGGGATTACAGGCATGAGCCACCGTGCCCGGTCAGATTCTTATATTCTCTTAAAAAGACAGCATGTCCTGGGCACATATGGAATGCCATGTCCAAGCACACACCCAGCTCCATCCCCATTAGGAGTCACAATTAGCACATTGCTAATGACAAGGTCAAACACAGACCTTTCCCCTTTGGCCTAAGTCTGCTGACAAGGCAAAACACAGATCCTCCAACCACCCATTCTTTGTCTCATTATTAATTAGCTAAGATTAGAACTGTTTGTCCCTCCGAACTAACAAAATCCAAAGATAAACATTTCCTGTTGAGTTGACTAAGACCCCCCTGATTGCAGAATAATTTTGATAGTAAATTATACCACCAGTTACACAGTCACAACCTGCTGAGATCAGGCCATGTTCTCTCTATTAAAAATAGTCCTAATGAAATCATATGCTCCACAGTCTGGTGCATTTTGTCTTTGACAGTTGCCAGGCTCTTTTACTGGAGTTGTAGCTCATGATGTAGAGGAAGCTACTCTGGGGACTTTGGTCATTTTGCACTTTGTAGGAATTGTGCTCAGTAAGTGATTGATTCACTTATCATGAGAGATAATAGGCAAATAAAAAGAATTCTTATACTTTTGATGGCAGCTAATTGGGTTCCCAGGTTAGTCTGGCATAGTGGAAAGAGGATTCCTGGGTTCTATAGGCTGCAGACATGAACCTCCACATTTGCTACTTGTCTCCTTCAAGGAAGTCACTTCACCTCCCTAAGCCTCAGGTATTCAATTTGTGAAATGGTAAGTGCTAGATTTCTAATGTTAACACTGTGGAGAAAAACTCCTTTTCTTAGTAGAAATATCTTCCGTACTCCCAAAACACACACACTCCTGTTTCTCTTCAGGAAATGATTCTATTGACCTGTTAGAATAGGAGCTGAAATCCCAGGTGACAATTTTGAATAATGATATAAGAGGTTAATATTCTACTTTAGATGATGGAGGTTAGAAGCAAGTCAGCTAACTGCAGAGCTGTTGTTTTGCTGATTGGATTCAAGTAGAGTGACAGATCTGAGTACCTTGGGACAAAATGAGGGCATTTCTGAGGAAGCAGAAGTCTGAAAGAAAAGAAAGAGGAGAAGTCATGGGAACCACCTTCTCAAATTATAGTTCCTTTTGGCTAGATACTTAGTTAACTAGTGTAACAGTAAATACAAATGGAACATAAGAAAAAAGTAATAATTCTCCCTGATGGAAAAAGGGAAAGAGATCTCCACCACCACCACCACCATTTCCTCAGAATATTTTCTTTTAGAAACATAAATTCTTTCTCTGCTTCTTAGGGATATAGCAATTTTTTAAAGAAAAAAGATAAGTCTCTTGCAGGTTTTACAATGTAGGAATGTGTTTCTCAAGGGTCTGGAACTATCTCTGAGATAGAATCACCAAGGAGGATTGTACCTCATCCCCTCATCTTTATAAACCAAAAATAAAACTCATAGCCACCCCCTACACCCCTCACAAACATCTGAATGGACCCCTCCTCTGCCAGGGCACCCTAAATTTAACCTGAAAGACTGGTTTAGGCCATGATGGTGAGACAGCCAGGTGGGAGAGGGTCCCCAGTGAAACTGCAACCAGCCCACACTGGAAGGAATGCACCTTGGGGTGGAGCCACAGAAGTTTGCACTGTTTGCAGAGGGAGGAGCCTGGCCCCACCTCTTCCTGTGTGGAAACTGGGATTCAATCTGCAAGGCAGGAAGCACACCAGCAGAGACTCTGACTTTGCAGAGGGTCCCTGTTCCCCCTTTTTTTTCCTTTTCACCCAATAAAACCCTGCTTTACTCACCCTTCAACTCGTCTGCAAGCCTAAATTTTCGTGGCCATGGGACAAAGACTGCATCTTTAGCTGAACTAAGGAAAAGTCCCACAACAATGGGGAGGGAGGGTCAGATATGCCTCATTATGCCCTCTTTCCTCTTGGAATTCAGGAAAAGCCAATCACCATTTAACATCAACACAAGCCTTAGGTCTGAGAAGAAACCTGTACAATCTATTTTCTCTGAAGCCTGCGACATGGAGGCTTCATCTTCATGATAAAACTTTGGTCTCTGCAACCTCTTATCATAACCCAGACATTGTTTTCTATGATAAAACTCTTTCAAGCAATTGCCAATCCGAAATTTTTCATTCTACCTATAACCTGGACACCCCCTTGCTTTGAGTTGTCCCACTTTTCTGGACTGAACCAACTTATATCTTAAATGTATTTGATTGATGTCTCATGTCTCCCTAAAATGTATAAAACTAGGCTGTGCTGCAACCACCTTGGACACATGTTCTCGGGATCTCCTGAGGGCTGTGTCATGGGCCATGGTCACTCATATTTGGCTCAGAATAAATTTCTACAAATGTGTTACAAAGTTGGACTCTTTTTATTGACATTTTCATGGGAGGGTAGGAACCTAATGTTACCTAGGCGTCGGGCTCCACATTGCAAAACTACCTCCTGGTATAAAGATATGAGAATTTGTTTTTCCTTTGGATAAAGGTAATTAGCAAGCACCCATGGCCAATTTCAATTACCCAGTGAATCTGGGATGAATTCTATGTGGCAAGTGGTGCTGTCAAGTCCTTTTACTTACTTGCAAACAACTTATCATCAATCTTGAGAACGTGTATGTGAGGGTTCTACCTACTTGGCCACATGAAAGGGTGAGATTTCTGTCTGTTTTTCAATCTCTTTGGCAGATTTCTTGTGATGCACATTGAAGTGAGCTTTAGTGCTTATTCAACAACATCTATTCTACTTTTGTGGAGAGGTTTCCTGAACAGGTTTTGTTTTAAATTATTTCCCAAACACTAGATATTTGCTATACTTGAGGCTGCAAAGAAGGGGTCAGCAAGCTTTTTCTGTAAAGGCCCAGATAGTAAATATTTAGGCTTTATGTGTCACATACAGTTTTAGGTCATATTATTTTCTTTGCTGTTTTTTTTTTTCCCCAGCCTGTCATTAATGTAAAAAACATTCTTAGCTTGTTGCCCAAATGGGCACTGGATTTGGCCCTTGGCTCCATAATTTGCCAACTGTAAAGTGTGGGAGGAGATTGTGAAACCCTTCCCAGAGAGGCCTGTAAGGGGCACCTTCAGAGGGTGATGCTACCTTTAGGGAAACAGGTGACTCAGACCCAGTCTTTCATTTACTTCCCTAGCCACTAGAGTTTGGCTCCATCTCTGTGCCAAAGGAATGCAGTGAAGAGAGAAGAGAGGTATTCAAAGGTGACATATACAGTTGATTCTCATTATTCACAGTAGTTATGTTCTATAAAGTTTCTGTAAATATCAAATTACTGTAGGGGCAGAGAGAAATCTTCCCCTCTGCCCTCTGATAGTTCACTGCTGAAATGAGCTGACAATAGACAGATTAACAAGGGAAAAATGCATGCAATTTATTAATATGCACATGGAGAAGGAAGTCCTAAAAATATGAGACTCAAAGAAGGGCTTTGGTTAAGGCTTAAATGCCCTCTAGTTGGTTAATTCTTAAATATCCTATTCACAGGGGACAGGGAAAAGGGGGACTGTGGGCACATCTAGAGGGAAAGTAAATTATTTTAGGGAAAATGAATGAGCTCAAAGAAAAGACAATTGGCCTGGTACAAAGTTCGTCTGAGCTCTGGGGGAGGTACAAGCAAATTATGGAAAGGTGAGACCAGAACTTCATTGTAAACAAAGGTTGTCATTATGCAGATAAAATCTTTCCCATAATCTCTCTGAGCTGCCCTCAGAAGGATAGATGAAAAGTCTGTCTGGACATGGTAATGACTTATTTTCTCCTCTCTGGTGGTTACTCTTTCCTGGTTATATGATAAGATCTGTAGAGAGGGAGTTTTAAAACATCTGCATTTCTGGCCCGGTGCAGTGGCTCACGCCTGTAATCCCAGCACTCTGGGAAGGCCGAGGAGGGTGGATCACGAGGTCAGGAGATCGAGACCATCCTGGCTAACATGGTAAAACACCGTCTCCACTAAAAAATACCAAAAAATTAGCCGGGCGTGGTGGTGGGCACCTGTAATCCTAGCTACTCAGGAGGCTGAGGCAGGAGAATGGCGTGAACCTGGGAGGTGGAGCTTGCAGTGAGCTGAGATTGCGCCACTGCACTCCAGCCTGGGTGACAGAGCGAGACTCCGTCTCAAAAAAAAAAACAAAAAACAAAAAAACAGGCCAGGCACAGTGGCTCATGCCTGTAATCCCAGCACTTTGGGAGGTCGAGGTCGGTGGATCACAAGGTCAGGAGTTCGAGGCCAGCCTGGCCAATATGGTGAAACCTTGTCTCTACTAAAAATACAAAAAAATTAGCCGGGCATGGTGGCACATGCCTGTAATCCCAGCTACTTGGGAGGCTGAGGCAGGAGAATTGCTTGAATCCAGGAGGCAAAGGTTGCAGTGAGCCAAGATCACGCCACTGCACTCCAGCCTGGGTGACAGAGCAAGATTCCGTCTCAAAAAACAAAAACAAACAAACAAAAAAACCCTGCATTTGTATATGTCAATTTGACTGGGCTAAATTAAAACAAACAAACAAACAAAAACACTGCATTTCTTCTGGAGAAACCTCCCTTGGTCAGACTTAATCAGATAAGGAAACTTCAGCAAAAGCCTCTCCTTTCTTGCTTCCTTGCTTCAGGAAAGAAAGAGGATGGTAGGTGATATGGTTTGGCTACGTCCCCACACAAATTTCATCTTGAATTGTAGCTCCCATAATTCCCACATGTTGTGGGAAGGACCCAGTAGGAAATAATTGAATCATGGAGGCTGTTCCCCCCATATCCCCATATTGTTCTCCTGCAACAGAATAAGTCTCATGAGAGCTGATGTTTTTATAAGGGGAAACCTCTTTCACTTGGTTCTCATTCTTTCTTGGTTGCTGCCATGTAAGGTGTGCCTTTTGCCTTCCACTGTGATTGTGAGGCCTCGCCGGCCATGTGGAACTGTGAGTCCATTAAACCTCTTTTTCTTTATCAATTACTCAGTCTTGGGTATGTCTTTATCAGCAGCATGAGAACAGACTAATACAGTAGGGTGGGGTTGGGGGGGCTGATGGTGTTAGACAGAGTGTTGGTCCTGAGGCTTATTTCTGAGGCCTTTCAATTTTATTTAATTCAAAGCACTCAACATGTCAAAGTGCCATTTTTGAGGATATGGTTTTCAGAGCTCCAACATTAGCAAGTACTAAATTGTTGCTTCTTGGGAAAATGTAAGGGGAAGTTTCTGTGAGCCTCTGGCTGCAACATTTTCATCAAATGATCAAGACATAATCTTGTTTTATATGTGTTTCTGTTTAAAGACACCTTATTTAACATATAAAATTTATTCATCAGCATTGAGATTATAGCCAATGGCACTGTAGGTCATATCTGAACAAAGTTTATGTCACATGTGCCTCCATAATGCACATCACGGTCTTTTTGTGCTTTGAGAGCACTTTAGCACTATGTTTGGGGGCCATTGTAAACATCAAAATCACCAAAAAAGCACAAAAATATGAAAACCGCGACACTAAACAGATTGTGAAAAGGACACTTGATTTTAGTATGAGAGTTGAAACAAGAAGGCAGAACACGGTTTTGTTCAACATCAGCTGGGAATGTGCAAGCTGGGAGAATGAAATTTTTGGCCAGTCTGTGTATGACAAAAAAGGTGCTGTGAGTGTGAATTTTGGGGTTAGTAATAAATTTTAGCAGGTGGGTGAATTTGCAAATACAAATACATTTTAGCAAGAAGGTGGATTTGAAAATACAAAATCCACGAATAATGAGAATTGACATTCTGTGGGAGTTTTATTGAATGTGAAATGTAAAATCTATTTTCTAACTATTCACAACTACTTATGAATAATGAATTCATTTCCAAATATGTTTCTGTAAAGAGTGTATATATGTTGGGGGGGGGTGTCCCTGGAAGTGCTGAGTGGAACCTCCATTTGGGTGTTATTGTCACCTGACATTTCAGCCCCATTTTTGGGTTATATCACATAATCTTAAGAATTTAAAAGAATCTAATTAAAATATTTGTATGTTAATGTCCATTTGAGGATATTTCAGGAGTAAGAGTGTGTGTGCCTTTAAAATGTCATAATTCTTGGCTTGGATTATTACAGTCATCTATTACCATATTTAGAATAATAGCTATGACAAGCTTCTGCAAGTAGGTCATGTTTGTGCTAATTGCTTGTCAAAGCTGTATCCCCAATTATCACCAACATAACATGTTGATGAGACAAAGTTGATTGCTTATTTATTGCAAAGTTTTTTTGTTTTTTTGAGATGAAGTTTCGCTCTTGTCGCCTAGGCTGGAGTGCAATGGCGCAGTCTCGGCTCACTGCAACCTCTGCCTCCCAGGTTCAAGCGATTCTCCTGCCTCAGCCTCCCGAGTAGCTGGAATTACAGATGCCTGCCACCACGCCCAGCTAATTTTTGTATTTTTAGTAGAGGTGGGGTTTCACCATGTTGGCCAGGCTAGTCTTGAACTCCTGACCTCAGGTGATCCACCCACCTCAGCCTCCCAAAGTGCTGGGATTATAGGCATGAGCCACAGCACCCAGCTTATTGCGAAGTTTATTGCTTACCTATGTGGCAGGAAAATAATTGACCTCCCAAAGATGTCCACACACTCATCTCTGGAATATGTGAACATGTGAACTTACATGAAAAATGGAAATTAAGACCACATTTGGAATTAAAGTTGTTAACTCACTTTGAAATAGGGAGATTATCCTGGATTATCCAGATGGGGCTAATCACAAGATCTTAAAAGTGGAAGAGGGGGGCAGAAGAGAAAGAACCAAAGAGATGGCAGCGTGAGAAGGCCTCCCAGCCTATCACTGCTGACTGTGAAGATGGAGGAAGGGGCCAGGGGCTGAGGACAGCAGGCAGCCTCTAGATGCTGGAAAAGTCAGACACAGGAGCCCAGAGCCTGCAGGAGGAACCTCTACCCTGCTGATGCCTGAATTTTAGGTCAGTGAGACCCACATGGAATGTCTGACCAAGAGGACTGTAGGATAACAAGTCTGGATTGTTTACAACACTGTTTGTGGTAATTTGTTACAGCAGCAATAGAAAACTAATACACTGGCAAGGGAGAGAGTACAGCCTTTGTAAATTTCTATCAGCATCTCAGAGGAGAGAAGGGGAGATCAGAATTTATTGAGAACTGCAAGTTTGTTTTAAGATGGGTCTCTGAAGGAGAGGATTTGATTAGAATTGTGTGAGAATCATGATACAACAGTCTGGGCTTAGAGAAAATAGTGAGGTGAGGATTTGTGGGGAAGGATTCAAAGACTCAAGCTGTAAACTCGGTCTATGACTTCCCCTGAAGAGTTGATAAAGCATTTGGGAAGTTCCTATAATGAAAAATCAAACCATTCTTTAGCTAGGACAGTCCTCGAAAAGTAATACTAATGGAACAATAGAATAACAAAGTCATGTTAATATCAGTGGGAAGGTGTGGCTTCGGTTCTCAGTGTCCAGGCTGAGATGGTTCTCTTGGTTCTTGATTTAATAGCTGATCTTCTGTAGAAAAATGTATAGCTGTCACTGCCCTGCTTCCTCTGTGTACTAATTTATGACTATGCTCAAAGGCACAAAAGCAATACAAGTATGATCTGGATAGAAAAAAAGAAGTATTTGGCAGCTAACTATGAAGAAAATAGAGTATTCTGATGGCTGCTTTCATTACTATCACTGTGTACATTGCTGAAAGTAGAACATGAGCAGAAAATAATAATTTTTGAATTTAAAACATACTTTGCTGTCTACTTATGACATGCTAATAAGGTAACAAATTCTTATCAATCATGTCTGAAAAGGACACAAATAGAACACAGTGCTTGCCATTTTAGTGATTGTCAGATTTCTTGTGACAACTGAGAATGTTAATTTTACAGTAAACTTGCCATTACTCTGTATGTAGTTCATCATGATGTCTTCTGAAGACCTTTCAGTCATGGCCTAGTGTTAAATACCAATGCAATGCTGCTTTGATCAATGCAATGCATGCAGTGCCCATAAAACTAATGTCTTGTAAAACTACTTTGTAGCCAGAAATCTTTAAGACATTACCAGTATTCTGAGATAACACAGAATACTCTCTCATAATTTTTAAATCTTTAAATATTAATTTCAACATCAAACACAATTCATTATGGTACCACTTTTTTTAACATGATTAACTTGATAGCTAATACAAATCAATGTGAATGTAAATATATAAGAAATGACCTAGGTAAGACAATAAACATCTGATTACTTGCTCAGCAAATATTTTCTTACCAACTTTACAAACCTCTTTTTTTTGCATTATTTTGAAACATTTACTTTTGCTAGATTCAATGAAGCAAGTAAAGTTTGAATTTGAAAATAAACTAAACTGTGATTTGTGGAAAAGGTTTTTATTTCACTTTTGAAATAAATGACACATACTGCAATTAATTAAATTTGAGATAATTTGATTATTAGAGATAATGACTTTGAGCAAATTTATCAAAATTTATTATAATAACTCTTAAAATAATCGCATTGTTATTCATGTGCTATGTTAAACCACATAATCAAACTGAAACTTTAAGAAAGTACACAGGTCCCAGAACAGAGCAGTTTTTCCTCAAGACAGGAAATTCTGGTCTACCTGAGTCAGTGCAAAAAGGAACTTTTCTCTGCTTTAACCCTTACAACAAATTAACCTGGATTAACCCTGATCTTAACCAATCAGCTTTTTGTCTATTGTTTTGTTTAATTGTTCTCATTTTACAGAAGCTACTGTTCTTCCATTGTCTGTGGAAGCTCTCATCCTATTTTGTAGAATGCCGGCTGCCCTGATTCATGACTTACAAATAGAAGCCAATTACATCCATAACTAAATTTGTTCTAATTTTGTCTTTTAAAAAAGTTATCGTCATAGGCCAGGCACAGTGGCTCACACCTAAAATCCCAGCATTTTGGAAGGTCAAGACAGGCAGATTGCTTTAACCCAGGAGTTTGAGACCAGCCTGGGCAACATGGTGAAGCACAGCTTCTATAAAAAATAACCAGATATGTTGGCATGCGCCTGTAATCCCAGCTACTCCAAAGACTGAGGTGGAAGAATCACTTGAACCCAGGAGGTCAAGGCTGCAGTGAGCCATGATCACTACAGCCTGGGCAACAGGGCAAGACTCTGTCTCAATAAAACAAACAAACAAACAAAAAACAGTTAACATCATAAATTTTGTTTTTATTAAGAAAGGGCAACTTAACACTTTCTTAGCTCTTGAGGATGTAAATTGGTTATCTAACATATATTAATGTCTCAAATATTGTATTATCTTTTAAAAATATGTTTGTGTAGAATATGGAGTGAATTAAGTTAAAATCCAGATAAATATTTTCATTATCTTGCAAAGTTTCCAAAATGCTATGTGTTTTTGCATATAATTATTTACAACTTATTTTTAACACATTACTTCAGCCTATTAGGGATCCAATGACATAGCCTGGATGTTTGTCTCCTAAACCTCATGTTGAAATTTGAACCCCTGTGTTGGAGGTGGGGCCTAATGGGAGGTGTTAGGGTCTTGGGAGCAGATCCCTCATGAAAAGATTGTTGCCCTCCCCGGGGAGAGGGGATGAATGAGCTCTTTGTTAGTTCCCAAGAAAGCTAGTTGTTACAAAGAGCCTAGCACCCCCTCCCCCCTCTTTCCTCTTTTCTCACTATGTGATCTCACTACATGCTGGCTTCCCTTTGCCTTCCGCCATGTGTGGAAGCAACCTCAGAAATTCACCAGAAGCTGAGCAGATGCTGGTGCCATTCTTCCTGTATGGGCTGCAGAATCATGAGCCAAATAAACCTCTTTTTTAAATACATTTTTTAGTCTCAGGAGTTTTTTTTAATAGCAACACAAATGGGTTAAGATATTCAATGCAATGGTTCATGCCAAAAAATACTTTGCTATCCCATGTCACGTTATAGACTTCAGGAGAAAGGACGTTTAGAAGGCATAAAGACATTTACAAAGCACAGTAGTCCCTGTTTTTATTAAAACACATCATTGCTCTATGTAAGTATTTGCTCTGGTTCTGTAAGTGACTCTCCCAGCACACCTCTGGCCTTCAGGTTTATTCTATTTTCTCAGCACAGCACAGTTTTGCTAATTTGTAAAACTCCAATTTCTCATGAACATAATCAGATTTCTGGTTTCTCATAAAAAGAAATCATAGAAGACCTGGTCACACTGGGAGGCATCCCTTATAGGGTAGGACTATGCCCTTTCAATGAGCCAGGCTCTGTCCTGAGAGACAGCATTCCCTCCCAGCTCCATTTACTCCTTACCTCTCCTTGAAGGTTTTTACCTGCTATGATCTTTAGCAACTCTGCTGCCTTTGCTTGCAAGAGAAGATTAGGCATATAATTAACATTTCAGTAGCAGATCAGGCAGAGTCAGAATGAGGGCTTTTGAAACACATCGCAGCATTCATTTACAAGTGATTAGTGGTGGCCACAGGACTGGCTGTCGCTGATTTGCCTTGCTTTAGGGAAGCCATTTTTATCTTCCCTCTACTTCTGGCTGTTGGAATGTTTCCATCTTCCAGCATATGGCACACTTAGTTCCTGAGGTTTTTGCTCCCAGGAAAAGAGAAAGTCCCCAAACTTAATTTTATCCTGGGAAGAGTGCATCTAAACCTTTAATTCAGAGCAGATGATCACTAATCCTAGCATAGTCAGACCTAAGCAGGCAATATTTAGGGACAGACAAACTTTGAAATAATAGCAACTGGCTATTGTATCTCTACTAAGAACTCTGCCTCAAGCGTAGACATGGTTTTCTCCTATAAATCTCACCCTTAGGAACTGACAATTTGTCTTAGGTCAGGATGATATTAGTTTAGCACTCACAATAAGTTTTTCTGGAAATTTAGAATGGTAACAGAAGTTTATATTCTTAGGAATAAATATAAACTATTTTCTTCCTACTATGTTCTGTGTGTCATTGTGGCTGGTGAATAAAGAAAGGACAGACACTTTGGGAGGCCGAGGTGGGCAGATCATGAGATCAGGAGATCGAAACCATCTTGGCCAACATGGTGAAACCCCGTCTCTACTAAAAATACAAAGATTAGCTGGGCGTGGTGGCATCTGCCTGTAATCCCAGCTACTTGGGAGGCTGAGGCAGGAGAATCGCTTGAACCAGGGAGTTAGAGATTGCAGTGAGGTAAGATTGTGCCACTGCACTCCAGCCTGGTGACAGAATAAGACTCCGTCTCAAAAAAAAAAAAAGGACAGAAAGAAAGAGAGCAATTTCTCCCTCCAAGCTTCCATACTCTCTTCATCTGCAGTGCATATGGACATGTGAACACTTTCCTTCACTACTGGACTTAACAGACTGACACATGAGGGGGCAGGCAACACCCTCCCTGCAAGGCAACACAAGAAATGGTTCAAGGTGAGGCAGAGGACAGGTGATGTTCCTGACCTGGCTCTGAACTTTGCTGGCTGAGTGACCATGGATGAATGGCTGATCCACCATAATTCTCATCTTTAAAATGAGATTTTAGAATGGGTTGTGTTGTAGATTAGTACAGCCATTATGAAAAACATTATGGAGGTTCCTCAAAACCTTAAAACTAGAACGAGCATATGACCCAGCAATCTCACTTATGGCATATATGGAAAGAAAATGAAATCAGTATGTCAAAGAGATGTCTTCACTTCTACATTTACTGCAGTGTTACTCACAATAGCCAAGATACGCAATCAACCTAAGTGTTCATCAATGAATACATGGATTTTTAAGATGTGGTATATATATGAATACTATTGAACCAAAAAACAGAATGAAATCCTGTTATTTTCAACAACATGGATGAACCCAGAGGACATTAGGTTAAGTGAAATAAGTTAGGCACAGAAAGAGAAATATTGCATGATCTCACGCACATGTAGAATCTAAAAAGTTGGGCTGGGTGTGGTGGCTCATGCCTGTAATCCTAGCGCTTTGGGAGGCCGAGGAGGGTGGATCACCTGAGGTCCGGAATTTGAGACCAGCCTGGCCAACATGGCAAAACCCCATCTCTACTAAAAATGCGAAAGTTAGCCGGTCATGGTGGCACACGCCTGTAATCCCAGCTACTTGGGAGGCTGAGGAAGGACAATCATTTGAACCCAGGGAGGTGGAGGTTGCAGTGAGCCGAGATCGCACCACTGCACTCCAGCCTGTGTGACAGGAGCTAGACTTCATCTCAAAAAAAAAAAAAAAAAGTTTATGTCATAGAAGTAGAAAGTAAAATGGTTGTTACCAGAGACTGGGATGTTGGGGGCAATGGGAAGATACTGGCCAAAAGATATATAATTACACTTAGATAGTTAAATGTCCAGGAAATAATAAATGTATAAAGACAGAAAGAAGATAAGCAATCACTTGGGGCCGAGGGATGGTGAGGAGAGGATAGATGGAGGGAGGAGAGAAATGAGGAAAGACTACTAATGGTCATGGAGTTTCTTTTTTGGGTGATGAAAATGCCCTAAAATTAATCGTGGTGATGGCTGTGCAACCCCTGAACATACTAAAAACCACTGAAGTGTATACTTTAAATGGGTGAATTGTATGATATATGAATTATCCCAATAAAGCTGTTTAAAAAAAATGGTTGTGATGAGGAGTGATGCCTATGAAACCTTTAACATAGTGCCATATACAGTAACAACTCAGTAATATTTAGTTATTTGTATTATTATGCCATCTCCAAGACACCTCACCACTAGTCTCTAGAGTATCACAAGTAAAACTATGTGGAATCTTCCACTCACTCCAGTTTCCACTCTGGCAATCGTGTGGTCTATAAAATATACTGTCCTCTTTCAGACCTGGAAGTGGAAGGAGGCTGCACACATTTGAAAGAAAATTGTCCAATTAAATTCATTATCTTTATGACATAGAGATATGGAAAATGGATATAAATGCAGGAGCTTTGTTTTTAAAAGTTGAATAATAAATTCTGCTGAAATACAATGTCATTCACTATGTAGGCAAATAACATCTACAAAAATTTAGGTAGAGGGATGTATACATCTATTAGGATATTCTAGAATGACTTTTTAAAGGTTATGCTGTAAAAATGCCACCAGGTGTTAGAAAAAGATCAAACTGTGTCAAACTTTTTTTTTTCTTTTTTTTTTGAGATGGAGTCTCGCTCTGTCGCCCAGGCTAGAGTGCAGTGGCGCGATCTTGGCTCACTGCAAGCTCCGCCTCCCGGGTTCACGTCGTTCTCCTGCCTCAGCCTCCCGAGTAGCTGGGACTACAGGCGCCTGCCACCACACCCGGCTGATTTTTTTGTATTTTTAGTAGTGGCAGGGTTTCACCGTGTTAGCCAGGATGGCCTCTATCTCCTGACCTCGTGATCCGCCAGCCTCAGCCTCCCAAAGTGCTGTGATTACAGGCGTCAGCCGCTGCGCCCGGCCTCCTCCATAGCCCTTCCAACAGAAGCACCAAATGACAACTCTAGAAGAAACATTTACAACTCTTTCCATTTTTCATCATACCTTTAAATTATAGGATGTCATTTGATGGTTTATTTCAGTGGTCTGTTGTTCTACTTGGTGGTCTATTTCATTATAAAATATATCTTTTATGACAGTAAACCACTGGGCTACAGAGTCATGATAATTTCTAAATTTTGCTGCTGACCTCTAGACTCACAGTCTGTAAATAGTCTGACTTTATATCACTCCTATAAATGTTGTCAGGTTAGGGTCAAGTAAATAATTAGAAAATAATTCAGTATTTTTTTAATCAAGCATTATGATTTTTATCTTTTTGCAAGTTTAGAGTAACTTTTTCTCGGACAAATGCTTCTCTTGACCCTGACACTCTCTGAAGATTTGTTTTGTGTGCCAAATTGTATTACTGTTCCCAATTACTTGCTGTCCTCCAAGTAAGAGGATTATACATCCCTGACACAATGGAGTTGGGATTGGTCATGTGACTTGCTGTAGCCCATAGAACGTGAAGAGAAATGCTGAGAGCCACTGCTGTGAAGAAGCTCACATTCTGCCCATAATGGCCAGAGAGCACATCAGCCATAAATTAGGTTGTTCAGTTCATAGCCTGCCTCCCTCCAAGCAAACATTATGGTGATAGGCAGAATAATGCTAGGAATCTTAAAGGTTTGGTCATTTTCTTTTCTCATTTTCAGAGCTTTGTGCACTTTTGACCCATATTGTTTTTAAAACTTTGCCACTTAGGATAGATTTACAGCAACCCATAGGAAACAAAATTTAAAAACAATACATAAGGCAATTATCTAAGAGCTATAATTTTTAAATTAAAAGATTTTAAAACACTAAAAGGAATGGGAGGAAAGTTCTCTACTAATTTATTAAATGATGCAAAAGAAAATAGACTGGAGAAAAATGACTAATAACAAATACAGCATCCTCTTTCATATTTTAATATTCTACGTATTAGATTTAATGATGACCAGGTATTTGAGAGTATATTTATTGTCATAAGTTAGGCATAAATGTATATATAGACACATTGATACATTAAGTGCCTTTGTGTGATTGTATACCATATCTACATTTAGTTTTTGTGAACTATATGTAGTTCACATATATATCACATGTCATGCACATATATGTCATGCATGTGACATATAGCATACACATACATTTAGGAAAAAAAGTTCTATGAATGAAAATATATGTGTCCATCTCCTAGCTTAATAAATTAAACATTACCAATATTTATTAGTCCTCAAGGTAAATGCTATCCTAAATTTTGTTTATCATTCCTTTACTTTTTGTTTGTGATTCTTTGAATATACTCTTTTGTTTTTCCCTATTTTTTTTTTTTTTTTTTTTTTTTTTGAGGTGGAGTCTTGCTTTGTCGCCTAGGCGGGAGTGCAGTGGCACAATCTCGGCTCACTGCAAGCTCCACCTCCCGAGTTCATGCCATTCTCCTGCCTCAGCCTCCCGAGTAGCTGGGACTACAGGCGCCCGCCACTACGTCTGGCTAATTTTTTTGGTTTTTTAGTAGAAACAGGGTTTCACCGTGTTAGCCAGGATGGTCTTGATCTCATGACCTCGTGATCCGCCCATCTCGGCCTCCCAAAGTGCTGGGATTACAGTCGTGAGCCACTGCGCCTGGCCTGTTTTTCCTCTTTTTAAAGACTTCGTAGACTTGGAACATACATATTAACTCTGTGTTTTTTTAAAAGCTATTATTGTTCAACTTGAGTTTTTGAGATTCAGGCATGCTGATACATGTAATTAATGTCCTTAATTTTCACTGCTATATGATATTCCACTGAATGCATCTGCCACATTTTATTCATCCATTTTTTGGTTTTTAGGCATCTTAGTTGTTTATTTTTCCTTTTCTGGCTTTCATAAAAAATGTTTCTATGAATATTTTAGTTTATAACATCTTTTCCCAGTGACTTTTGGATTTTCCTATTCACAACCTATTTAACTGAGTTTACTGGTTTGAATAGAGAACTTTGGGAGGCAACCAATGTGACTTATTTTAGCAGACGGGATGGTGGTTGAGGTGAACTGATATGCACATGAGGTCAGGCCAGTTGTGCACATGGGCATAGCCTTTTATCAGTGATACTTCTGAACAGCCCAGCACATTATTGCTGGGAAGTCCTTTAGAGACCATGGGTCCGATTTCCTCTTCTTGAATTGCTGTGCCAATTCATTTTCAAAAATTACTGTCATGGCTGGATGCGGTGGCTCACGCCTGTAATCCCAGCACTTTGGGAGGCCAAGGCGGGCGGATCACGACGAGGTCAGGAGATCAAGACCATCCTGGCTAACATGGTGAAACCCCGTCTCTACTAAAAATACAAAAAATTAGCCAGGCGTGGTGGCGGGAGCCTGTAATTCCAGCTATTCAGGAGGCTGAGGCGAGAGAATGGCATGAACCTGGGAGGCGGAGCTTGCAGTGAGCCGAGATGGCGCCACTGCACTCCAGCCTGGGAGAAGAGAGAGACTCCGTCTCAAAACAAAACAAAACAAAACAAAAAAAAAAACAAAAAAAAAACCCTGTCATGTTAATGTAGTTTCCTATGAGAAACAAGTGAATTAAAGAGTTAAAAATTAATCGTGTTACAGATGAGCTTGTTTAATTGCTGCATTCCTTCTTTTTCTGTAGTGACTTTATATGAGCACTGAGAGGCAGAAATGGTGATGAGGGTTGAGAATTTGCGGTTGTTTTCTTCCCAACTAACTTGTAAATTTAGAATGACCTAAATTTAACGACAACAGCTGCAAACTCTAATCTGAGTACTATATTATAATATTAACCACTGAATGAAACTAGACATATTATGTCAACGTAAGAGCAACATTTTCAGGGAAGGGTGAGGAATTTGGACTATTTTAGAAACTAAAGGAATACAGCAGGCAAAAGCAAACACCAATCTGCTGACGTCAGATAAAGACAAACTTTATTTCTGAAAAAAGAAACTTGGGGGAGAAAAGCTTAGGGCAAACCACCAGCTGATATAGTTTAGATGGCCAGGTGCGGTGGCTCACGCCTGTAATCCCAGCACTTTGGGAGGCCGAGGCGGGCGGATCACAAGGTCAGAAGATCGAGACCATCCTGGCTAACATGGTGAAACCCCATCTCTACTAAAAATACAAAAATTAGCCGGGCATGGTGGCCGGCGCCTGTAGTCCCAGCTACTCGGGAGGCTGAGGCAGGAGAATGGCGTAAACCCGGGAGGCGGAGCTTGCAGTGAGCCGAGATCGTGCCACTGCCCTCCAGCCTGGGCGAGAGTGCAAGACTCCATCTCAAAAAAAAAAAAAAAAAAAAAAAAAAAAAATATATATATATATATATATATATATATAGTTTGGATGTTTGTTCTTTCCAAATCTCATGTTAAGATGTGATTCCCATGTTGGAGGTAGGCCCTGGTGGGAGGTGTTTGGGTCATGGGGGTGGAGACCTCATGAATGGTTTGATGCCTTCCTCATAGTAACGAATAAGTCCTCCCTGCATTAGTTCATGCAAAAGCTGGTTGTTTAAAGGAGTCTAGGCCGGGTACAGTGGCTCACGGCTGTAATCCCAGCACTTTGAGAGGCTGAGGCCGGCGGATTGATTGAGCTTAGGAGTTCGAGACCACCCCGGGCAACATGGTGAAAGCTCGCCTCTACTAAAATACAAAAAAGTAGCCAGGCCTGGTGGAGTGCACCTGTAGTCCCAGCTACACGGGAGGCTGAGGCACAAGAATTGCTTGAGCCTTGGAGGCAGAGGTTGCAGTGAGCCAAGATCGCATCACTGCACTCCAGCTGGGGCTACAGAGTGAGACTCTGTCTCAAATAAATAAATAAATAAATAAATAAATAAATAAAGTCTGGCATCTCTCTTGTTCCCTCTCTTACCATGTCATACACCAGCTCCCACTTTGCCTTCTGCAATGATTGTAAGCTTCCTGTGGCCTCAGCAAAAGCTGATACTGTCATTACACTTTTTGTACAGCCTGCAGAACTGTGAACCAAATAAACCTCTTTTCTTTATAAATTATCCAGCCTCACATATTTCTTTATAGCAACACAAAATCGACTAACACACCAGCAGACATGGTGTTCTTGTTCTCAAAGCCAAGGCGGGCAGATCACCTGAGGTCAGGAGTTCAAGACCAGCTTGGCCAACATGGCAAAACCCCATCTCTAGTAAAAATCAAAAAATTAGCCGGGTGTGGTGGTGTGCACCTGTAATCGCAGCTACTCTGGAGGCTGAGGCAGGAGAATTGCTTGAACCCAGCAGGTGGAGGTTGCTGTGAGCTGAGATTGCACCACTGTACTCCAGCCTGGGTGACAGAGCAAGACTCTATCTCAAAAAAAAAATTATTATAATCACAAAGTTTAATTTACAGATATGACCTGTTTGTGCAGGGACCTCACAGTCCCCGTGTCTATTTACAGAATCTCCAGCTTTGAACTCACTAAGATAGGGCAACCTCAGTTTCAGGTAGCTGGAGTGGAAACCCCCATAACACAGTTCTGACTTCATTGTTCTTTATATCTAATCCCAGGTATACCTTGTATAGAATCTGTTACAAGGTGAGGTAAGTGAGGTACTCCCCTTAGGAACACAATTAAATGGGTAAGCACAAAACTTAGCAATCAAAATAAATAATGTTTTAATACATTATTTAAAAATATTAAAATTAATGCAAAAAAGTCACCATGAGCAAATATTAAAATTTAGCAGGATCTGAGCCTGCACTTTTGCAACTCACCTTGTTCATCTCACCTTAATTCCTGTTAATTTCCTTCTCAATTAGTTTCCAGCAGGACAAAAATTCGTTGGACTTGGTATGAAGATTCAATCCATACCTTGCAGAAATATTTGGTTTAAGAAGGATATTTCATCTAGGCCGAGGTCATTTATTAAGTTTAATTCTCCCATCATGTCTTCAAGGCAACAAATATAGTCTAAGACCCTCTATGACCAGTTTTATTTGCCACTTTCCAATTATTTTGTCACTACACAGCCAATCACAATCTGTTGTAAGATTTTACTACAAATGATGACTTAATCTTGCTATTATGATTAGGATGATTATATAGTGTTCTTCATTTAAATTGGGACATTCTTTATTTGAAAGGAGTGCTATAGAAATCATGCCAGGACTAATGGGACTGACTTGGACAAAGCAGTATTGCTTTCTGTATGTGCTATTATATTTTAACCACGTTCTTGTCTCATGGATGGCTTTATTAGCATAAGAGTGGCCACTTTTAAAAAGCAGCATTTCTGGGAGGCTGAGGGAGGAGAATGGTGTGAACCCGGGAGGCAGAGCTTGCAGTGAGCCGAGATCGCACCACTGCACTCCGGCCTGGGCGACAGAGAGAGACTCTGTCTCAAAAATAAATAAATAAATAAATAAATAAATAAATAAATAAATAAATAATAAAAATAAAAATAAGAAAGCAGCATTTCCTACATATTGCATTCAATTTTTTACTTACCTATCCCTTTGACTTTTAAAACTTTTTTTCTTAGTCTGTGCTTATGTCTTTGTGATGTTTCCATCAGACAGCAGGCGGCACCACTGCAGCGCACTGTGCACCAAGTTTTGCATTCCTGCCATCCTTTTATACTTATTTATTTATTTAGACAGAGTCTCACTCTTGTTGCTCAAGCTGGAGTGCAGTGGTGCGATCCTGGCTCACTGTAACCTCTGCCTCCCGGGTTCAAGCGATTCTCCTGCCTCAGCCTCCCTTGTAGCTGGGACTACAGGCACCCACCACCAAGCCCAGCTAATTTTGTATTTTTAGTAGAGACGGGGTTTCACCACGTTGGTCAGGCTGGTCTCGAACTTCTGACCTTAGGTGATCCACCTGCCTCAGCCTCCCAAAGTGCTAGGGTTACAGGTGTGAGCCACCACCCGAGCCTTACACCATTCCTTGAAATTTGCGTTTATGGCATCTTTGACTTACTCAATAACACATCTTGTACCATCGTGCTAGAAATGCTAACTTGTGTTCAGAATTTCTGCATCCTTCTTAAGTGAAACTTTGCCAATTAAGTAAACCTGTGATAATACGGTAATGAAATCTTATCCCAGTATCTCATTTCTAGTGCCATAATAGTGACAATTTATCTTGTCATCTTCAGAGGGGCTTAACCTCACTGATTCTGTCAGTAGTAATGGATATATTTAATTAATTCAGCAGGAAGTTCTGTCTTTAAGCTCATTCTCTTTCCCCTATGCGGAGAGTGAGGACAAGCTTCTGCAAAAGAGCCGATTAGCAGAACTTTTGATATTCTGAAGACAGTTACTGTCCCTCTCTTGCCCTTTCTCTTGCTCTGTGTGTGTGTGTATGTGTGACACACACACATTTAATATGTTTATATAAATATTAACATATATCTTTAATATTTTCCAGTCCTTATCTCAATGCTCTTGATTGATAATGAGGGGCAGTGAAAGTCATTACAGAGATATACAAAGTTTACCTTAACTGTATCTAGATGTAGAGTTTTTTAAATCATTTGAACTCTGAGTTTCAACATTTTTTTAAAGCAATAAATGAAAGCCTTCAGAGTGCAAAAATTTTTAATATGATATTAATTTGAAAACCTCAAAGTCTCTGCAGTGATTTTAAATATGATGCAGCCTTCTACTCTAAAATATGAAATCTAGATTATTAAAGTATTACTAGAATATGGCTTTAGTTGTTAATTTAAAAATCTAAATAAAATACAACAGTTTTTATGACAGTTCTGAGGGGAAAAAAACACTGTGGATTGTGTAGGAGTTAAAGGCTGAATCTTCATTTCCTGCTCTCTGAAACTGTACCAGTGATTGACAACCACAAAATAGAGAAAGATTAATGCAGAATATGTCAGTGTAGCAGATAAATTCCACACTTCATAAAACATTTTTTCACAGAGATTAAAAAAATAGAACATTATCAAGAGAACACAACCCCTGGGTAATAAATGTTAATATTTACATCAATAATATACTATAAATATTAATATTTAAATGACACTGGAGATAACCTAAGGAAAAACTATCAGTTTGACTGGGCCACAGGGTGGCTCAGATATTTGGTCAAACATTATTCTGTGTGTCTGTGAGGGTGTTTTCTGAATGAGATTAACATTTGAATCTCTAGCTGAGTGAAGCCCACTGCACTCCCCAATATGGATGGTCCTTATCCTCTTGGTGGGAGGCCTGAATAGAACAAAACAGCTGACCCTCCCGTGAGTACTGGGGAGCTCCTTTTGCCTGACTGTGTGAACTGGGACATTGGTCTTTTCCTACATTCGTAAATGAACGAAAACATTGGCTCTTCTTGAGCCTCAAGGCTGCAAGCTTTTGGACTATACCTTACCTCTGCTGGGTCTCCAACTTGCTGACTTCAAATTTCCATACTAATCAGCTTCTGTCATTACTTGAGCCAATTCTCAATTCTTTAGACAGTCCCCAACTTACAATGGTTCAAAATGATTTTGCAGCTAATGATGGTGTGGGCTGTTTTGTTTTTATTTAATAAATTGACAATTATTTTAGCTAAAATAATAAAGATTGCATTTTGTTTTTTACTTTCAACATAGTATTTAATAAGTTACATTAAATATTCAACACTTCATTATAAAATAGGCTTTGTGTTACATGATTTGGCCCAAACATAGGCTAAATGTATGCTAATGTAAGTGTTCTGAGCACATTTAAGGTAGGCTAAGCTAAGCTATGAGGTCCAGTAGGTTAGGTGTATTAAATGCATTTTCAACTTGTCAGAGACAAGTGAACCAGAGCAACTCCATCTTAAATAGGAGCTGGGTAAAATGAGGCTGAAATCTCCTGGGCTGCATTCCCAGATGGTTAAGGCATTCTAAGTCATAGAATGAGATAGGAGGTCAGCACAAAATACAGATCATAAAGACCTTGCTGATAAAACAGGTTGCAGTAAAGCAACCAGCCAAAACCCACCCAAACCAAAATTGCGATGAGAGTGACTCTGGTCGTCCTCACTGCTACTCTCCCACCAGCACCATGACAGTTTACAGATGCCATGGCAACGTCAGAAAGTTACCCTATATGGTCTAAAAGGGGAGGGATGAATAATCCACCCGTTGTTTGGCAAATCTCAAGAAATAACCATAAAAATGGGCAACCGGCCAGGTGTGGTGGCTCACGCCTGTAATCCCAGCACTTTCGGAGGCCGAGGCGGGTGGATCACAAGGTCGGGAGTTTGAGACCAGCCTGACCAATAAGGTGAAACCCTGTCTCTACTAAAAATACAAAAATTAGCCAGGCCTGGTGGTGCACGCCTGAGATCCCAGCTGCTCAGGAGGCTGAGGCAGGAGAATCACTTGAGCCCTGGAAGGGGAGGTTGCAGTGAGCCTAGATAGTGCCACTGCACTTCAGGCTGGGCAACAGAGCAAGACTCCATCTCAAAAAAAAAAAAAAAGAAAAAGCGCAATCAGCAGCCCTTGGGGCTGCTCTTTCTATGGAATAACCATTCTTTTATTCCTTTACTTTCTTAATAAACTTACTTTCATTTTGCACTGTGAACTCGCCCTGAATTCTTTCTTGCACAAGATCCAAGAACCCTCTCTTGGGGTCTGGATCTGGACCTCTTTCCTGTAACAAACTTATGATGGGTTTATTGTGACATAACCCCATTGTAAGTTGAGGAACATCTGTGTGTGTGTGTGTGTGTGTGTGTGTGTCTATGTGTAGACAGAGATAGAAAGAGATAGAGAGAGACAGTACTCTAGAGAAACCTTACTAATAATATATGTAGAACAAACAAACAAAACAAAACCATTTCTATATTATGTCACACCTAACTTGTTGCTTTCCACTCTGGTATTATTGTTGAATAAATGAGCAAATGCCACACAGTTACAAAATGATACTTTTTCCATTTTTATAGCCAATTCAAACAGAAAAGCAATCTTATGGATACTATGGTCCACATCATAAAAGCATATTTTATTTTTTTATTTTATAGAGTAGATACTGTCAATAAACATTAATCTAAAAATTAATTTTTAGATTAATGGCGGCCATACTAGTTATAGTTTATGAATCATGTTTGGTCAACTAGTAGCAGGATATAATTTCTACTTGGCCAAGCCCAGTGGCTCACAGCTGTAATCCTTGCACATAGGGAGCTCAAGGGGAGAGGATCACATGAGCCCGGGAGTTCAAAACCAACCTGGACAACATTTCTACAAAAAAATGTAAAAATTTGCCAGGCACAGTGGCACGCCTGTGGTCCCAACTACTAGGGTGGCTGAGGTGGGAGGATCATCTGAACCTGGGAGGTGGAGGCCGCAGTGAGGTCTGATCACACCACTACACTCCAGCCTCGGCAACAAAGTGAGACCTCACCTCTCAAAAAACAAATCATTTATATGGACTTAGTTCCTTTAACGTGAAATAATGCCCCATATGTGCACATTCCATTGATTTGTAGGAAAAAATTGATGCAAGGATGAGGGATGCATAAAGGAAGAATTTCTCCAGTATCTCTCCATCTTTTTTTCTTTTTCTTTTCTTTGCTTTTTTTTTTTTTTTGAGACTGAGTCTCGCTCTGTTGCCCAGTCTGGGGTGCAGTGGCACGATCCGGGTTCACTGTAACCTCCGCCTCCGGGGCTCAAGCAATTCTTCCTGCTTCAGCCTCTAGAGTAGCTGGGATTACAGGAGCCTGCCACCACACCCAGCTAAATTTGTTTGTATTTTCTAGTAGAGACTGGGTTTCACCATGTTGGCCAGGCTGGTCTTGAATTCCTGACCTCAGGTGATCAGCCTGCCTAGGCCTCCCAAAGTGCTGGGATTACAGGTGTGAGACACTGTGCCCGGTCCAGTATCTCTCAATCTTGATTTAGGGGTTAGAGACTTCTTGGCCCCGACTTTGTGACCACTTTCACTAGTTATCTCCATGCCCACTCTGGAGAAGTGAAGCTAGGGAGGCCTTCAGCTGCTGGCTCACTAGGAAGCACTCACAGCGGGAGGGAGCCGACTCTGCCCTCCAGGTGGTTTTAGGTCCACATCTGTGGAGGGCCAGGAGCTGGTAACTATTCTGTGATGCACGTTGAATTTTCTCCACTGTAACTCATTCCCTGGACATCTTGTCAGTTCACTCACAAATGAGATGTTGACAGTATTTGTGTTAGAACAGCATGTCCTAAAGTGGCATTTTACATGTAGCTGCTTTGTGCATTTATCTTTTATAATACAAAACTATTATCCTTAAAAAAATGTCATTTAAGTACAAGCTTAAAAAAGACTTTCGGAAGTAGTTACCAATTTAGGGATACACCTGGGATATGACATTATTCTTTTTAATCAAAACTTCAGCCCCATGGAAAATGTAGCAGTAGACACTTTAGATGACAGTGACACAAATCATATCCTTTTATGTTTGGGTAGGCTTTAACTTCTAAAATCATCTCTTACCTCATTCTCCTACTTTTAAGGAAAAAAGTTTCATTTTACCTTGGCATGTTATGACTGCTGACATGATTTCCAACATGCCATTAAATAGAATCATCTTGAAGAAGTAAGGAGGGGAAGGAAGTGGAGGGAGAAAACCCAGATTATCAGAGGCTCTGGTAAACATTTGATAGGAATCACTATCTCCCTTAGTCCTCAAAAAACTCCACAAACCAGATATTGTGCATCTTGCAAAAGCAGAAACACAAAGCAGAAAGGTCAAGCAACTTGCCTCTGATTTCACTATTAAGGAGAGCAGAGCACAGCCTCAGGTTCAGGCCCTGGTTCTAGAGCCCCTGTTCTAACCACTGCTTGCGGCTGCCCACCCTGCAGAACATGCTGGCATACTATGCAGAGGCAAAGGCAATGTTTTACTGAAATGTCAGAGGTTTATGTTATTGGCATACTACAGATGACCTTCTTTGTGGCCCCAATTTTGCTTCAAATAATAGAAAATGCACAGTAGGCTGGGGATGGTGGCTCACACCTGTAGTACCAGCACTTTGAGAGGCTGAGGTGGGAGGATCACTTGAGTCCAGGAATTTGAGACTAGCCTGGGCAACACAGCGAGACTGTCTCTACCAAACAAAGAAAGTGTACAATAGTTCCACATACACATTTTACATCTGACAGAAACTAAGAAACAAAAATCTGGAATACCTCCACCTAAGACTGTACAGCCCCTGGTTACACAGATGTGACTGAATATTTCTGTGGGACTCTCAGGTTGCTGGTTCTCATTTCCATTCTGATTTCTGCATCTTTCCACTTTCATGAATTGTATTTTACACTATGTAAGTTGCAACCATTTGGAAAAACAAACAAAAATAAGTATTTTTGCAGCTAATTAATTTATAAAGTTTTTATTTTTAATTCACCTCATTTCAATGGGGAAAAAAGTATAAGATACAAAATAGAGTCATGAATAAAATAAAATAAAACGTGTATAATTGGTATTTCTACATGAACATAAATGCATGAATATGTTGTTCAATTGCTTGGTCCGAGTAATACTTTTATTTCTGAGAGTACTTGCTGTCAAAGAAAGGTTGAAACATGATCAATTACAAGACACTCAAGGTTAATAATAGAATTTAGAAAAAGCAATGGACAGGGATGCTGCATGGTAAAGTTGCAGAGATCAGATATCAGCCCCAATTTTCTTTTTTTTATACAATGGTGATGATGATGTTGATATTAATAATCATCTTAACATTTACTGAGTATTAATATTACGTCTGCACTATTGTAGCACTTTGCATGTATTAACTCATCTCCTCTTCACAGAAGCCCTAGGAGGTAATATATCAGTAATATTTGCATTTTACAGAGGCAGGAAGACACAACTGCCAAGGTCACAAGGTATATTAGTTTGCTAGAGACATCATAACAAAGTGCCACACACTGGGTGACTTAAACAATGGGCATTTTTTGTCTGACAGTTCTGGAGGATAGAAGTCTAACACTAAGGTGCCAGCAGGGTTGGCTCCTTCTGAAGGCTATGAACGAAGCATCTATTCCAGGCCTCTTTCCTGGTTTTGTAGACACCTGTCTTCTTCTTTGATCTCTTCACATCATCTTCCCTCTACGTGTGTCTGTCTCCAAATTTCCCTTTTTACAAGGATATTAGTCAAATTGGATTAGGGTCCCTTCACAACAACCTCATTTTAACTCCCATGTAAAGACCCTATGTCCAAATAATTCCTGGGTTCTGCAGTACTCAGTGTTTAAAAATTCAACATATGGGCTGGGCATGGTGGCTCACATCTGTAATCCTAGCACTTTGGGAGGCTGAGGCAGGCAGATCACCTGAGGTCAGGAGTTTGAGACAAGCCTGACCAACATGGCAAAAACCCATCTCTACTAAAGGTACAAAAATTAGCTGGGCATGGTGGCAGGTGCCTGTAATCCCAGCTACTCAGGAGGCTGAGGCAGGAGAATCACTTCAACCCAGCAGTTGGAAGTTGCAGTGAGCTGAGATAGGGCCATTGCACTCCAGTCTGGGTGACAGAGTGAGACTCTGTTTCAAAAAAACTAAATAAATAAAAATAAAATAAAAATTCAACATTTGAATTCTGAGAGATGCATGGTTCAACCTCTAACACACGGCCAGGAGATCTGCACACAGGCAGCCTGGCCCTGCACCCAGCCTCAGGGCTATTCAGAGTGTGGTCTGTGACCCTCAACCTCAAGTGCCACCCTGGGTTTCCCTTAGTTCCTTGAACACCTTTTTTTCAGTAAGTCTTTAGGAAGGTAACATAATGTAGGTAATTCATTCAAAGTAAGAATGTAGCTCCATTAATGACATAAGTGCATTCTGTCCTGGTTTTGTTGGACTATTTTATTCTTCCCCTTTATTTGTCCTCCCTGGATGTTAAGTCAGCCCTGTTGGGTGATGTAAAAAGGGCGAGTGTGATCTCAGGGCTCTTAGGGAGAGGGTCAATACCGTGACAGCATCAGTCAGGCAGTCTCTCACAGGAGCCATCGGCTTCCTGCGGCTTCCTCCAGAGCCTTCCTTCCTGCTGCTCCACAGGGGCTGCTGCACGGGAGACGCTGCCCTGCTGAGCTGTCATTTAAACTTATTCTGAAGATTAACAAGGCCCATCACTTGCAAATACTAAGCCCCTATCATGAACACAGTAAAATATTTACTTGAACAAATTAAAATATTCTATTCAATGATGATTCAGAATAAATTAAAATACTGTAGAAGTGTGTTTTATGTAAATATTTTCTCTTTTGTTCTGGATTTTAATTATCTTGAATTTTTATTTGCAGAACATTTAAGGAAGTTTCTGTTTTAAACCAGCCTTGGAGGGTTTTCATGACAAGGAATTGCACATTGGATGATCATTTCTACCTTTTGCAATAACTACTTCTTATTTGCAAGTTGTGTTTAAGTGAACAAAGGCAGTAAGTACTAAATAATTGAAAACTATTTTTTAGCAGATTTGTTGGATAACAACTATTTAAGGAGGTTAAACAAATGCCCTTCAGATTTTCAGTCAATATTGGCTATTACTAAGCTGACTTGCTTCTTTAATCACAGGGCTTCATATGAAGTCCAGTAACTATGACTTTGAGAAGATCCTTGGTTTCCACAGCATGTATGATTCATACCCACAGGTTTCCCTGTGAAACCTTTTCCAATCTTTTACACTATGCTTCAGAATCCTGTACCTCCTACTTAAAATAAAGAACACTTAACTAGTAAAAATATGATACTGCAAGATGAGTGTCACTAGATGATAGCATCATGCCTCCACTGTAACCCTGTCTTCATATTTAAACGCAGATACACTGTTTACTTCTTCATAACATAAAGAGATACCAAATACTTATTCAATACCTAACAATATGCAGCATTTATATGAACTTTGACTGGGTAATCTTTCTCAAGTGGGTCCTAGAACATACATACACACACTCACACACACACTGAAAGTATCGATATAAAATATAGGTACAAAAATGTTTCAGCAGAGATTACAGAAGAATGTTGAAACTGCATAAGGCATGTTCAGAAATTTCAGAGCCAGTTGAGCAGCAAAAAACACAGAAATCCTGTCAGGAGATACTATTTCCAAAATCCTCAGAACAAAACAGTCAAACTACAGCGAGAAACCTTAGAGTGTGTTCTTGGGCAAAATCTAAGAATTTAGCCAAGGTCAAAACCCGAAGTGTCAGAGTTCACCAGTTCTGTCATCATAATTTTTCCAGGACTCATTTTCCTCATCTGTATGATGAGGGGGTTAGCCTGGATAAAATACAGGGCCTAACCAATGCCCTGTCTCTGTAAGGGCAGCAATATTGTGGAAGAATTTCTGCACTTTAAATATCCATCTTGGCAGCAAATCCTCAGAGTCATGAAGTAGCACGTCGTTTATCCTCGTGTATCTGGGCACAGACGCTAGTGTTACATCCATCCCTCACTACTCATCAACATGAGTCCAAGACATCGATCAGTTCTTTATTTAGAGATAAAATGACAGGATAGATCCTCTCTGTGTGTTTATTTCACAATTCCTTCATGACTTGCATTCCCCTTTCTCATCAGAATCAGTGCCCTCCATTTCTTCTTAAAGGATGGTATTTTGACATAAATGGAAATGATTTTTGCCTTCTGTGAGACAGGGGGTTTTTTCTCCACTTTCTTGGAGGTCAATTTCCAAATCATGAATGATGGACTCACTAATTATAGTACTGTCAATGTTTTCTTGACAGGGTCTTTATTTTTTTTCCTCCAGGAGACATGGGAATGAGTACATTCCTATCTAATGTGAAAATCCAAGGTTATTTTCCTTTTACATAAGATCACTTTTTCCCTTAGAAATCACATAGATGGATTATAGAAGACATTTTATAGGAAATTATAAAAACTAGGAAAAAGTTGCAATATTGCAAAATTGCTGTAATATGGCAAATGAACTGAAACATGGGGTTTCATATGACATCTAGTAAATTTTATTATTTATACTGTGAAGTCCCATTAAATGATGAAATTAAAATAGTTTAACCTGCTAAATTGTGTGTTCTTTTGACCGCTCTTGACAGGGTGGACAAAGGGTCAATTAAGAACCACCCTTTTTGATGCCAGACAAGCTCCAGTGAGTCAGAGCAAACACGTTCTGAAGTGTCTTACTCCACCACATCACAGAAACTGTCTCAACATTTTGCCATTCTTAAAATTAGTCTCCCAAGTCTATTCATGATTCAAAGGTGGTGAACATCAGCTATATACTTTTCTGTTTTGCAGGTTACTTATAATTCCTTAAGCTGTTTCTTCCCTCCATCTCTAACATTCTTTCATTCTTTGAAGATAAGCTATGGACAATTAGGGAAACATAACATAATTGTCTGTGCCCGTGCTTGGGTGTTTCAAATATTAGTATTGTAAAAATCTGTGACTTAGAGGGATTATTCTCACACACACACACACACACACACACACCTATTATCCACAGATTAACTTATTCTACTCTTAAGAAAACATTTTATAGATGTATTCTCAATACTTCCCTTTACGGAGGATGTTTTTTCTATTATTAAATTTTAACCATACATAACTGGAAATCAATTATACTGACCACCTGCCCATATGAGCTATTCAGGCATCATTTTTTTTCCCAACACGCTATGAGCTGTGATGAGAATGAGAAAAATAGCACTTGATAAGTCAACTCCACAACCCAACTCAGTATTCTACAAGGTTCTCTTTATATTTGATTCATTTGAGAGAAAAACCCCTGAGGGTGAATATAGAGTAGGTAATGTTCAAGGAAAAAGAAAGCCTATTTTAGATATTTTCCGTGTAAATCTCAGAATATGATTAAAGGAAAGATCTTTTGAATTCAGATTTCCATGGAAACACTCACAGCATTTTTCAATGGCGAGTAAGTGAGCTACATGATCTAACAAACCATTTTCTTACTGAATTTAAAATTGTGTTAGTTAGACACTATCAGTTTCCCTCCCTGTTCACCATGAGCCTGAGTTGTTTCCCTAGGCTTGGTAACATCCTCTCCCCTTTCCTTGTCCCTGGGTTGCTGTTGTAAAGTATGCCATCCCTGTGGTTGTTAATTCTAATGCAAATTTATTAGTCAGGCCATTCTCAGCTCCCTATGATGGGCGTAGAAATGGGGAAGGTACCCTTGGTAGGTAACTTATCTTGTTTTGATTTCTAAATGATGTAAATGTAATAGCTTAAAAAAAATCTCCATATAACTGTTCCCTGCACCCTCTGATTGGGTAAATACTCATGCAAATTGACCATCTTATCAAATATATTTTTATGTAAGTTAAAGAACCTGCACCACATACGTAGCAAGACAACTTCCAGTCACTTCTTACCCTCTGAGCCTTGGGCTTCTCTGCAGCTGGGCAATGCTGCACAAACAGCATAAATGCTCCAGTTGGGCATTTGGTCTTAGAGGGGTAAAAGATCTAAGAATGCTTTTGCCTGTTACACAATTGGGCAGGTTGTATTTCATTTTTAAATACAAAAGAAGTAAATAATCGATGTGCCAGAAATATATTTGAATTTTTGTCAGTTGACATTTCAGTAGCAATTATGGACCCAAAGTCATTTTGTTTGAGGAGCTGATACTGGATAATATATTTTTATTTAACAAAAGTTATGATAACATATAGTCCACATGATCTGAACATGCGCGTCCTAAAAATATATTTGAAAATGAGAGAAATGCATATAGAGATGAGGAAAACCCTAGCTGAAAAGATAAATATATAGACGATAATTTTTTTTTAATTTGGGGAGAAGATGATGAACATGAAAAGAATTATGAGTTTGAAAATCTGTCTACAGAAACATCAGGTAATTCCTTATCTGTGCACTTACAACACATTTCCTCATATGCATGCCTGACAGCTGCCACAGCAAAGCTGCCATTCGAGAATTTCTTTTAAAAGTTAATGTACACAAATATCCACGAGAGACTTAGTATTTCCAGAAGCTTTCAATTGGGGTAGAGTTGAAAGGGAGGGTAATATTTTGCAGTGCTGTGGAATAAAGCAGCATCTGGCTCAATTACATCCAGCTCTTTTATGCAGAAGATTTCCCAAAGATGGCAGTTTTGATAAATATTGACCTCCAAAGCTCTATCATTTTGTCGACCTAAAAGGAAGAGGCTGAGACACAAACTCTATAATTTAAAGAGTTTACTGAGCCAAAGTGAAGACAGCTGTCAGGAGGACTCGGACCCATGTAACCTTGGATATGAGTTTGGCCTTTGTTACAAACAGATTTTTGAAGGCAAAAAAGGGGGAGAAGGCATGGCTGATACAAAGTTGTTTGTCAGGCATTCTTATTGATTTATAGAAATAACATTGATTAGCGATTGGCTATACATTATTAAGCTACAGGGTGTGGGTTATAGCGTTTGCTCTGGCATTATTAAGTTAATTTATAGCTACTTGTGGCAATAAGCAGTTTCAGAAGATGAATACCTAGCTCAAAGCGGGGAGTAGGATTTGACTGCTGCCTCATTTTAATGTCTCTCTGGGCCTCATTATTTAAAAGGACTCACATTCCTCAGATAAAAGTTCTTTTCTCGCCTTTTTTTTTTTTTGAGTAATACAAAATCAATCAAGCAATATTGTCTCCATTGCACGAAGTAATGTGTTGTTTACACCATGGATATTCTAAAATGAAACCATGAATGTGAGTTGTTAAAAAAGCAAGTACAATAAAAAATGCATGTTCAAAAATGGATACTCCCAGGCTGAGGAGCTGAGCTGTCAGCAACGGGAATGATGACTCCTGGCCTGCGAAATTCACTGAAAATTGAATTTGAGGGCATAGAGGAGGATGGGAGTCAGTGGCTAAAGTTGTTGAGAAAGTCATTTACATTTTTCTTATTTATTATTTCTATTCTTCAGAGTCTAATATTTTCACTAATTTTTAAAAAACTTTTTCTTGGCCGGGCGCAGTGGCTCACGCCTTAATCCCAGCACTTTGGGAGGCCGAGGCGGGCGGATCATGAGGTCAGGAAATCGAGACCCTCCTGGCTAACACGGTGAAACCCCGTCTCTACTAAAAATACAAAAAATTACCGGGGCATGGTGGCGGGCGCCTGTAGTCCCAGCTACTCGGGAGGCTGAGGCAGGAGAATGGCGTGAACCCAGGAGGCGGAGCTTGCAGTGAGCAGAGATCGCGCCACTGCACTCCAGCCTGGGTGACAGAGCAAGACTCCGTCTCGTTTAAAAAAAAAACAAAACAAAACTTTTTGTTATAGTCCCCTAAATGTTTAACAATATTTAAACTATCTTCAATGGTTCTAAACACATTTGGTATCTTTAAAATTTTATTTCCTATTTTATAAGAAAGATGAGAGATTTGGATGTAAACACACAATTTTGCATTTAGGTGTAATGATGTCTTGGCTCTTCAATCTCTGAAGAGAAAATATAATGACTAGTAATTAAGTTGAAAGTGGTATTTGAAAACCATCTATTAATTGTTTTACGTACTTTCTACTACCTAGTTTTAAGTTTCAACATGATTTTTAAAAAAATGTTTAATACTGGCCGGGTGCGATGGCTCACACCTGTAACCTCAGTACTTTGGGAGGCCAAGGTGAGTGGATCATTTGAGGTCAGGAGTTGGAGACCAGCCTGACCAACATGGTGAAAACCCATCTCTACTAAAAAAAAAAAAAAAAAAAATTAGCCAGGCATGGTGGCACACGCCTGTAATCCCAGCTACTTCGGAGGCTGAGGCAGGAGAATCGCTTGAACCCGGGAGGCAGAGGTTGCAGTAAGCCGAGATCTTACCATTGCACTCCAGCCTGGGCAACAAGAGCAAAACTCAGTCTCAAACAAAACAAAACAGAAAGTTTAATACTGATGCCTTCTTGCATATCTCACTATTCCTAGAATTGCATTTTATTTGTTGTTGTTGTTTTCCTTTCCCTGCTGGGCTGGGGTGGGTGGTGATATATGCAGTGATGTTTACAAGCAGAGAGACTGTTGCAGCAGAGGTCTCATCTAACAGGGAGCCTTAATGAGCAGTGGCGCTTATAAGTTAGGGAGATACTGAAGCATGCTCCAGATTCAGTCAGGACCTCAGGATGAGAGCTTGGGGTTGGGGAAGAAAACATAAAAGTGGCTGAGTATTTTTGAGGGGTTGATGAGTCTAAGCCTACTTTTTTTTTTTTTTTTTTTTTTTTTTGAGACGGAGTCTCGCTGTGTCGCCCAGGCCGGACTGCGGACTGCAGTGGCGCAATCTCGGCTCACTGCAAGCTCCGCTTCCCGGGTTCACGCCATTCTCCTGCCTCAGCCTCCCGAGTAGCTGGGACTACAGGTGCCCGCCACCGCGCCCGGCTAATTTTTTGTATTTTTAGTAGAGACGGGGTTTCACCTTGTTAGCCAGGATGGTCTCGATCTCCTGACCTCATGATCCACCCGCCTCGGCCTCCCAAAGTGCTGGGATTACAGGCGTGAGCCACCGCGCCCGGCCTAAGCCCACTTCTTAAGCTTTGCTCTTTGATTTCCTGTGTACTAGGTAGGTATTTACCTTCTGCTCCTCCTTTCTAAGCTGGGGTGCCTGCGAGCCTCCATGCAGCATTCGCTGGACAGTGCTGAGGAGTCAGTTATCAGTGCCGCTGGTGGACGTGAACGTAGCTCTGAGAAGCTGTGTGGCCAAGGGTGACATTTCCTCCAGGCAGGAAAGTCCATGAGTGTTGTTTCTTTGTCTTTGAATGAACAGTCAAGCCATGCCTCCAGACATCTTTGACATAAGCACATGCCTCCGCAAGACTTTTAAAATACTCTAGGGGAGAAAAGTCCTATCTTTTCTTCACCCGCCACAAGGTTTACAGCCCAAAACCCCCAAAACAAAAGACAGGTTAACAAGAGAAAAGCATAACAAAGGTATTTAATCAAAGTTTTCCTTGACACAGGAGGCTTCAGAAATGAAGACCCAAACACCCAGGGGGAAACTGTATTTTTATGTTAAATCTGATGAAAGAAGTGAATAGTTGTGG
Organism: Homo sapiens; assembly: GCF_000001405.40. Classification (NCBI taxonomy): domain Eukaryota; kingdom Metazoa; phylum Chordata; class Mammalia; order Primates; family Hominidae; genus Homo; species Homo sapiens. The sequence goes on from NC_000009.12 coordinate 42,330,631, forward strand.
AGCAACGTAACTGGGTAACTGGACAAAATGGATATGATCTAATGGTAATAAACTGAGCAGAGCCCAGCAAGGCCTGTTTGTTCTGATTCTTCTTGGTCTCTCTGTGTGTAACCGCCCAATGGGTTCATCTTGCCCCCTGCCTAGACAGAGCTGATTTATCAAGACAGGGGAATTGCAACAGAGAAAGTGTAATACACACAGAACCAGCTGTGTGGGAGACTGAAGTTTTATTATTGCTCAAATTAGTCTCCTGGAGCATTTGGAGATCAGAGTTTTTAAGGATAATTTGTGAACTGGTGGGGGGCAGTGAGTTGGGTGTGCGGATTGGTCAGGTCATAGGGAGTCAAAGCTGTCCTCTTGTGCTGAGTCAGTTCCTGAGTGGGGCCACAATATCAGATGAGCCAGTTTATCGATCGGGGTGATGGCTGCTGATCCATCAAGTGCAGTGTCTGCAAAATATCTCAAGAGCTGGTCTTAGGCTTTACAGTAGTGATGTTATCCCCTGGAGCAATCTGGAAAGAACCTCGTAGCCTCCAGCTGCATGACTAGTCCTACAAAGGCAGTCTAGTCCCTAAGCAAGAAAGGGATTTGTTTTGGGAAAGAGCTGTCATTATGTTCATTTTAAACTATAAATTATAAACTAAGTTCCTTCCAAAGTTAGTTCAGCCTACGCCAAGGAATGACGAAGGACAGCTTGGAAATTAGAAGCAAGATGGAGTTGGTTAGGTCAGATCTCTTTCACTGCCTCAGTTATAATTTTACAATGACGGTTTCATGTGTAGCATTCCTTTCTCCAGGTAAGGGGCAGGACTCCTCTGGAATGAGGGTCTTATGAGCTCTCAGGGGAGGTAGGCAAAAGATAACCTTTCTAGATTTTATGGCTTGTTTCAGGAGACAGAAGGATGGGAGAAGGCCAAAGAGAACTACTTGCTTCTAAACCCCTCCTGTCTCCTTTAGTGCAACAATCCACACATGCCAAGGCACCATACTTTGGGGTACTGTGCTCTGAGCTCCGATAATGCAAAGAAGTAAAACCATGTCACGCTAAATGTTTAATATGCAGCTGGGAGTTTTATCTAATAAATGCAATAACAGAAATCATATCTCCTCATGACATTAGGGTTTTAGATAGGCACTCCATGGTCTCAAACAGATTGTAGCTTCAATCTCTACATAGCTGCTACTTATTTTTATGAAAACAATCTTTGAAAATTGTTTTCAAGAAATTACAGGGCCGGGCGTGGTGGCTTATGCCTGTAATCCCAGCATTTTGGGAGGCCAAGGCAGGAGGATCACCAGAGGTTAAGAGTTCAAGATCACCCTGGCCAACATGGTGACATCCCGTCTCTACTAAAAACACAAAATTAGCCAGGTGGGGTGGAATGCACCTGTAGTACTAGCTACTTGGGAGACTGAGACAGGAGAATCTCTTGAATTCAGGTGGCAGAGGCTGCAGTGAGCCAAGATCACGCCACCGCACTCCAGCCTGGGTGACAAAGCAAGACTCTGTGTAAAAAAAAAAAAGAAAGAAAGAAAGAAAGAGAAAACAAAAACAAAAGAAATTATGTAACTGGCCTGCTCAAGATAATTAATTTTGTGTAATTACTGAACATATTAAAGTCTCTTTATTTTATTTTATCTTTTTTTGAGACAGAGTCTCGCTCTGTCCCCCAGGCTGGAGTGCAGTGGCGCCATCTCGGTTCACTGTAAGCTCCGCCTCCCGAGTTCACACCATTCTCCTGCCTCAGCCTCCTGTGAACTGGGACTACATGAGCCCACGACCACGCCCGGCTAATTTTTTTGTATTTTTAGTAAAGACGGGGTTTCACCGTGTTGGCCAGGATGGTCTTGATCTCCTGACCTCGTGATCTGCCCGCCTCAGCCTCCCAAAGTGCTGGTATTACAGGCATGAGCCACCGCGCCCAGCCGTAAATATTTTTTAATTAAAAAAAAAAAAGCTGGTTAGTATTCTTAAAGAAATGTTCTGTTGCAGGGTTTGGACTTATTTTCTTAAAACTGTTTCTTTTGGCCAGGTGCAGTGGCTCGCACCTGTAATCCCAGCACTTTGGGAGGCCGAGGCGGGCAGATCACAAGGTCAGGAGATCGAGACCATCCTGGCGAACACGGTGAAACCCCGTCTCTACTAAAAATACAAAAAGCTAGCCGGGCGTGGTGGCGGGTGCCTGTAGTCCCAGCTACTTGAGGAGGCTGAGGCAGGAGAATGGCGTGAACCCGGGAGGCGGAGCTTGCAGTGAGCCGAGATCACGCCACTGCACTCCAGCCTGGGCAACAGAGCAAGACTCTGTCCCAAACAAACAAACAAACAAACAAAAAAAACAAAAAACCCACACACACCAAAAAACTGTTTTTACGTCATTATCTGAGCGGAAGCAGAACCGCATTAGGGGGTGAGTAGTTGGGCTAAATAGGACTCGCCTTTCTCATATTCTTTTTTCAGATGATACCCTGTTGAGCTGGTAGGTGGGAAGAACCAGAAAAGCGCACAGTTACCAGAGAGGTTATTTGCCCAATGCTGAGAAACATATGTGTGTATTAGAAAAAATCATATCGACTCCCAGGAATCCTGCAACATACTGCAACTGTGATGCTGACCAGAATGAGTGGAGATTTCCTCATGATTTCTCTGTGTGAGATGCAGGTTAAAAAAAATTATTACTTAATATATGAATAGGCAGATATTGAATAAGCTATTGCAATGAAAAAAATAAAAGTATGCCCTAGTGAGTAAAAAATGTAAGCTGATGAAATATAATACAATTAATATGAAAACTAAATATCAAGATGGAAGGTTTGCTAGTTCACTGTGGATAATAGATCATGTACATTTTTCTAGTAAATAGAAATACTTGGCTTCCATTCACTAGAAGTCCAACATCATCTCTTTAAATTTAAGTTCGATTAAGCAATCTATTACTACCAATATTTAAAGTAGTAATTCACAAAGTGTATCTGCTTATTAAAGTCCCATGATTATCTACATTTAAGAGTTAATGCTGCATATCACACCCCTTGGGGACGCCATACATTAACATATTTAGTTCTGATAGGACTGTTTACTTGTCTCAATCCTGATTTTCCAAAGTCATTTAATCACAAAATTATGTAGGCAATGTCATATGATCAGGAAAAAAAATGTTCTGTGAACCCTACCCTGCAAAGGGTGATCTAAAAAATGTCAGAGATTCGAAAATGTTTCAACTGTCTTTAGAACAAAGCAATAATCTCCTGTGGATTGCAATACTTCCTTTACTGAGAATTTGGAAAGTTTTTTGTAGATTTTTAGGTTATAGTTGGAAAGTATGCTGATTTTTTTTAACATGGAAAGTAAAAGTGGTTTTTAAATCTCTGGATTAATTTATTAACGTGTATCACTAACTCAAAAAAAAAACCTTTTTTTTTTTTTTTTTTGAGGTGGAGTATCACTCTGTTGCCCAGGCTGCAGTGCAGTGGCACAATCTCAGCTGACTGCAGTCTCCACTTCCCGTGTTCAAGTGATTCTCATGCCTCAGCCTCCCAAATAGCTGGGATGACAGGTGTGCACCACCATGCCTGGCTAATTTTGTATTTTTAGTAAAGATGTTTTGCCACGTTGGCCAAGCTAGTCTCAAACTTCTCACCTCAAGTGGTCTGCCCGCTTGGGCCTCCCAAACTGCTGGGATTATAGGCTTGAGCCACCGCACCGGCCCTCAAAAAAGTTTCATAAAGCCCTAGTGCTTCATCTACTAGCCTATGTATCTCCAAATCCATTTGACCATGCAGCGTACATTTATTTTTAATCTCTTAAAGGTCAATCTGGGTGTATATATCATTGATTGGGCTACAGAATGTCAGTTATATTTTATGTCTTTGGTTAAAAAATGAGGATACAAAATTTTATTCTCAAAACACGTTTATGTAATGTTGATTAATAAAAATAATTCACCTACTCATGTTTGATAATTAAATAATTAGTTTTATCTTTCCCATCACAGTAGGTGACACATAGAATATTTAGGTTTTGATTTTGTCAAGATGAAAATGAATAGCAAACCTGTTTGGAATTCTGAATTCAATCTCAATAAGGAATAGAAAAAAAAAAGCAGACTTCATTTTAATTTGGTTTGTATTATTCTCACAGGAATATACCTGGGGCAGATAAATCTTCTAGAAAATCAGATGTTCTTTCATATGAGAATAGAGTTCAATGATATACTTTTCATCATACACATCACATGACAATGTCATCTTTAAATATAGTAAAGGGGGCCAGGTGAGGTGGCTCATGTCTGTAATCCCAGCACTTTGGGAGGCCGAAGCAGGTGGATCACCTGAGGTCAAGAGTTTGATACCAGCCTGGCCAACATGACGAAACCCCATCTCTACTAAAAATACAAAATTAGTTGGCATGGTTGCATGTGCCTGTAATCTCAGCTACTTGGAGGCTGAGGCAGGAGAATTGCTTGAACCCGGGAGGTGGAGTTTGCAGTGAGCCGAGATCACACCACTGCACTCTAGCCTGGGTGACCGAGCAAGATTCATTTTCAAAATAAATAAATAAATAAATAAATAAATAAATAAAAAAGAAAAAATATATATATATAGTAAAGGTAACAATTACATTCTACAATATTGTAGTAGAAGTAAATATGGTTTAATTCACTGGAAACAGCTCTGCTCTATAGAAAATTCACAAAGATTAAAAATAAATACACTGTACATTAAACCTTTGAGCACTGGAAGCTCACCTACTTATTCATAGGCTCACATACTGTAAGGGGGTAAATCCCAAAACCCAGATAAGTCAAATGAAAACTTCATTATGCCCTCCCTTTATCTATTATATTATGTGCAGTTTTGTGAGTTTTCAACATAAATGATTAGCTTCTGAGGAATTTTAAAAGCATTTGCCATAGATCAATGATAATATGTTCTAAAAATGAGTCATCAGTTAAAGCTACAGTAACATGAATATAGTATTAATAGTTACAGTCAATGAAAAAATGATGACTTTATTTTTGTCTTTAAGGGTATAAAAAGCATATTCAAAGTTACTGAGGGTACTGAGAGTTAATTTTTCACATCAAAAGGAAAGGGCTAAGGAAGGAATTGTTTTAGCCTTTCATTCAACATTGTAACTGCAGACAAAAAAATTACTTTGAAATAAACATACAGCTGTACCCCTTGCTAACTAAGAAAGAACTTCTTGGTCATAATTATATAATGGCCAATTTTTACTTCTAATTCTGGCTTGGATTTCCCTAGTTTATTTATTAGCCATTGAGTTATTATGATCATCCAGTTGTTAGCCTTTAGACATAATATTTGTATTAGCTGTTGATTAATTTTTTTTCCAAAATTTGCATAACTCTGGCTGTCCTATCAATTTCCCATAGAGTTATCATTCCACTTGAATCTGTGAAAAGTGTCTGATTAAAAATCATATGGATAATTACCACCAACACTCAATTCTCAGCAGCTGTTGAGGAGGAGCTTCAGTTAGATACACATCATCCCAAAGAGAACTCATCGTGATGGAAGGGACATTAGAAATAAGAGGAGAGTGGTTAAATCAGTAAAAGATTGACTCCATTACACTGCCATCTGTTCATCCATGACCTTGCTTCCATTATTCTGTGCCCATTTATTGATTTAATGACATTAATATTGTTTGACAACTGCCTAGTGTCTGCAATAAATGTTAATTTTTTTGCTCAACGGTTGTTGCATTGACCATGAAAATGTATTTAAGCATCAATCATTTTCACTGTACATCTGGTTAGAAAATATTGGACACTATACGAAGGCCTTTATAAGGAAAATACAGATAACTTGTATTTTTAGTAAACTCTACCAATGAAGCTGTGCTGATGACATACTCCCCATGACATGTCTGAGAACACAGTTCCCGTAGGAGAGGTGAGCTACCAAAGTGAAAGCATCAGTAAGAACAGCACTCCAAGTTATCGCAAGCACCTATTTTTTGTTGTTGTTGTTGTTGAGTCGGAGTCTCGCTCTGTCCCCCAGGCTGGAGTGCAGTGGCGCAATCTCGGTTCACTGCAAGCTCCGCCTCCTGGGTTCACGCCATTCTCCTGCCTCAGCCTCCCGAGTAGCTGGGACTACAGGCACCCGCCCGACACCCCGCCCGGCAAATTTTTTGTATTTTTAGTAGAGACGGGGTTTCACCGTGTTAGCCAGGATGGTCTCCATCTCCTGACCTTGTGATCCGCCTGCCTCGGCCTCCCAAAGTGCTGGGATTGCAGGCGTGAGCCACTGCGCCCAGACCACAAGCGCCTATTTTGAAGGGATGTGCTACCTAAATATTTGTAGCTAACATCACATTGTTAGAAATGATGCACTGAACAGCAGTTATTATTTTACCAAAAAAAGTTTCTATGGAGGAATCTCTTAACAAGCTTATGACAGGAGAAAAAAAAAGAAAACTAGACAAGGTTTTAAATTATTTCTACAGATCAGGTAACACAAAGGAGTCTTTAGTTCCTCAATTTTCCTAAGCACCACCTTGAGTGCTGAATAATTATATAGCAAGTCTGAAGATCTCGTATAAACATGCTACATGAGTGTTTAATGCGAATCACATAGTCTTATCTCCTGTATTAGGTCCCATGACATCTTGCTTGAGTATCTCAATATTTAATTTATTGTTCCAACCACATAATTCCCCAGTATATTTAAACATGCTCAGGTCTCTCCCAATTTACACACCCACTTGCATGATACCACACTACCCTAGAGCGAACCCTATTGCTCTATTTCCATTCATTAATTCATCCACTTATTCATCAAATATTTAATGTGCATCAACTGTCTGTCAGCAATGTCAAAGTTCTGTTGATACAGTGTACAAGACAAAGCACATCTTTACTCTGCCATTTCGATCTTATATTTTCATGGTGGAAGATGAAAATAAAGTAGATAAATAAAAAATACCCAAACATACACAGAAATAATATAATTGCAGAAAGTGATCATTGCTATTACAAAAATAAAACACGGTAATGGGAAGAATTAGAATGGCTCCTCAATGTTCTCTCCATCCCTACTGCCGCCATCCTAGAACAAGATGGCATCACTGTGCTTCTTAACCAGATGGCCAGTGACATCTGAGTAGTTCCTTCACATTGCCTGACTCTCCTGATTATTTTCCAACACTGTAGAAACTTTTAAAAAAGGAATCCTCAGCCAGGCACGGTGACTCACACCTGTAATCCCAGCATTTTCGGTGGGGGAGTGGGGCAGATCACTTGAGGTCAGGAGTTTGAGACCAGCCTGGCCAACATGGTGAAACCCCATCTCTACTAAAAATACAAAAATTAGCTGGGCATGGTAGCTGGCGCCCATAATCCCAGCTACTTGGGAGGCTGAAGCACAAAAATCGCTTGAACCCGGGAGGTGGAGGTTGCAGTGAGCCGAGATCATGCCACTGCACTCCAGCCTGGGTGATAGAGCAAGACTCAGTCTCAAAAAAAAAAAAAAAAAAAAAATCTCACACGTACTAGAAGTAGAAATTTTTAGCCAGAGGTGACAATGAAACTTTGGCTTACCTGAGAGATTTCACTTTTCAAGAGAGTATTAGACTTGCACAGGGCATGTTATTGGCTATATAATTCAATTTTATCCAGCTTTGAAGGGAAAAGAAGGAAACCCCACCTAACGTACTCATAATATAAACATTATTATATATGCTTTTATTACTATTATAATTATATATTACATTATTTAAATCATAAACATTACGTCAATTTTTGCTTTTCATGTGGACAATAGTAACAATGGATAAATCAAATGCATATTGCATCATTAGAAGAGTGCTGGCCTTGTATGAACAAAGTTTTAGTTATAAGTCATCATACTGTTTCTGAGTCATAAAAGAACTACAACAGTCTTCCTGGTTCTATCGCAATGCTTATCCCAGGTTCCATAACATTAGTAAAAGTCTTATTATCCAATCACTGAGCTTCACATGCCCTGCAGGTATGGGCGCTACATCTTATACAATAATTCAATTTTGTTGTTGGATAATTCAGGACCTCTCCCTTGTCAAAGCTAATTTCTAAAGCTAAAGATTCACACACCGTGGAATATACTGTGGACATTCCAAACACATTACGGTTAAAGCATATGTCTTGGTGTCAGACACTGATAAAGCTTTCTTGGATTCAATATAAAACTTATGGGAAAAAAAACTAGTGTGTCAATATAAATTATAATTTATATCAATATTGAGAAATGGACTTCTTCAAGGTTCCACTATTAGTGATGTATATATAAAGGGTTAAAATACTCCCTCATGTGAGTAATGGTGCTACAGACACATTCCCACTGGCATCTGATCACAGTCAATCAGTAAATTAAGAGCTCTGAAACCAAGATTTACTTATTATGAATAAATCCTTTACTTTTTCTAATAAAAATATATTGTTTTCTTTTAAAAAGAATCTTAAAGTATTGTAGGTTTATTGGTTGATTTCCATCATTATCAATTGAATTTCATTATTTATTTATTTATTTATTTATTATTATTTTTGGAGACAGTCTTGCTCTGTCACTCAGACTGGAGTGTAGTGGTGTGATCTCAGCTCACTGCAACCTCTGCCTCCTGGGTTCAAGCGATTTTCCCACCTCAGCCTCTCTACTAGCTGGGATTACAGGTGGGTGCCACCACGCCTAGCTAATTTTTGTATTTTTAGTAGAGATACAGTTTCACCATGTTGGCCAGGCTGGTCTTGAACTCCTGACCTCTAGAGATCCACCCGCCTCGGCCTCCTAAAATGCTGGGATTACAGGCATGAGCCACCATGCCTGGCTCATTATAATTTTTAAAGCATTAGTTTATTCAATATAAGTTGGCTTGGGTCAAATGGAGGCTGAAATGGCCATTGTTCAGGGTTTGGCTTTGTTGGGTCTAGACAGACATGATGAAATTTCCTGGAGAAGTAAAAGCTTTTTGTGAGTTCTGTGGTACTTCCATCAGCAGCATATTGTTACCACTGAAGTGAGATCAAGTAATATCAGTTCCAAAGTGTATGCTGGGAACTTTTATCAGAGACATTTCTGTGCAATTGTAGAAGTGAAAATAGAGCAGGATGGACTGAAAGATAAATGGGAAGTCAATAAGGAGAGGAGAAGCTAAAATACTGAAATCGGTGAAGTAGGGTGAAGGGGGTTTATTTGATGGGAGATGTGTGAGTCTTAAGTTTAAACACTAATGGGAAATGGCCAGTAGAAAGAGAAAAGCTGATGGAATCAAAGAATTTATAGGCGGTTTCAGCATCAATCATTTTCACTGTACATCTGAGTACTGTACATTCAGAGAACAAGGAAACATTTTATTTTCCAACTGGATTAAAAAGGAAGGTGATTAAGAATGGCTGGTATGCAGGCATGAATTCAGGAGCAGGGTGTGTCTCAATCTGGAGGTAATTGTCTTGGAGGAGCTTTGAAAGTGAAATGCCTTTGTGGAATATGCAATTGTAAAATAAGACTTACCTTTGTAAACCAACTACATTATTTCCAGATCCATGCCTTAAAATGTTGGGGGGTGGGGGTCAAAGCAAAGCTCTCTGAAGATGTCTCTGGATGTTCCCATCAGGAGTGAACTCTGTGAATGAAACAATTTCAGAAAATAGAGGTCATTCAGTCTTTGGCCATTGCTGTACAATTGTGAATGAGTAACATTGCTTCATTATTAAGTCAATAATGCTATCATGAGGGCAGAAATGGAATTTCAAAACAGATCAGTTTATGAGTTTCCTTTGCTTCATTTCTTCCTTTATTAAATTTTTCTTCTTACAAACATGATTATATTTTCTTAAAGTTCATCTGCTGCTGCAGTTTCTATTTGAAGAGCATAATCAGTTTCCCAGCAACCAAGAATAGACATGGTGCTGTCTCAAGAATGAGGACTTAAAGGCTAATAATAGATTCCAGTGATTGTGACTTAGAAGCTCTGATTAAAGCATAATTTTCTCTGCCTCATAAGAACAGGAGCCCAACATAACTGTATTAGAATATGTTCAGCAACTTTATTTTTGCAAAGGGTTTGCCAACACTTGGATTTCTCAAAGTAGCTTTACAAGGTGACACTTCATTCATTACTACCCATAGTTAACTGTTTTAAAATTCAGACTTAGTGGAATTTGCCCAAGAACATACAATATAGCATGCTTAGAATTGAAACTTGCCTGCCATTCTTTCCTTTGTTTTAAGGCAGTGTTTTTCAAACCTAATGATCATTAAAATTGCCTGAGAATGTTGTTAAATGCAGATTCTAGCAAGATCCCAGGTGATGACAATACTTCAAATAGCAAGTTTCTAAGACATTTTGGGTTGCAGTTACAACTATACTTGCAAACAGAACCGCCTCCCGGGTTCAAGTGATTCCCCTGCCTCAGCTTCCCAAGTAGCCGGGATTACAGGCACCTGCCACCACGCCTGGCTAATTTTTGTATTTTTAGTACCCTGTTGGCCAAGCTGGTCTCAAACTCCTGACCTCAGGTGATCTGCCTGCCTTGGCCTCCCAAAGTGCTGGGATTACAGGCGTGAGCCACCGCACCCGGCCTTGCTAATTTATTTTTAGTCTATCATATTTATCAAATAAATAACAAACAAAAATATTATGGTAGGAGTTATTAAAAAATTATTGGCCCAGGGCCAGGTGAGGTGGCTCACACCTGTAATCCCAGCACTTTGGGAGGCCAAGGCAGGCAGGTCACCTGAGGTCAAGAGTTTGAGACCAGCCTGGCCAACATGGTGAAACCCCATCTTTGCTAAAAAAAAAAAAAGAAAAAAAAATTAATTGGGCTTGGTGGCACACGCCTGTAGTCTCAGCTACCTGGGGAGGCTGAGGCAAGAGAATCACTTGAACCCAGGAGGCGGAGGTTGCAGTGAGCCAAGATCATGCCCCTGCACTCCCGCCTGGGCTCCATCACAAAACAAAAAAAAGAAAAAAAAGGCAGATAAAGAAAAAATAATAATAACACAAAGAAAAAATAAAAATAAATTCTCCTGGCAATAGAGTCTTGCATGTTTTTCAGCTTTCCTTGAAGCTGAGATGTGCTCCTGACCTCAAAGGACCAGTCCCTTGGACCAGAGTATTGAGAACCATTTACCTGGGCCTGGAGCTGTGGAGAGATTTCCTGACTGTACATGTTCCCATCAGGCTAGGCCAGCCACCGAACATGGCCTTCAGGGCAGGACAGCAGAACTAGGGCCCTGCCTGGGGTACCTGGTGCTGGTCCAAGTTTTAGAGCCAGAGCATCTGCCGAAGTTTGGGGCCATCCTGGCGCAAGAGGGGTGCAGGGCGGTGGAGTCCTGGTCCTCGGGCTGATGGGCTCCAAAGCCTCTACAGGAAAGAGAGGGGGAGAGAGGAGAAGGAGTCTACGGGAAGGCTGCTGGGAGAGGCTGACCTGCAGGGGTGTGGTGGAGCCTAAGAGCAGGTGACCTGGGAAGACCTGGGGCGGGGAGTATGCCGAGGGGCAGGAGTGGGGGTGAGGGTGGGCAGTGATTCACAGATCTCTCTGCTGTCACCAGGGGAGGGCAAGCTATTGATCTGGAGTCAAGCTGGGAAGAAATCACCTGTCCTGCCCCTCTAGACCAACAAAAGGTAAACTGAGTCCCAGAGCAGGGAAGGGTTGCTAACACTCAAGGATCAAGCAGCAAAGTGGTGTGACCTGAAAGGGAAGTCATGAGAGACAAAAGGCTGAGGGCGGCACAAGGAAAAAGCTGGGAAAATAAGGCTGCCCAGCGAGAATGGACCAACACTGGCGCCTCACGCACATACACCCCACTTCCCAGCAGGTGCCCCGGGGCATCTCAGAAGCCAGCACAGCCTAGGCCTGCTGCAGAGTGAAAGAGTGAGCCCTGCTCATGCTGAAGCAACAGGAGCTCATCCAAGGTGGGGGGAAGGGCCAGTGTTGAGGCAGCCGGGGCATGTGCCTCAGGAGTGGAGCCTCTGGTGCCTGGTGTATCACTAGGAGTGAGTGGCAACGATGTGGAAGTGGCCAGACACCCCATGACCCAGGAGTCAAGGAACCATGCTCTTTGCTGTCCAGTCCCCCAAAACTAACACCTGCACTTCCACGTGAAGGAAGCAGAATGACCCCTTCTCCCCACTCCCTTTATCCTGAACATCAGCAGGTGGGCCCAGGACTACCAGGCAAATTCTGAGATCCAGGACCTATTGAGGAGTAGTGATGGCAGCAACTGGCCAAACCCACACTTTCCAGGCAGCCACAGGAGCTGGGCATGGCCGAGGCCTACAGACATGCAGGCAGTGCCCCAAGGGTGAGGACAAGGTAGATCATGCCTAATTCCTGCCATGAGTCTGACTGCATGCTAGAGTTTTGCTTGCTTGCCTTCAGTAATGCCTCTCCATCTTTATGGAATTTCCAGTTCTCAATAAAGTGTAGATACAGTATATAAGGCAATGTTACTTTGTGTGTAACACTGAATGTGTATTTTGATTTTATCTGCAGATCAGTGGCTTTGATTCAGGCAGCTTCAAAGGAATTGTGATCAAGTTATGATAATTTAGTCAACAAGCAGGTCAATGAGGGAGGTAAACTGAGGCAGGGCCCTCCATGTGATCACCCAGACAAATGCTCCATGCCTAATGCCAAGGCAAAATATTAGGTGATTATCCCAAAAGATTACATTAAAGCGTATTCCATAATTAAATATACATTTCAAATTTAGAAGTTAGTTTTAAAAGCTCATCAGTTAAGGTCTGGAACATAAAAAACATTTCATAAAATTAAGGTTTCGGCCGGGGGTGGTGACTCATGCCTGTAATCCCAGCACTTTGGGAGGCCGAGGTGGGTGGGTCACGAGGTCAGGAGATCGAGACCATCTTGGCTAACACAGTGAAACTCCCTTTCTACTAAAAATACAAAAACTTAGCCAGGCATGGTGGTGCACACTTGTAATCCCAGCTACTCTGGAGGCTGAGTCAAGGGAATCCTTTAAGCCCGGGAGGTGGAGGTTGCAGTGAGCCAAGATTGTGCCACTGCACTCCAGCCTGGGCGACAGGGTGAGACTCAGTCTCAAAAAAAAATACAAAATAAAAAAATAAAGAGATAAAACTGACTTGTTATATGCCTGTTAAAATGGGTCTCCTCTTTATTTTTGGTGTGTGCTTGTGTGTGTTTTTTTTTTTTTTTGGCTTCCTCTGTTCATTTTCACTCATCTCCCCTTTCCCTCTTCAGAGGACCAGATTTGCCCGTCTTCTTTCAAGCAGATGACTGAGTCAATCCCACATTACATATGAGGAAACTGAGGTAAGAGTGGAAATACCCTGAAAAATCAATTTTCTTCCTCTGTTAAAAGGAGATAACTATTTTTTTTCCATAGAACTGTTGTAAAGGTCAGAGCTAATGTATTCAAAGTTCCTAGTGAACTACCTAGTTTATACGTATTGAAACAGAGAGAGCTGATGCTGATATTTTGATATTCCAGATTACTTGGTGATATGCCTTATCATATCATAGAAGATAATAAATGTTAATTTATACAAGCATTATATATATATTTGCGTATATATACACCCATATTATCTTAAGAAAAGTTAGAACCTTTTTCTCTCTCTGTACGTTTCTTGCAACTTTATGATATTAAACAAATGGAAGTGTTAGAGGTAACTTCCAATAGGAACAAGGAGAGACCAGGAAAGGGAGGAGAAGTGGCTACATTTTAAATGACAGGTAACATTGTGTCCGGAATTTATTCCTTGTGGTGGGTTCTTCGTCTTGCTGACTTCAAGAATGAAGCAGCCAACCTCGCCGTGAGTGTTACAGCCCTTAAAGATGGTGTGTCAGGAGTTTCCTCCTTCCCATGGGCTCGTGATCTCACGGACTTCAGGAGTGAAGCCACAGACTTTCGTGGCGAGTGCTACAGCTCTTAAAGGTGGGGCGGACCCAAAGAGTGAGCAGCAGCAAGATTTACTGTGGGGAGCAAAAGAACAAAGCTTCCACAGCCTGGATGGAAACCCAAGCGAGTTGCTGACGCTAGCTTGGGTGGCCAGCTTTTAGTCCCTTATTTGGCCCTGCCCACATCCTGCTGATTGGTCCATTTTACAGAGTGCTGATTGGTGCATTTGCAATCCTTTAGCTAGACATAAAAGTTCTCCAAGTCCCCACCTGCCCCAGAAGCCCAGCTGGCTTCACCTCTCAACATGGTCAGTCTTCTTTTTTTCTTTTTTTCTTTTTTTTTTGAGACAAAATTTCGCTCTTGTTGCTGAAGCTGCAGCACAATGGCATGATCTCAGGGGCTCACTGCAACCTCCACCTCCTGGGTTGAAGCGATTCTCCTGCCTCAGTCTCCCTTGTAGCTGGGATTACAGGAGCCCGCCACCACCCTGGCTAATTTTTGTATTTTTTTAGCAGAGACGGGGTTTCATCATGTTGGCCAGGCTGGTCTTGACTTCCTGACCTCAGGTGATCCACCAGCTTCGGCCTCCCAAAGTGCTAGGATTACAGGTGTGAGCCACTCTGCCCAGCCTGGAATTTATATTTCTGACAACTTGCTAGGTGGTGCTCATGCTGCTGGTCTGGGATGTTTTCACTCCTAAGCTGGGTCTGCCTGCCCAGCGCAGTCAGGCCAAACACCCACACCAAGGTTTGCAGCAGGAGAAAAGAGGTGTTTATTTGCAGGGTGCCAAGCAAGGAGAATATAGCAGCTCCTGCTTTACACCTGACCTCCTGATGGCTTGCGAGTAAGAGTTTGTTTTGTTTTGTTTTGTTTGAGATGGAGTCTGGCTCTGCCACCCAGACTGGAGTGCAGTGGCGCGATCTCCGCTCACTGTAAGCTCCGCCTCCCGGGTTCACGCCATTCTCCTGCCTCAGCCTCCCGAGTAGCTGGGACTACAGGCGCCCGCCACCACGCCCAGCTAATTTTTTGTATTTTTAGTAGAGACGAGGTTTCACCGTGTTAGCCAGGATGGTCTCGATCTTCTGACCTCGTGATCCGCCCACCTCGGCCTCCCAAAGTGCTGGGATTACAGGCGTCAGCCACTGCGCCCGGCCACAAGTAAGGGTTTTAAAGGCAGGGGTAAATTTCAGGAAAACAGAAGTTACAACAAAATTGTGAACTGATACATTGGTTTGGCCTAAAAAGGTGGGATAGTTTGAAGTAGAAGATTACCGGTCATTGGTATATTCAAAGACTGTTTTGCAATTGATGAAAAAAGAGTTTGTTTAAACATTTGGGGTCAGCAGAAAAGATTATTAGCTCTGGCACGTGGGCACGGCTTCCTCCAGGTCCCTCAAGAATAAATTTAGAGCCAAGGACAAACGGAGTTCGGGGTTCAGTCCTCAGCTCCCCCTTATCTGTGTTCTACCCGCCAGCGGATCTGCTCGGTAGGGAGTCTGGGTTTCTGAAAAACAACTCAGGGACATATGTTAAAATGTTGCCTTTAGTTTCAAATATCTTATGGCTAGAACTTCCTTGGCTGTTGTTTTAAGCTGTGATTACTTTCTTGCTTATCAAGTTGCTTGCTTCTCAGGGTTAGCTAGGTGCCTGGAATTTCCCTTGAAGGAACTCAATATTTTCCTTTATTTCCATGCATGGGGGTGCAGGGTGGTGGAATGGAGGGGGTGCAGGCCCCAAGAGGGTTCCCTGCTCCATTTTAGGGACCGCACTTGTGAAACAATATCCTCTGAGTAGGAGATTCAATTTTTTCCCGTGACAATCTTAAGGTCTATTTCAACAAAGGGCCAGATAGTAAATTTACTTTTGTTCTAGAGGCTGTAATGTCTCTGTACAGCTGTTCAACTCAATCACAGGAAAGCAATCATAGATAAAATGTAAAAAAATGGGTATGGCCAAGGGCCGGGAGCAGTGGCTCACGCCTGTAATCCCAGCACTTTGGGAGGCCAGGGTGGGTGGATCACGAGGTCAGGAGATCGAGACCATCCTGGCTAACATGGTGAAACACTGTCTCTGCTAAAAATACAAAAGAATTAGCCAGGCGTGGTGGCGGGCGCCTGTAGTCTCAGCTACTCTGGAGGCTGAGGCAGGAGAATGGTGTGAACCTGGGAGGCGGAGCTTGCAGTGAGCCCAGATAGCGCCACTGCACTCCAGCCTGGGCAACAGAGCAAGACTCCATCTCAAAAAAAAAAAAAGAAAAAAAAATGGTTATGGCCAAGTTTAATTCTTTGGGCCATAGTTTACCAAACTCCTGATTTAGATGATTAGCAATAGTCCTACAAAGTCTGAACTCTGTATATCAAGGCAGTATATAATTAAATAACTGATTTTAATTACTATAGGACTTCAATGAAAGGAGAGAATGCTATCAGTTGAAATAGTTTTCTGAAGAGAAAATGGGGCCAGAGACTTCAGGAATCAGCAATATATTTACTGTCTGTTAAATTAATTGCCTTTTATTACGTGCTAATCAAGTTCTGCTTTATTTCATAGACAAGAGTGGTTTTGAATTAAGTAACTCTCAGACAATTGTTTCAGCAAATGATTTAGTTCTCATTTCCATGCTTACGTATAAGTTCTTTCACTCAAAAAAAAAAAGAGGAAATCTTTAATTTAGGAATAAATTACAGAGGATTCCTTCAAGTTTGATTTGTTTTCAAAGCCTAAATTTATAACTTTTATGTTGCCCTTGCCAATGATTATTTGCAGTTACAGTCTGTAGTTTCACATCATTAATAACTAGAAAGAAAAATGGGCTTTTTATTTGGCTTCAAAGTGGGTGATGAGTTTTGGAGCTTCATCTGCTTGCCGTGTTGCTATTGATGCCAATATATTTGCGACTTCCCACTTGCAATATCATTATCAACAGGTAGAGAAAGACATAATGGTTTCAATCTCCTTGCTGACAAACACTACATTTGTTAAATCACAGATTTAGCTAAAAAAAATGAAAGGAATATTCCCCGTTGGCTGTGAATTTATAAAAATTACTTTCTTTGACAGACAGTCCTCTGTTTCCTGTCTCAGGGAAAATACACAAAGTATAATGAACACCATGGAGGCATTTCCTAAACTTACATCTCATTATTCAATGCAGGGAGCACAGACTCTGAAGAGGGAAACCACAGGGGAAATTACACATACCATTTGTCAACTTACATTCCTTTAAGCAAAATGCACCAAATTAAGAATTCGGGATGATAGTTTTGCATTGCTGAGTACATTTGAAAATCATTTGAGGCCGGGTGCGGTGGCTCACGCCTGTAATCCCAGCACTTTGGAAGGCTGAGGAGGGTGGATAAACTGAGGTCAGGAGTTCGAGACCAGGCTGGCCAACATGGAGAAGTGATGGCGTGGTGGCCAGGCTTGGTGGCAGGCACCTGTAATCCCAGCTACTTGGGAGGCTGAGGCAGGAGAATCGCTTGAACCCAGGAGGAGGGGGTTGCAGTGAGCCAAGATCGTGCCATTGCACTCCAGCCTGGGAGATGGCCCAAGACTGTGTCTCAAAAAAAAAAAAAGAAAAGAAAAGAAAATCATCTGGATGCTGGTCAAAGCTTAAATGCTAAAAAGTTCTACCTCATGAGTTTGTTTTGCTGGTATGTGTGGAGTCCACCTCTATCTTTCTCAGACTCTCTCTCTTACTCTCTTACTCCCTCCCTCTTTCCTTCCTTCCTCCCTTTCTTCCACCCTCCCTCTGTCTCTTCCACCCTCCCTCCCTCTCTTCCTTCCTTCCTTCTTTCCTGTACATTCTCACCAGCTACAAACTTTGGACCCTCTTGACAAACGTTTTTGTGTCTTCCATGAGGATGATTACTACTAGCTTGTTGCTGATGGTAAGCCACATTTCCTGTCTCCATATTGAAGAAATGAAATGGCAGCTTGAAGGCAGCAGGACAGAGATTCGCTGCCAAACAACCAAATCAGCTGTAAATGCCTGTTGGTATGGAGGACAGAAGGGCTCCAGGCTGTACCATCATTGAGATGCAGGAATTCAAGTGAGTCTTCCGTATTTGAACTGGCCTGGAGTTGGTGCTTGGGAGTTGATGGCTACTTCTACATATAACTACACAAAGAACTGGCTTAATATTAATGCTCAAGTAAACGAGTCACTAAACAAACAAGAAAAACAAGACCAAACTATGAAATCTGTTGTTAAAAGTATATTAAAATTCAGATTGAAAATGATTGAAATCAATTATTAAATATGTTTCAAAAAAAGAAAGCATGCTACATCCATTTGGTTTGTTTTCATAGGTAATATCAAACTGCTAAATATCACCTTAATTCAGTCATTGATAAATGTGTGCAATGAGGTGTAGCCCACAAAGCCTTTAATCAGTGTGACCATTCCAATATCTCATGGCCTTTAATTTTGCTTCTGTTCGGTTATCAACATTGGATGTTATAACATCAGGTGGCATGATGTGTGACATTTGTCTGTCGTTCATTCATTCCATTATTTATTGAATGCCTATTACAGCACAGAATTTGACATGGGAGTGGGAGAGTAATCGTGAACAATACTAGTAAAATGCCTGCCCTCATGAGGATTATGTTCCTGTTGTCATGAAGTTGTCATCTACTTCTAGATGATAAACAAGAAACAAATAATCAAAATGCACTCAAAGAATAATAATAAGGGCTTGAGGAAGTTAAAGCACTTTAAGGAAGTTAAAAAAAAAAAACTAGTCATGGGGCAGTGGCTAATTGAGTGGTCAGGGAGGCCTCTTCACAGAGTTCACATTTTGCTGAAAACTAAAGAAGATCCAGCCTTGAGAAGATGTGGAAAAGGGAACAGCAAATGCAAAAGCCTGATAGAGGAAGAGCTTTGGATGGTGATATTTCAACAAGAACATCCTCAAGGCTGGAGCAGGGTGAACAGGAGGGAAACCAGTAGCATGTGGAATAGGATCAAATGAGCATTCAACTCTATTTTTCCAGGGATTGGAGAATCAGATAAGGCCCCCCATGTATGCTGTAAATAACCAAGACTGACTTTCTACATTAAAAGAGAGAGATGTGTCTTTCCTTTTGAATGTTAAAAACAGTTTAAAAGTCTTTACAAAATTACCAAAGACAAATAATATCACATATATCAAATTTATCCATTTGATTAATAATTTTTAAGATTTTGAAGATTAATAATTTTTAAAATTATTTTTATTTCATGATTTTGCATAAAAGTTGTGAGTGAAATAGATACTGTGATTGGAGAAAAGATAAGGAGACAATGTATATGTGTCTATTTGGCAGGGGGTGGGGACACGTCATAATATATATTTGGTATGCATCCTATCTAGTTTCTAATTAAAACCAAAATTGGCTGGGCGCGGTGACTCACGCCTGTAATCCCGGCACTTTGGGAGGCCGAGGCGGGCAGATCACGAGGTCAGGAGTTCAAGACCAGCCTGGCCAATATGGTGAAACCCTGTCTCTACCAAAAATACAAAAATTAGCTGGGCGTGGTGGTGGGCACCTGTAGTCCCAGCTACTCGGGAGGCTGAGGCAAGAGAATCACTTGAACCAGGGAGGCGGAGGTTGCAGTGAGCCAAAATCACGCCGCTGCACTTTAGCATAGGAGACAGAGCAAGACTCCGTCTCAAAAAAAAAAAACCAAAATTATAATATGACTCACCACAGCAACCCATTTACATCTTCTGTTACATGGCAACAAGGAACTAAATATTAATCATAAACCCCCAAAGACATTAATCCTAGGATGTAAAGTCACTCCCTAAATCGCTACGTCTTTAAGTTTCATGGGTCCACTCCTTGTCTATGGGTGATCTCTGTTGTAGAATTTGTCCCATCCCACTTCCTTGGGCTGCTTCCCTCAGTAAACTCACACATTCACTCTCTCCAATAAAATCAGAATAATGATGAAGTGGTACCACTTTCTTGCTTCATTGGCAAATAACTATGGAAGCTAAGTGTCTTGTTAAGAACTATATTAGCAGATCATAATGAGCCCTAGACTTGCTATCTCTTAAACATTGATGAAAGATAAGATGTAAAACTAGCAGTTGCTGACTTGCATTAATAAAGTGTTAAGAAGGGCGAGAGCCAAGGATTGCCACAGGGAGGAAATTAAGTAACCCGCTTACTGCATTTCCTTGGGCAACTGTAGATAAAATGTTTGGCTTGGGTAAAGAACTGTTAAAACCTTAAAATAAAATTTAATGACCCCATTTTTTAAAAACTTAATTTTTAATCAGGTTTTTAAACACAGTATAATTCCTTCAGTATGGCAGCTGTGCCATGGAGTTCACGCTATGTAATGTTTTTGTATTTAAAAAAATAGTTTGTACTTTAAAAAAATACATAGCTGTATTGACATATAGTTTATATAATGTACATTTTATCCATCTAAAAGTAAAATTCAGCCTCCCAAGTACCTGGGATTACAGGCACCTACCACCATGCCTAGCTAATTTTTAGCTAGCTAATTTTTTAGCTAGCTAATTTTTAGCTAGTATTTTTAGTAGAGACAGGGTTTTGCCATGTTGGCCAGACTTGTCTCGAACTCCTGACCTCAAGTGATCTGCCCATCTCAGCCTCCCAAAGTGCTGGGATTACAGGTGTGAGCCACCATGCCCAGCCTTTTTTGTGGTTTTGATTTATATTGTTCTAATGACAAATAATGTTGATCATCTTCCTATGAGCACACAGGCCAATCTTTGGAAAAATCTTTAGTCACATTTATTGCTCATTTTTAAACTAGGTTATTTGTCTTTTTATTATTGAGTGGTAAGTGTTCTTTATACATTCTGGATATAATATCTTATCAGATATATGATTTGCAAATATTTTCTCTCATTCTGTGTGTCGTCTTTTCAGTTTCTTGGTAGCATCTTTGGAACTACAAAAATTCTGGCCAGGCACAGTGGCTGAGGCCTGTAATCCTAGCATTTAGGGGGGCCGAGGTGGGCAGATCACCTGATGTCAGGGGTTCAAGACAAGCCTGGCCAACATGGCGAAACCCCGTCTCTACTAAAAATACAAAAATTAACCTGGTGTGGTGGCGCATACCTGTAATCCCAGCTACTGGGGAGGCTGAGGCACGAGAATTGCTTGAACCCAGGAGGCAGAGATTGCAGAGAGCCAAGATCACACCACTGCACTCTAGCCCGGGTGACAGAGTAAGACTCCACCTCAAAAAAAATTTTTTTTTTCTTTAAAAAAAAATTCAATTGACAAATAATGACTGTGTGTATTTATGGGATACAATGTGATATATTCATATATGTATAAATTATAGGAAGTCCAACTTATCTATTTTCTTCTTTTGTTGCTTGTGCTTTTGGTGTCATATCTAAGAAAGCTAAAGTCAAGAAGATTTTTTTCCCCTATGCTCTCTTCTAAGAGTTTTATAATTTTATCTATTAAATTTTAGTATATATTTTTGAGGTAACTTTTTGTATAAAATATGAAGAAAGGGTCCAGTTTCAGTCGTTAGCATGTGACATCCAGTTTTCCCAACACCATTTGTTGAAAAGACTATTATTTCCATTGAACAGCCTTGGCATTCTGGTTGAAAATCAACTATTAATGTAAACATTGATTTCTAGACTCTTAGCTGTATCCCATTGGTCTATATGTGTATCCTTATGCCAGTACAAGTCTGTAATTATTACTATAGCTTTGTAGTAAATTTTGAAATAGAGAAGTGTGCATACTCCATATTTGCTCTTCACTTTTGAGATTACTTTGACTATCAGGAGTCCCTTGCATTTCCACATGAATTTTTGGATGGGCTTGTCAATTTCCACAGAAAAGGCTGTTGAGATTTCTATAGAGACATGGTGACTGTATATCAATTTGGAAAGCCATCTTAATAATGTCTCCCAATCTCTGAACATTGGTGTCTTGTCATTTATTTACTCCTTTTTTTTTTTACCTTCTTTCAAGTATGTTTTGTAGTTTTAGGGTATAACTTTTGCTCTTTTTGAATAATTAATTTCTAAGCATTTTCTTTTTTGATGCAATTATCAATGGAATTGTCTTAATTTGAAGTGTTCATTGCTAGAGTAGAGAAATACAATTTTTTTTTTAATTTAAAGGAGTTTAATTGAGCAACAAACAGTTCAAGAATCGGGCAGCCTTCCCAGGCAGAGTAGGCTCGGACACTCCAGCACAGTCATGCGGTGGAAGGTTTATGGACAGAAAATGGAAGTGAGGTACAGAAACAGCTGGGTTTGGCTGCAGCTTGGCATTTGCCTTATCTGAACATGGTTTGAACAGTTGGCTACATTTGATTGGCCAAAACTCAGTGATTGGCACAAGTGTAGTCTGTTTACACCTCCACTTGTCACAATATACAGACAAACTTTTAGGCCAAACTTAAATATATAAGGAGGCGGCTTTAGGCTAAACTTGATTTCAACACCTGTATTCCAACACTTTGGGAGGCCGAGGCGGGAGGATCACTTGAGCCTAGAAGTTAGAGGTCAGCCCAAGCAACATAGTGAGACCTTGTCTCTGCGAAAATAAATTAGCCAGGCATGGTAGCATGTACCTGTAGTCCCAGCTTATCAGGAGACTGAGGCCAGAGGATCATTTGAGCCCAGGAGTTCAAGGTTGTAGTGAGCTACAAGTGCGCCACTGCACTCCTGGGCAACAGAGCAAGACCCTACCTCAAAAAGAAAAAAATAATGACATAAGCAATTACGTGGAAATAAGGTCATACCTGTCAAAGTAATCAGCTGAAAGCAGTTGCCTCTGAGGTGCAGGAAAGGGGGAAAGTGGAGATAAGGGAACTACTTTTCTTTAAAAAAAAAAGATAAAACTAACACTTCAAGCCAGGCAAAGTGGCTCACACCTGTAATCCCAGCACTTTGGGAGGCCAAAGCGGGTGGATCACCTGAGGTCAGGGGTTCGAGACCAGCCTGACTAACATGGTGAAACCCTGTCTCTACTAAAAATACAAAAATTAGCTGGGCACAATGGCGGGCGCCTGTAATCACAGCTACTCGGGTGGCTGAGGCAGGAGAATTGCTTGAACCTGGGAGACAGAGGATGCAGTGAGCCGAGATTGCACCATTGCATTCCAGCCTGGGTGACAGAGCGAGACTCTGTCTCAAAAAAAAAAAAAACAAAACAAAACAAAAAAAAAAAACCTAACACTTCATTACCTCTGAATGGACATTAAAAAATATTTTAATAAATAAAAAAAGATTTAATACTTCAAACTATGGGCACACAAAACCTTGATAAAAATAAAAACAAATTTAGAAATCTATTAATAGGACAGCATGTTGAGAGACTTTAAAGGAGTTTTTTTTTAAGTATTTTTAAAATAATCTCAAATTTATAGAAGTCTTGGAATTAAAGTACAAAGAACTTTTGTTTTGCTAAATGATTTGAAAGTTCCTGACCTGACTCCCTATAACCCCTACATACTGTATGTCTTCTATAAACAAGGACTGAATGCAATAAAATTGTAATATAGCTAGCAAAATCAGGAAATCAACATTAATAGATTTCTACCATCCAACCAACAGATCTATTCAAGTTTTGCCAAGTCAGGATCCAGTTCAGAATCACCACTGCACTTATTTCTCACGTCTCTTTCATCTTCAGTCTGGAACAGTTCTTCAGTCTTTCCTTAACTTTCATGACTTTACACTTCTATTACAGGCCAATTATTTTGTAGAATTTTCCTTAATTTGAATTTGTTGCTTTAGGATTAGATTCCAATTATGTATTATTGGCAGGAGCATCATAGAAGTGATGCTGTGTTCTTCTTGCTAGACTATCAGGAGGCACACGATTGCAATTTGTCCTATTACTGAGGATGTTCATTTTGGTTACTTGATTAAGGTGGCGCCTGCCAGATTTTTCCACTGTGAAGTGACTTCCTTTTGTAACTAATGAATAATTTGTGAAGAGCTGCTTTGAAATGATGTAAATATCTGTTGATTTGAAAATACAACAAAATTATACTATGAATTGAATAATACATCTAAATTAATTTGCATTTTATCAATGACAACCAGATCCACATACTTTTGTAAAACAGTTGCTGGTGTGTGTGCGCAACAGGTTGTTGACTTAGGCAATGTGTGGAATGTTCTGGATTCCTAGACCCCGGGCAGTAGCTCCAAGACAGTTTTGAACTTTCAAGTAAGACAAACTTAGTTTTGATTTCCAGCTGTACACTTAGAAGCTATGGATGGTAGATTCTTTGTTGGGGAAAATGGCAGCAATTCTCACTCCCTGTGTCTACCCCTTTGGTTGTCCCCTTCCATACCGGCTGGCCATGCCCTTGTGACCTGCTTTGGCCAATGGGAGAATAGCAAATATGACATAAGTGAGACATGGGAAGTTCTTGTGTTGCTGCCCTTATGCTGCTTTTGAAACTCAACCCCTATGTTCAAGCTCTCCTGGATAATGAGACTTGTGGTCACATTCCCATCACCCAGCTGACGATGAGCTCCTCCTGTCCCTAAAATATGAGGCCCCTTAGCCATCCAGCCCCCATCCAGTTATTGAGAAACAAGTATTACCTGTTTGAAATCATAAACGGGTGGTTTATGATGCAGCAAAAACTAACTTACATACAACATGACCTCATGTGGGTTTCTTAATTTCTCTCAGTCTCAGCTTTCTCATCTATAGGATGGAGATAAGGCAATCAACCTCGCTATTTAGAGGATTAAATGAGAAAATATATGCAAAGTGCTTGGCATAGCATAAATACTCAACACATATGGTAATTTTTTAAAAACCCTCTATATTAGTCCCTTTTAATTAAAATTTTAATTAAAACAAAAGAAAAACAAAACAAAACAAAAACCTCTGCTGGGTGGACGAGGGGCAGCCCTCAGGCTAGATGCACTGATTTAGTACTTTTAATAGTGGCAGGAGTCAGACAAGCCCCTAGGCAGATAGTGGCATGTCCCCAACGAAATCCAACTTTCAAACCGAAGGCAGTTTAAAGCCCGAAAGCTAAGCTACAAGTCTTGGATAAATCCATGGACTGAGCTGAGAACATCTCTTCCTGTTGGTGCACTTTCCTCTGACTGATCCCCACCCTTCACTTACTTTACATATATCTACCCTTCCCTAGGTGGTTTTCTACACTGTCATGCCACCTTTGAATGGTTCCTTTGTTTTAGCCTTTTTTGTATACTCGTAAACCAATCAGCATGCAGTCCCCACTTCTGAGCCCATAAAAGCCCCGGACCCAGCCACGCTGGGAGAGAGACCACCCGACTTCAGGTCAGGGACCACCCTCGCATCCCCTCTCCGCTGAGAGCTGTTTCATTGCTTCATAAAACTCTTCTCTGCCCTTTTCACCCTTCCATTGTCAGCAAAGGGTACGAAGAAGGCAGTAACACCATAGCCCTCCACCCCTCCCCCACTACCTGTGCCCAGTGGCAGCCCCTTGCCATGAGAGGCAGTGCAGGGCCAGGCCAGCCAGGGAGCCTCCAGCAGGAGCAGGCAACAGGACTGACAGAGTTGTTAACACACCCCCCATTCATTGTTAACATGCCCGTTTGTCAGGCTGCTGACGGTGGGACTAAAAGAGCTGTTAGCATGGCTGTAACATCCCCTCTGGGGCTTCAGAGTCGAGTGCTTTCCTGTTTGGGTGCCACCAAGTTCCCTTCATCTGCATGCCAGAGTTCACCCCCGGAGTCACTTCCGACAGGCCTGATCCAGCTGCAGGCCCCAAAGGGAGCCCGCTCCTGCGCCAGCACTTGGAGTTGCTGGCAAGATGAGGCACTCACTTGATCACACACCCCCTCCTACTGGGGCTGAGCATGCAGTCTCGGTGGCTGCAGGATCCCCACCAGAGTGCAAGCCCAAGTGGGCAGGGCACCTCCTGCCTGGGGCAGAGCTAGGCATGGGCAGGGGCATCGTCAGCCAGAAGTCTGCAGTTGGAAAAGTGTCCGAGAAAAATCCTGCGTCACTTTGGAAGCAGTCTTCCTATCCTAGAATGCCAGAGGGCAAGCATCTGAAAGATCTGGAAGGATGAGGCAGCAAAGGCCAAGATGTGAATGTACACTGCCCCTGTCAGAGGTGATCGAACCAGAGTGATTCCATCTTGAATAGGGGCTGGGTAAAATAAGGCTGAGACCTGTGAGGCTGCATTCCCACTAGCTTAGGCATTCTAAGTCAGGATGAGATAGAAAGTCCGCACAAGATACAGGTCACAAAGACCTTGCTGATAAAACAGGATGCAGTAAAGGAGCCAGCCAAAACCAAGATGGTGACGAAAGTGACCTCTGGTCATCCTCACTGCTCATTATATGCTAATTATAATGTATTTCCATGCTAAATGACACTCCTGCCAGTGCCAGGACAGTCTACAAATGCCATGGCAACATCAGGAAGTTACCCTATAGGGTCTAAAAAGGGTAGGAACCCTCAGTTGCAGGAATTGCCCACCCCTTTCCCGGAAAACTCATGAATAATCCACGCTTTGTTTAGCATATGATCAAGAAATAACTGTAAGTATAGTCAGTCGAGCAGCTCCTGCCGCTGCTCTGCCTATGGAGTAACCATTCTTTCATTCCTTTATTTTCTTAATAAGCTTGCTTTCACTTTATGGACTTGCCCCAAATTCCTTCTTGCAGGAGGTCCAAGAACCCTCTCTTAGGGTCTGGATAGGGACCCTTTTCCAGTAACATCCCCATCACAGCCCTAATCACTAGGGGACCCTCTAGGCTCTTCCTGCCCTCCCCAGGCTGTCTCCCTTAAACATGCTGGATGCAGGGGTGCATCAGTGACTCCGCTGGTGCCTCCAGGAAAATAAAGTGTGGACCTCTGTGGACAAGAAACAACCCAAAGTAAAGACGACTCCTCACAGGCAGGATGGATATCCAGTTGTATGTATGTCGGTGTGCTGGGGCCGGGAGGCTCCTAATAACAATGTTACCGCTGCTTCACGTGGAAGAAAGCTGAGGCTCAGAGAGATTAAGGAACTTGTCCAGGGCCATACCGGAGTCCAGGCCTGTGTGCTGTCATGGTCTGAGGTTTGAACTCCAACAGTTTAAGGAGCTGGGATAGAACTGGGGAGGGAGTGTGGTGGGTGGGAACAGCGGGCAGATAGATTCTGGCTGGTCTCCGAGGGGCCTAGGTTCTGCCAGAGGGACAACAGGTGAGGAAAACAGGCCTCGGGGTGGATGAGTGAATCTTCAGAGGATAGGCGCAGACCCGGAGGGCCGTGAAAGGTGACAGGGTTATTACAGTCTTGGTTGCATAAGGGGGTAACTAGCGGTTTCTCGGCTGAAAAAGAGGAGGGGGGCTAGAGCTTCCCCCCTCCAACCGCGGAGCAAGCAGCCGCTCAGCAGGCTGCCACACAGGGTCCCCCACCTCCGCAGCTGGGGGACCTGAACTCGCCAATAGGAGGTTCCTCTTGCACGCGCGGCTTCACCCTCCCTCCAGGGCTCCCGTTGCATTTCACTCCCTGCCTAAGGTCGCCCGCCGGTGAGGGCGGAGGAGGAAGAACTGCAGCTCCTGAGGACAGAATCTGCTTCAAGGCACCCTGACCGGCGCCCAACCCCACCCCGGCTGCGGCCCGCCGCCCTGATCCCCATCGCGCTGCACGGTCTTCCCTTCCAACACCGAGGGCGCTGCAAGGACGCCCTGTCCCTGCCACTCATTCATATTAATGACTCCTCCCCCCATGCTTTCCTCAGGTGAGTTCGACCGCTCTGCCCAAAACATTTTCATCCCACACTCTTACGGCCACCTCTCCCCAAGTTCCCTTCTGTCTGGGCAAATCTTGTCCTTTACCCGGCACTGGGGTCGCTCCAGAGCTTTCAAACCAGCTTCCCCAGGGCGCTGTGCAGGGCCGGGCCCCTACAATTTTTGTATATTGATCTTGTACCTTGCCGTCAGGCTGAACTTGTTTATTAGTTCCAATAATTTTTTTTAGTGGCATTGTTGGGGTTTTCTATATAAAGGTAATGTCATCTGCAAGTAGAGCTAATTTTACCTCTTCCTTTCCAATCTGAATGACTTTACTTTATTATTCGTTTAATTATCTTATCTTGGCTAGAACCTCCAATACAATGGTAAATAAAAGAGGTAAATGTGCTGCAGTGAGCGCTTAAAGTTTTATGTTGCCTTAGCATCCATTTTTAAATATGTGTTTAACTTTCTCAAACCAGAAGCAGGGTTCAGTCACCCTTGATGCAGTTTCCTGCACTATACCCCCAAATGGCTCCAGGTGGTGACCAGAAATAAAAACCTGGAGGCATCTCTGTCTCCTAGCAGGATGGGCTCCCAGCTTTCCTGCTGCTTCCTCTAAACGACCATTTAAACACTTTTCAGTCACAATGTGACTTCCTAGTACTAGTGCCTGCTTGCTTTAAGCCCATCAATTTAAAGCTCCCTGTTTATATAATGCCCTGGACCCAATAAAGGCAATGACCTCCGTGTGTGTGTGTGTGTTTTCTAAGCATGCTGTGTGCCCTCCAGGGAACTTTCACACTGTGGTCATGTCATTGAAGCCACATCTGCAATCTGACCCATGCAAGTGGATCTCCTGCTGCTGTGCTTCTGTCTGGGTCTCTGGTGGCTGCAGAAACAATGGCTACAAGCTGAGCAGATAAAGAAACTCAGAGAGTTCATTCTAAACAAGTGAACAACCTCTTCTTCCTGATCTAAGGCAAAAAGCATTTAACCTTTCATCATTTATTTCTCCACAAGTGTGGCATGTCATCATTGCCACTCACTGACCCACACACTCATGGTTCATAGCCTGAGAAATAGTTTGCAAAGGCATATTTACCTTCATTGAAACCTTAGAAAACATTTATAAAGGCAGTTCAAAAATCAACCTTAAAATATGCCATAAAAAGACATAGAGAGGTAAGAAGATACTCATGAAATCAGTCATTGTCTCAAACATGAATAATTTTAGAGAAAGTGGATTGGGTCCTTCTTTCCCTGGTTCTCTTCCTTTTTTCTATTCTCTTCTGTGAGCAATAATCCTTTTGTCTGGCTTCTTCATTATTTCAAAGGAGAAAGTACAATACGAGCATGCATTCACCTATACTGTCAATTCCAGAAAAAAATAGCAGAGTTAAATATAAATGGACCTTAGTCATATTTAACCATTGCTCTCCTTGACAATCCAAAGCTTAATAAAGTACATCTCTTTCCATTTAGAAATTAATATATTCATACTCATACTATTAACCTACTAAAATAAAAAAGTAGATGGAAATAATATACATGGAGCTAAAGTCAATATTAAATAGTCCCAGACATATGGTTTGTGACTAATTATTAAACATAATATATGAATTCTTCTGGTGGGTTATACAATTTTAATTGGTTGATTAAAGGACCATTCTATTCTTCAAAGGAGATAATCGTGCTAAATTTTAAGAAAAATTACAGTGGAGGTATTCATCTATGTCTTTATAAAAATGTAATATAAAATGTTTATGCAAAGGAGGCCTGTGAGAGAGGGGAGGGTTAAGGGTTTAATAAGATATTTGGAGTAGTTTATCCCAGGACCACACATGTTCTGCTTTACCATCTGCAATCTCATTAGCTGTCCATGAAGATGCTGTGCCGAATGTAGACCTGAAATTTAGACCTAAGCGCTCACATATATGAAATATACATTGCTAGAGGAGCAAATAAACGAAGAAGAAAAACATTTTCTGATTTGTGGCTTCACTTTTGAACAATAACCAAAAATATTCTACATGCTCAAAGGAAAACAAAACTCATTTTATTCTTATGAGACCAAAGGATTTTATTCTTAGGAGACCAAAGGAATTGACAACAGAAGGTGAAATACAATGCAACCAGACTGGGAAATCTTTCTGCTTGGTTCAGCTGGGCCATGGACAATTTCAAAACGAAGCAATGTGAAAACAGCACATTAATGAATGGATAAAGAAACATGGAGAGAAGATACATTACTTTGGCTACCAGAGGTACAAATGCAAAAAGATTCTCCACTTTTGACTAGTAGAACTGATGATGGATTTAAAATCAGCTGCACATTGAGGGATTTTTGTTCAAGTGTAACATAAATTGTGCTACAATATGAGGATAAAATATGTTATTTTGGGCTATGTTTTAGTGCATAAACACTAACAACATTAATGAATGTTATAATAATTTACTTGAAAGATGTTTAATCTATTTGTAAATAGCTCTGTCACCTGCTGAATGGCTTTCATATGTTTCAAGTAATATTTAATTTCTAAAGAGTATCCTAGACTTTACTCTGAGGATTTATTATATTAACTCTCTCAAAGAGCCCTTATATTGTAAAGAGAGTGTTATCTAGAAAACAAACCTCCTGGGTGTCACACTTTGCTAGTTATGATATTGCTTAAGGTAAAATGGGAAAATTACAGCCCAAGGCTATTTCCCAGTTACCTCTGCTTAGGGACAATAACTGAATGACCCCACAGAAAACACATTAGGGTAGAAGGGGCCTGTTTTCCAGGAATTCCTGCTTCTTCATGTTAAGTACCCTCCCAACCAAGTGAAAGCAAAGACTTCTTAGTAGAAAGGCAAATTCAGCAAACTACTTTCCTTTTTTATCTGAGATAAAAATTAAGTGAGTCTTTGTGTTTTTGTGTATTTATGTTCTCAAGTTTTGCCCTTGTTTATTTTCTGTTCTTTATTAATGAATCAGTAGTTCCATTCTTGAGTTGTTTTGAATTATTTCACCTGGAAGGAGACAAATTTAAGAAGTCCTAGTAAGTAAGCATGAAAAGGGGACTTAAATAAGTGTCAGGAATCAAATGCACTGAGTCCTCGGGTGAGTGTTCAACCCCTGGGGACTGAGAAGTAATCCTTTCCACTGCATCTATTTTATTTCTCTTGAAGAAAATAAAAATCTAACAAAAGTGCTTAGCTATCCAAAATTATCAAATATTGAAAGAATGATTTTTTTTCCACATCAAACAAAATTTAGTTAAATGGTAGTTTCCACATAGGTATAAAATGTTGAACAGCATTAGAGATTAACCCTGTGAGGTAGGGGAGATAAAGAAAGGTTTAGTGGTGGTACAATTAGCTGAGGAGTCAAGAGAAATAGAAAACAAGAAATCTTCTATTTTGCCTTCTTTGGATCATGAATCCATTGTTATGTTTTATTTTTATTAAACAATTATTTCCCATGCTGGAAATGTGAAAGAGTTGAGCCATCCTAAGGAACTTAAGGTGTGACAATTTACAGAGAAGAATAGTTGTAACATTGCTCATTTACTCTGAGTATAAACATGAAAAATATTTTTAAAAACTACAGTGAAATAATTTATTCCACAGAGAAGTCATGGAGCTCTGTTACACATCATATTGTATACTAATAGCTTTGGGTGGGTGGTCTTCAGTTGATAGCACAGAAATGGAGTACGAATTTGCAGGGAAATGACACCAATTGAATTAGGCTTCAGTTTACCAGCTACTGATTCCTATTAACAGGGCATTTTGATGTGAGTCTCCACTAAGCACGTGAGTTAGAAAATAGCTCTAAAGACCATCCTTGATGGATCATTACTTTGAGATGCAAACCCCAGATTGCATTATTAAAACATCTTGGAATCAATTCTGTGCATTTCCAAATAAGCTCTGGCATGGATATGACCACATCATTAATACAGTTTACTTCTCTGGATCCTAGACTCTTTTTTTTTTTTTTTTTGAGATGGAATCTCACTCTGTGCCCAGGCTGAAGTACAGTGGTAGGATCTCAGCTCACTGCAAGCTCCGCCTCCCGGGTTCACGCCATTCTGCTGCCTCAGCCTCCCGAGTAACTGGGACTACAGGCACCTGCCACCACGCCTGGCTAATTTTTGTATTTTTAGTAGAGACGGGGTTTTGCCATGTTTGCCAAGCTGGTCTTGAACTCCTGGCCTCAGGTGATCCACCCACCTCGGCTTTGAGAACAAGAACACCATATCTGCTGGTCTCGAACTCTTGACACCTCAGGCGATCCACGGTCCTCAGCCTCCCAAAATCCTAGGATTACAGGCGTGAGCCACCGCACCCAGCCAAAAAAACTGATGCTATTTTCTACACACCTTGCACCTTATGGATGTGCCTACCAGAGATCTGGATTATAACCCTACCTTGTCACCATAAAAAATTCACTCCTATTGGACACTGACATGAAAGCCTTCTGTTACGTTTTGTGATTGAGCAGTTTTCTCTTACAGCTTATTTACAAGGGAAAGAGAAAGGAAACAAGAAATAGTTTCAAAAAAACAGCCAAAATTTCAGTAATCATTAAAATCAACACAATTAAATACTCTTTTTTTGGAATGAAATTTCGCTCTTGTTGCCCAGGCTGGAACGCAATGGCACAATCTCAGCTCACTGCAACCTGTGCCTCCCGGGTTCAAGCAATTCTGCCTCAGCCTCCTGAGTAGCTGGGATTGCAGGCGCCTGCCACCACGCCTGGCTAATTTTTGTATATTTAGTAGAGACGGGGTTTCACCATGTTGACCAGGCTGGTCTTGAACTTCTGACCTCAGGTGATCCACCCGCCTCGGTCTCCCAAAATGCTGGGATTACAGGCGTAAGCTACCACTGCCAGCAATTAAATACTCTTTTTAAAAGCCTTGAGGGAACCATGTAAAGATCTCAAAACTCTAAGATATTTTCACATCCTGTCCCCATATTCCAAGGTTAGGAAGATTGAGAAGGTATTCATTTACTATTAGTTATTTATTTTATTGTTATTTATATTAAAAATCTCAAGGCAAAATATTAGGTGATTATCCCAAAAGATTACATTAAAGCGTATTCCATAATTAAATGTACATTTCAAATTTAGAAGTTAGTTTTAAAAGCTCATCAGTTAAGGTCTGGAACATAAAAAACATTTCATAAAATTAAGGTTTCGGCCGGGGGTGGTGGCTCATGCCTGTAATCCCAGCACTTTGGGAGGCCGAGGTGGGTGGATCACGAGGTCAGGAGATCGAGACCATCCTGGCTAACACAGTGAAACCCCATCTCTACTAAAAATACAAAAAATTAGCTGGGTGTGGTTGCGGGTGCCTGTAGTTCCAGCTACTCGGGAGGCTGAGGCAGGAGAATGGCGTGAACCCGGGAGGCGGAGCTTGCAGTGAGCCGAGATCGCGCCACTGCACTCCAGCCTGGGTGACAGAGACTCCATCTCAAAAAGAAAAAAAAAAAATTAAGGTTTCACTGATCCTCTGTCCCAGCAGTTCTAATCCCAAGAGAATTAAAAAACATAGGTTCACATGAAAACTTACGATAGTTCAAGGCATCTTTATTTCTAACATCTAAACATCCCAGCTGTCCATCAATAAGAGAATGGGCTAACAAATGGTATACAATGGAACAGTACTCACAATAAAAAGAATCAACTTTTTTTTTGAAGGAGTCTCACTCTGTTGCCCAAGCTGAAGTGCAAGTGGTGAGATCTCGGCTCACTGCAAGCTCTGCCTCCGGGTTCAAGCGATTCTCCTGCCTCAGCCTCCAGAGTAGCTGGGATTACAGGTGCCCGCCACCACACCCAGCTAATTTTTGTATTTTTAGTAGAGACGGGGTTTCACCATGTTGGCCAGGATGTTCTCAAACTGCTGACCTCAAGTGATCCACGTACCTGGGCCTCCCAAAGTGCTGGGATTATAGGCGTGAAGCCACTGTGCCTGGCCAAGAATCAACTTACTGATAAACACAACAAGACAGCTGAATCGCAAATAATAGTATGCTGAGGGAAAGAAGCTTTTAACAAATGCCTACCTGCCTGCCCTCCTTCCTTTTCTTCTTTTATGTTTTTAACCTGGCTTAATTTTCTTGGCTTCATTATTTTAAGCAATTTTTGCAGTGTTGAAAAATTTGCAAGTAAGTTTTCAGAAACAGTTAACTTCAAAATCCTATA
Organism: Homo sapiens; assembly: GCF_000001405.40. Lineage (NCBI taxonomy): Eukaryota > Metazoa > Chordata > Mammalia > Primates > Hominidae > Homo > Homo sapiens. Next base: position 42,364,406 of record NC_000009.12, read on the forward strand.
CATGCTATACATGAAGACAGTAAAAACATGGATGGAAAGAAATAATCAGTTTATTTACATTTTCTGTTTATATGATAAGTAGTAATTTAGCTGAGGTTGACAATTCATTTAAATGAGATAAAAGTCATTTACATTGTCTCTGTGGCTGTTTTCACGATACAAAGGGATGCAAATGTAGGGTGTTACTGAGCAAACAATGGGCTTGCTGCCTAATGTACATGGAGGCCAAGACCATGGCACTGGCTTTTGAGGAAAAAAAAGCTTCATTGCAAGTGGACTGGTAAGGAGACAGGAGGAAGTGCTCCAATATATCACCCCCAGCTGGTGTTTGGGTAGGGTTTTATAAGCATAGGGTAATGAGGTGTGATCTGATTGAATTCTGCAATGAGATGATTCCAGGAGGCATGATCTGATTCGATCCCACAATGGGCTGATGCCAGAGCTCAATTTGATTGGATCCTGGATCCTTCCATACTGCGTCTGCTTCTTAAGTCAGTCCCTGCTCCTTGGTCTTCTCCTTGGTCTGGGCACTTCTCTTCCCCTTGTGGTTGCATACTTGGTTCATCTGGGCATGCTCAGTTTACATGACCTTCAGCCTGAGGGCTCAGACCAACTCATAACTTTGTTGGATTAAAGTTTAGCCAGATTTGTCTGGCGCTGTTGCAGGTAGAGCAGTTGTGACAGAGACTATGTTGCCCTCAAAGCTGAACATATTTACAGTGGTGCACCCTTATCCACAGGGGATTCCTTCCAAGATCCTCAGTGGACACCTGAAATCTTCAGTAGTACAGGACACTATACATATTGTGTTTCCTTTACATATATACTTATAATAAAGTTTATAAATTAGGCACGGTAAGAGATTAACAACAATAGCTACTAATAACATAGAACAATTCTAACAATAAGCGAGCATCACTATTCTTGTGCTTTGGTGCCATTATTAAGTAAAATGAGGGCTCCTTAAACACAGCACTGTGATACCTCAACAGTCAATCTGATAACTCAGAAGGCTACTAAGTGACTAACGGGCAGGTAGCGTATAAGGCATGGATATGCTAGACAAAGTGGTGATTCGTGTTCTAGGAGGGACACTACTCAAAACAGCGTATAATCTAAACTTATACATTATTTCTAGAATTTTCCATTTAATATTTTCAGACCACAGTTGACCACATTTAATTGAAACCACAGAAAGTGAAACCATGGATAAGGGGAACTACTCTATACCATATCATCTGTCACCTTACAGAAACTGTTCACTGATCCCTTTTGTAGACTAAAGAGTCATAAAGATTTCTCACTATGTGAGATAGAATAATTTTTAAAAGCGTAAGTTCCAGTTTACACTTTTAAGTTCCAAGTTCCCTCTATGACTGATCATCTGACTTTGCATGAGTCACACAAGCTGAGTCCAGCTGTCCCCAGCCACTGAGATACAGATACTAACAAGCACCTCTACTCAGTTCTCAATCTGTCAAGTGTGCAGTGAGCATCTAAGGTCAAGAATACATTTCAAAGATCACAGCAGCTGGTGCTGAGAATACCATCGAAATATAAATAATGGCCTTGGCAATGTAACTGAGAAGACTAGTATATTTGAAACATGGGAGGCAAACTCAAGACAGAATATAAATACATTTAATTACTAAGTCAAGGAGTAAGTTCTGGTATATCCATACAGTGGAATATTTTAGCAGGCATTAAAAATGAAATCTTTCGGCCAGGCACAGTGGCTCATGCCTGTAATCCCAGCACTTCAGGAGGCCGAGGTGGGCAGATCATGAGGTCAGGAGATTGAGACCATCCTGGCTAATATGGTGAAACCCTGGCTCTACTAAAAATACAAAAAATTAGCCGGGTGTGGTGGTGGGCGCCTGTAGTCCCAGCTATTTGGGAGGCTGAGGCAGGAGAATGGCGTGAACCTGGGAGGCGGAGCTTGCAGTAAGCCAAGATGGCACCACTACACTCCAGCCTGGGCGACAGAGCCAGACTCCATCTCAAAAAAAAAAAAAAAGATATTTTTCAAAGAAATACGTTTATGATGGTTTGGTTTTAATTGAGATACATAAATACTTCAATTTCTGTAATGGCTGTGAGATGTTCCTGTTTTAACTCCCTTCTTGGGAAACTATTTCTGTTTGCAGATGACATAATCCTATATCTAGAAAATGCCATCATCTCAGCCCAAAAGCTTCTTAAGCTGACAAGCAACTTCAGCGAAGTCTCAGGATACAAAATCGATGTGCAAAAATTACTAGCATTCCTATACACCAACAACAGGCAAGCCAAGAGCCAAATCACAAATGAACTCCCATTCACAATTGCCACAAAAGAATAAAATACCTAGGAATACAGCTAATCAGGGAGCTGAAAGACCTCTACAAAGAGAGCTACAAAACATTGCTCAAAGAAATCAGAGATGACACCAAAAAATGAAAAAACATTTCATGCCCACAGATAAGAAAAAAACAATATCATGAAAATGGCCATACTGCCTAAAACAATTTATAGATTCAATGCTATTCCCATTAAACTATCATTGATATTCTTCACAGAATTAAAAAAACTATTTTAAAATTCACATAGAACCAAAAAAAAAAAGCCCAAATATCCACAACAATCCTGAGCAAAAAACACAAAGCTGGAGGCATCACACTACCTGACTTCAAACTATACTATAAGGCTACAGTAACCAAAACAGCATGGTACAGGTACAAGAACAGACACATAGACCAAGGGAACAGAAACGATAACCCAGAACTAAGACCACAGACTTATAGCCATCTAATCTTCAAGAAACCTGACAAAAACAAGCAATGGGGAAAGGATTCCCTATTTAATAAATGGTGCTGGGAGAACTCTGGCTAGCCATATGCAGAAAATGGACCGTATAGAAAAATCAACACAAGATGGGTTAAAGACTTAAATGTATAACCCAAAATTATAAAAAACCTAAAAGAAAACCTAGTCAATACCATTCAGGACACAGGTATGGGCAAATATTTCATGATGAAGATGCCAAAAGCAATGCAACAAAAGCAAAAATTGACAAATGGGATCTAATTAAACTAAAGAGCTTCTGTATAGCAAAAGAAACTGTCATCAGAGTGAACAGACAAGCTACAGAATGGGAGAAAAATTTTGCAATCTATCCATCTGACAAAGGTCTAATATCCAGCATCTACAGGGAACTTAAATAAATTTACAAGAAAAAAACAACCCCATTAAAAGGTGGACATTCTTTTCACTCTAGGAATCTCTGATTTGTCTCTGGCACTTTCAAGAATTTGTATATTTCTTTGTCATCTGATGATTCATTAAAATGTATCAAGGTGTTGGAGATTTTTTTTTCATACTGCTTGTAGATTTTTTTGCTTTCCTTCCTAAATTCATGTTCTTAGCCTATTGTGACTCGGCTATATGCAAGAAGTCTGGCTCAGCCTTCCCAACATTTTATGTGTCCAAGGCCTACTTTTACTTTCCCCTGAGTAGTTGTTAATACCCCAAACTCTGGGTAACCCAGGTCAGTTTCTGTTCCCCAGGCAACTGTAGCTCCTGTACTGCTTTTATCTATTTCTGGATTGCCATCAGGGCTTCCTTGAGAGCTTCACATTTACTTAAAAGTAGACTTGATAAAATTTTCTGATATTTTGTAGCGCTACAAGGCTTTTTAGGAAACCCAGTTTGGCCAATTGACAGAAATGGAAGTCCAACTTGGGTGGGATAACTATTATTGTCAATCACTTTATATAGAATGAAACAGTGGTGCAGAGACATGACTTTGAATTATGCAAGGTCAAAGTGCCAACATACTTCAGATGTGGAACTTAAAGTCAACAAATCTGAAACCAACGTTAATGTGTTCCTCAATACTTCAGTGAATACAATTACTGATAGCAAGGTGAGTAACCTAAAGCAAAAACAAGGGACTACTTTACTCCTTGTGTTTAGTCCTATTCCATAACATAGTTTGTGTTCTTGGAACTATAAACTTCATCTTTTTAACTACTTGCCACATGGTAAAACTGACAATCATGGAATATGTCATGTTATCCTGTGACTTAGAATGTCTGGTGGGGCATCACTCCACTCTTCTGGAGAGAACATGTATGACAGTTTGAAACATTCAAAATGTGCTGTTCTTTGCAGTCAGGAAAGAACTTCAGGGCAGGACAGAAAGAAATCAGTCACAACATTTCAGATATTGGTGTTAGAAGGAGTTATTTAGGGAGTTATTTAAAGATAAGACATACTTCCTGGCTCTGTTGAAATCACATCGTGTAAGAAGCTGCCTATTTCATTAATACATAAAGCCAGCCTTCCTTTACAAGTAGAGGCTACATTATCCCTGATTATACTTTATTTTTAAAAACTGAACTTGAGGAGAGAGACTCAGGCCTGTATCATACACTTTCCTTAGTTTTTGTTTTGTCAGAAGCATATTATTAACAAGTAGTCTCTTTCAAAAAGACAAGATACAAACGAGTAGAAAAAAATCCATTCTCTTATCTCATGATGGTTAGATTATTTAAGAGTTGAAGTGATTGCTATGTCATTTGCATAAATTCAAGGACTTTTATTTATTTATTTTTTCATTTTTGAGATGGAGTCTCGCTCTGTCACCTAGGCTGGAGTGCAGTGGCGCGATCTCGGCTCACTGCAAGCTCTGCCTACCGGGCTCACGCCATTCTCCTGCCTCAGCCTCCTGAGTAGTGGGACTACAGGTGCCCGCCACCACACCTGGCCAATTTTTTGTATTTTCAGTAGAGACGGAGTTTCATCCTGTTAGCCAGGATGGTCTCGATCTCCTGACCTCGTGATCCGCTCACCTCAGCCTCCCAAAGTGCTGGGATTAGAGGTGTGAGACACCGCGCTTGGCCAAATTCGAGGACTTTTCTCTCTCAATTGCTTACAATTAAAAATTTTGTAGTAGCAAATGCTCACAGATTTGGGGCTTTCAGAAATGTCTTTTCAAACTAAAAACTTTTAAAATAAATAATATTGCAGATATTTAAAATAATAATATTTCTAGATTGCAGAGGAAATACAAACTCCCAGTTAATCATACCAAATATATTCTATGTTCTTTAACTTCTGGTAGAAAAAAAATCAGATTTATACTTTATATCTTCCTGTATTTTAGAAAATAGCAGACAATGAGAGAAGATCATTCTCTAATGAGATATTTGGGATCCAACACAGAATAAATGTCTGTATCTTAATTTTAAATTTTTACTATATAATTATTGATATCTTTTCCTAAAAGGGGAAATCCCTTACTCTAATTTTGAGATTGATATTTAGAATAATTGCTAAACTAAATAGTAGACTTGAAAAAGCTTTGCTCATAAAATTCTTAGATTTATTTTATTTTACAGAAGTGATAATCGTAATTAACAAAAATTCTTAAGTGTAATAAATTCATTTTGGTAGATTTTGGTATGTAAATGAGAAAACAGTCTTCTAACTATAACAAATTATTTAGCTTAAATAGTCTGTCATATAAAATTTGGTGAAAAACTAAAAAAACAGTAACAAAAAACTGAGCCTATTCAAATTATATGTAAAGTTTGTGCACAGTATATAAAACTAAGTTAAGTAGGCTTACAAAATAACACTTCATATAGTATTTTGGGGAAACTCTTTCTCCAAGAGGAGAAAAAATAGCCAAATAGGAAAGAGAGTGCAAGGTTTTAATCAAGTGTGTCTCTTCCCTTGGCTTGTGTGGGAAGATTGTAGATGGGAATACTAGGATCAGATTTAGAACACTGATCTGATGTCAATGACCTAACTCAGCATAGCCAGCAAGGTAATATTTCCAGATAAAGAGAGAAAAAAAATTCTCCTAGATAAGAAAAAACAACAGGGTGCTCTCAAAACCAGCACTGTAATCACCACTGAGCTAATTAGCAGGACATTTAAGGCCAAGGCACCATGGAAAGGCCAGAAAGAGACAAAAGTCAATAAAAATGGTCACTGACGACAGAGTCACAGTGCCTGGCTGACAGATGGTGCTGAAAATCCCTGAGAGATGAGGACGACTTCAGATAAGAGTGGTCCAGGGAAGATACTCAGTCATTGACAAAGCACAATGGGAAGGGTCAGTAAAAAGATCAATAACAGAAGGAAACAGCTGCCACATTCATCATTCTTAACGTCAAGGTTGACATTGGATAAATGGAGTTGGCCTTCTTTTTTTCTTTTTTTTTTTTACAATAGTTTAGTGCAGAAACCTCTAAAAGGAGCTTGTACATGAAGAACTGAAGTGAGAAGCCTAGCCATTTGTATACCTTTTAGTAATAGAGACTGAATATTAAAACAGACAGTGGCCAAACCACGTACGACAATGGAACTCTGACCCACAACCACTGCAGCAACCAGCTTGGGAAGGCAAACCACAATCTCTGCAGCAGCCAGTTCAGGAATGCAAGCCACAAATTCAGTAGCAATTTGCCGAAAACAATCAGAGGTTGGTCAATGACTGCCAACTTCTCTAAGATTGCCCCTGCTTCTAGTTTAGTACTAATTAAAGAAAGCCAAATACTCTCTCCAAACCTATCCCATCAGATGCCTTGCTTCTCTTTAGCCTACCTGCACCTCTCCATGCCCATAGCCACCTACCCCAAAGCCTTGCCCCTTTTCACTATAAAGCTTTCCCATTCTCCCAGCCTGAGTCTCTGTCAAACATAAATGATAGCGACTGCCTCCCTTTCTCTAGCAAGCAAGAAATAAATAGCTTCTGTTCTCATTAAGTTGTCTCCTTTATTTCTGTAATTTTCTGTTTTTTTTATTTTTTTATTTTTTTGAGACTGAATCTTGCCCTGTCACCCAGACTGGAGTGCAGCAGCACGATCTGGGCTCACTGCAGATCTGGGCTCTGCCTCCCAGGTTCAAGAGATTCTCCTGCCTCAGCCTCCCAAGTAGCTGAAACTACAGGCATGTGCTACCACACCTGTCTAATTTTTGTATTTTTTGCAGAGACAGGGTTTCACCATGTTGGCCAGGCTGGGCTCGAACTCCTGACCTCAGGTGATCCACCTGCCTCAGCCTCCCAAAGTGCTGGGTTTATAGGCATGAGCCACCATGCCTGGTCTGTATTTCTGTAATTTTCCTAGAAGCTCCACTGAGACACATTCTTAACTGCTCATCACCATGGACTTTGGACCCTGATCAAGTGCAGTATCTATGGAGGCCTCTTGTGCCTTGCTTCTTGAGGCCTGTCAAGTCTGTGTTGACACAGTGTCTGTGAGAGAACAGAATTGGGCTTCAACTCTGTTCTCTTTGTATTGAGATCCTTGGTTATTGACTCTCAGCTTGGTACTCAGCTTTTGCTACCAATTCCCATTTGTTTGGCACCTTTGGAAAAATACTGCCATTTCTTTTCATTCCTTTTTGTTCTCTTTTGTGCTTCTGTTTTGTGAGATAAGTCTAAAGTGTTGTCTGTTATCAGAAGGAGAATCAGTGCAGAACACAGGCATTGCTCCTCTAAGAGTGTCTCAGCTTGCTCCACAACTGATGAGCTGCAATTCTTACCAAACCAGCATCCATCTGGACAAACTTTCCTAAACTTTCCTGTCAGTCACCAATAAAATGGGATAAGGTTCATCTTTTTTTTTTTTTTTTTTTTTTTGGCCCTGAGAGGTTGGATTTGATGCAGAGGGAATATTCTGGTTTTCCATTTGCCTGTGGGCACAAGTTGTCAAGTCTGCATTTGGAGGTTGCCAACTATCAGGTTGGGGGCCTAAGACATAAAGTGCACAAATATTACTTTCAACTGACCATTGCCAGCTCCCATGGAATTTTCTGAGTGTACATCCTCTTTTCCTTTTTTTCCTCCAGGAAAATCTCCCATTTCTTATATGTACCCTTGCTATGATCCTAGCACTTGCACCCATCTCTATACCAAGGATAATTTAGGCCTTCAGTGGCTAATCTGGAGAACACTGGACTTGAACAAAATTGTTCATTTGAAAAACACCTTAGAAAAGAGAGAATATTTCTCAGGGGCAATGGGCAGCAGTTTTTGATTGGTACACAAGTTTTCAAATGAAATTCTGATTCAGACATTACTCCGTTAAAATATTTTTTGGCCAGAGCTAATGAACAGTATGACAAACTTAACAACAAACTAACTCATTTGCCCAGCAAATCTTCCCCCGGCTTCTCCTCCAGTTGACTTCAGCTCTGCAACTCTTCCTCATTCCCCCATCCTCCTTTCACACCTCATTGACTCCTCCCTCTTCTTCCAGACCCCCTACCTTCTCCCAGTGACTCTCCTAAGATCCCGGAATGTCATTTACCTCTAAAGTTCCATCTCTTCAATGACCCAAATACGCAAGCAGCAGTAGAATTTAAACCTTGAACACGAGCTGAATTAAAAGCTATGACTAAGCATTTCCCAAAGGAGTTCAGAATTCTAAATTCTTTTAGCTGTACACAACTCAGGGTTACCTGAACTATATCAACTTGTATTTATGTTTGTAGATCCTCAGACATTAAATCCTGATGGCAAAAGCCAGTTGGATTCACCGGGACAGAGATCTACAGCATCTTTCTTTCCACAATAAGCCTGAGGGCCAAAAGGAGGCTCAAAAAGTAGGGCAATGTATCCTAAAAGCCTTACTTGAAACATTTCTAGTAAAAATAAAATGGACCACAATTTAATGATGTAAATAAAGAAAAGAAGAAATTATAGGAGATTTTCAGAATAAACTAGAAAACCCCTTTCAACAACATTTGAGTGTTAAAGAAGTGTAAGTGTAATAACGGCTCTTTTACCTACTTTGTTAATGGAATTAAACCTGAAATTGGAGACAATAATTAGATCAAAATTAGAATGGGAAATAGCCACTTTACCTGAACTTCAACACCTGGCTGACATTTTTGCAGAGCCCTAGGACAATAACAAGACAGGATCCAGAATAACCTTACGGCCCTGCAGATCAAACAGTTGAGTGGACGACCCATAGAAGAGGACACCTGCAGATATTGAAAACAGAAGGGACACCTGAAAAATGATTTTCCAGTAAAAATAAGACCAAAAGACCCCTTAATTTACATCAATGAAGGTACCCAATATCCTGATTTAAAATTTAACATTCAAGGTGAATTAACCATAAATATAGGTGGCCAACCTCAGCAATTCCTGGCAATATGGGCGCTACTCTTTCTTTTCTTTCTTTCTTTTTTTGTTTTGAGATGGAGTCTTACTCTGTCACTGAGGCTGCAGTACATTGGCACAATCTCGGTTCACTGCAACCGCTTCCTGGGTTCAAGTGATTCTCCTGCCTCAGCCTCCTGAGTAACTGGGACTACAGGCATGCACCATGATACCCTGCTTTTTTTTTTTTTTTTTTTTTGTATTTTTAGTAGAGATGGGGTTTTGCCATGTTGGTCAGGCTGCTCTAGAACTCCTGACCTCAGGTGATCTGCCTGCCTTGGCCCCCCCAAAGTGCTGGGATTACAGGTGTGAGCCACCATGCCCAGCCAGGCACTAACTCTTTCTACATTAAACCCTGGCAATTTTGCTCAACATTTTCCTCATAGGAAGCAAGTAGCAGGTATCTCAAATAACCCACAGATTCCTTCTATCTCCTACTGTAACTACAACCTTTGGGTACTTGACTTAAAAACATTTCTCCCTGCTCTATTATAACACTCTTGCAAATTTAATGGGGAGTGACTTAATTTTCAAATAGAATTATAATAGTAAGTGCACCAGCTGGGCATGGTGGCTCACGCCTGTAATCCTAGCACTTTGGGAGGCTGAGGTGGGTGGACCACTTGAGTCCAGGAGTTCAAGACCAGCCTGGCTAACATGGTGAAACCCTGCCTCTACTAAAAAAAAAAAAAAAAAAAGAAATACGAAAATTAGCTGGTGTGGTGGCACATGCTTGTAATCCCAGCTACTTGGGAGGCTAAAATGGGAGGATCACCTGAACCCGGGATGCAGAGGTTGCAGTGAACCAAGATCACACCTCTGCACTCCAGCCCGGGTAACAGAGCAACACTCTGTCTCAGAAAAATAATAAATGCACAGCAGAGTCTCCTGAGGGTTCCTCTATATGTCGTCTCTGGATATATGTTTGTCTCCTTCATTATATTTGACATACGCTCCAGATAAAGACCTCAACACTCTACCTAACACTCTACAAACTAAAAAAATCCATTTATATGGGAAATTATTGGAGCAGAACCTAGTCAAGTTCAGAAGTATCCTAGTAAACCATGGTCAAACTTCCCTGATATTCCTTGAAAAACCAGAAGCAAAGGAATGCTTCAAAACTGTAGTTGATGACCTTATATCCAAAGACTTTCTCATACGCTGCAGTAGCCCATGCACCACACTTGTTCTGCTGGTACACTTTTTTCATGACCTCAGGAAAGATCAACAAAATTGTTTTGCTTTGCTTCCTAGTAGTACCTATCCTGTCATCAATTCTGCCCAAAACCACTTGCTAGACCATATTGAATCTTTACTGTGCATTTTTCAGTGTGCTTCCAAACCAGAACAGTCAACGACTTTGCCTTCATCTGGAGAGGACAACAAATATACCCGGATAGTCATACCCCAGGGGCTCACTAAAGCCCCCTCTTACTTTCCACAAGTCCTCAATCAAGACTTAAAAGATCTAAATTTCACTTGTGATTGAGTTTTGATGCAGTATATGCAGGATCAGATGATCTCCACTGCTTTCTTCAGAGAACGAGGAAGCTGGTGAGAAGGTGAGAGCAAGTAAATACTTGCTCTCAGCCATAGCAGAAAAAGAACATAATGTTTCAAAAGATAAATTATAATTTTGTCAAAAGACAGGCTAGTATTTAGGGTGTAAGTTATCTTAAGAGGGTGAAATTATTTTGCCTCTATTGGTAGGCAGAACACTATCGAAACTTCACCTCGATGCCTCGCAAAATGACAATTGAGAGGATTTCTAGGTTTAACTGGATATTGTAGACAATGGCTGCGAAATTTTTCTGAGCTTGCAATCTCTTTTTATGAATTGGCTGAGTCCTTAGTAAGAAACTGTCTTTTGTGGGGGCCCAAATATAAATTCTGTAACTCAAGAAGGCTCTTCAGTAGCCTCTTCCTTTGGTAGTTAGGCACTCTCTTTCATAATTAGGCACCCCTGACTACAATATGCCATTTTGTCTAATTGTGCATGGATAACTTGTACAAGCTTTTTTGTTTTTAACTCAATGTCATGGAAACCATCAAAAATTCATCATTTTCCATATCCTTACCCTTGACCCAGCTGCAAAGGCTTATAGCCCTTGTCTTAAGGCAACAGCTTCCACTGCAACATTTGTTGGTGCTTCTTTTAAACTATTTCTAGGCTCCCCACCTCACATCATGATTCCCTGGCCAGTGTAGACATAACCACTGACAAAGAGCATGCAATACTTTTCAACCAGCTGATCAACTTGTTATGAGAGTTTTACTCCCTCTCTCTCGCTTTACTATTCACTGATGCAATTCCTTAAACTGCCACTCTTCTCCCCCTGCCAGAAGAAGGGAACCTCATGATGGTTATAAGTCAGGGGAGTTTCTGTACCTCACTCAGATTGATGAGAGACTGGCTCTCATTGTGAACTCTGATTCAATGTTATTCATTGATGGATCATACCTCAAAACTGATATTGAAAATTATCACTAATTTAAGCTCTACTTTAGAATATATTTTCTATCTGAGGTAAAATCAACCCATATAATGGAATTTATTACACTTACTAGAGCTTGTCAGTTAGCTGAAGACCATGTAGTAAACATATAGCAGGTATGCTTTTAGAGTACTACATGAATTTGGGATGCTTTGGGGAAAAAAAGAAATTCATCATCTCTGCTGGAAACCCCATGAAAATGAATAAGTTAAGGCACTCTACTTTCTAGAGTTGGCTATTTTAAGGTTGAGGCCCATACAAAGAAAGAAGGTAATAGAAAAACTAAAGAAAAAATTCTAACAGAACGTTATGCCAAAAAAAAGCCTTAACTAAAGTTAATGTTTTTGTTTGTTTGGTTGGTTGGTTTTTGTTTTTTGAGATGGATTCTTGCTCTGTCACCCAGGCTGGAGTGCAGTGGCGCCACCTCAGCTCACTACAAGTTCCGCCTCCTGGGTTCACGCCATTCTCCTGCCTCAGCCTCCTGAGTAGCTGGGACTACAGGCACCCGCCGCCACGCCTGGCCTTTTTTTTTTTTTTTTTTTTTTTAGTAGAGATGGGGTTTCACTGTGTTAGCCAGGATGTTCTCCATCTCCTGACCTCGTGATCCGCCTGCCTCAGTCTCCCAAAGTGCTGGGATTACAAGCGTGAGCCACCGAGCCCGGCCTAAAGTTATTGTCTTCTGTAAATCTTCAAAGGAGAAGTTTCTAAGGATTCAGATAGGCCATTATAAAATATCAGTGGGCCAACCCGAGTTTCCAAACGGAAGTCTGGAAATTCCACCTCAGACTGGAGCTTCCAAATGCGGCCACCCTTGATTATTCAGGCAGTCTACCTGGGGGAGTTACTGACTCACTGTGTGAATAATCAGAGTGAGAATTGTACAAACAGAAAAAAACTGTAAGAAAACCATCACCAATAGTTTCATCACCAATAACTCTGGCAGAAGTTATTAATGACATTGTCTCTATTGTTACAAGTAATAATAACCATATTTCTCTAGATTTCTTGTTGGCTACTCATGGTAGCTCTGTGTTATTGCTAATACTTCTCACTATATTTGAATCAACGAAACAGGCAAAGTAAAACAGGCTCTACATCTCACATTTCCTTATGGAAAAAAGATAATTGCCATTCTAAGGCAGATCTTCATGGTCTGTGGCCTATATGTTCTCTTGGTCTGGGGTGGAAAATTAGAATTTCTGCTTCTGTAGCATTTTATAGGGACTAGTGATTATTTTTGTTTTTGAAACCCGACCTTTAAGCCAAAGACAGCCTGACCCCTGAAAACCCAACTGCCAGTTCTAGGTAGAGTCCACAACCGGAGTGAGAACATCCTCTATGCCTTTTAACCAATAAATGGTGATTTTTCCAAGACCACCCCCGGCCCAATCAGCATGCACTCCTCCATTCTGAGCCCTTAAAAATCCTATACTCAGCTACACAGATGGCTGCCGGCTTTCAGGCCCCCTTTCACACAGAAGTCTACCCACTTCAGGTCCCCTCTTGTGTTGAGAGCTTTTCTGTCGCTCAATAAAATTCTTCTCTGCCTTTCTGACTCTCTGCTGTCCACACACCTTATTCTTGTTGGTTGTGGGAACTCCCGAAGCTGCGGGTGGCAGTAACAAAGGAGATGTAACGCACCCCTGTTCACTGAGCTGCAGGCAGCAGGAACCAGAGAGAACTGTAACATTTCCGGGGGGCTCAGACCTCAGGACTCCCCAAGCAAAAGCTGTAACACCCTTTGGGGCTTTGTAGTTGCTGTCATCTCCAAGTATTCCGGCGCCACCACCTCCCCTTCATCTAGATACCAGCGCCCAATATGGAAGCCAATTGCAGCATGCCCAGTCCAGCTACGAGCTGAGCACGCAGCCACACTGACCACAGGATCTGGGCCAGTAATGTGAGCCAAGCGCAGCCTGCTGGGCCAAGTGGGCAGAGCAACCCGGCAGGCCTGAGCAAGGGCCGGAACAGAAGTCAGTGCAGCCACAGAGATTTCCAGCTGGTGAAGCGGCACTGAACGAATCCTGTAACACTGTAACCCTCCCTCTCACTCGCCAAGCAACAGGGGAGAAAAAGCCGCTGGGCGCCATTCCACCCTGCACACGGAACTACAAAACGTGCAACACTTTGGTCATACCTGCCATGATGCAGGTCCATCACAACCTCTGCCAAGTCTTACATTCTACTGGGCAGCTGTTCTCACCAGAGATCATTGCCATACTGTGTCCGGAGTTGGTTCCTACTGGTGGGTTCATGGTCTCGCTGACTTCAAGAATAAAGCCACAGACCTTCGCTGTGACTGTTACAGCTCTTAAAGATGGCACAGAACCAAACTGAGCACTAGCAAGGTTTATTGTGAAGAGCAAAGCTTCCACAGCATGGAAGGGGGAGCTGATTGCCACTGGTGGCTGGGGTGGCCAGCTTTTATTCCCTTATTGGCCCCTCCCATATTCTGTTCCTGTCCTGTCAGAATGCCCTTTTTTCAATCCTCCGGGCAATTGGCTACTTTTAGAATCTGCTGATTGGTGCATTTTACAGAGTGCTGATTGGTGCATTTTACAGAGTGCTGATTGGTGCTTTATACAATCCTCTTGTAAGAAAGGAAAGTTCCCCAGGTCCCCACTGGACCCAGGAAGTCCAACTGACCTCACATCTCAGTGCTGACACAACAACAAAAAGTCAAGACCTCACAATATAGTTTGTAATGGAGACCACTCGGCAATATCACAGTGGTGAAGATGTGGGTTTCTAGCTGCCCCTGAATTGGTCAATCTCTCGTAAGAGAATGACCGTAATGGGGGGCTGAGAGGATAAATATTCAAATGAATAGTGGTCAGATGATATGACAATAGAATTCTGATTCACAATCTCTGAAGCCACCAGTCCAGGAAGCCAAACCACATCATTGGCAGTGATTGGTCCCAAATGGTCCAGGATATCATTAATGACTGTTAGCTTCCCTATTTTGCCTTGTTTCCAACTTAGAACCAACCAAATAAAGCAAAATATGTTCCCCAAACCAACCACATAAGATACTCTGCTTCTAGTTAACCTACTTCCAACTTCCCCTTGCCAACTACATGCAATCAGAGCATACTTGAAGCCTTCCCCCACGCTTTCCCTCCCGTTTTTTGCTCACTCTAAAGCTTTCCCACTCCCAAACTTTGAATTAATCACCTGTTCTCATGTGGGTAGTCTACCTTTATTTCTACAGTAAGGTGCATGCAAGCCTTTTCTAGTCATATTTAAAATGGTGAAAAGCAGCATCATACCAGAAATATTTGATTTTCTACTTTTTAATTAGGTAAGCAGAGAGGGATGATTTCTGAGTCTTACAAAGAGTACATATCATTTCAGAAACATATGAGTTATGGAAAGTGATGTCTGCTTTTCTCTATATTATACATAAAACATAGCAAATATCTTACTTTAATGAGCTGGTGTGTGGGGATATAGAGATGACCAAGCTGAAAGGATTGACAATAAGATAACAACTAGAAACTGAATCCCTGAAGTGACATCTCTGTGCTTGCAGCCTTTTCTCTGAATATAAAATGCACATTTTTACACAACCCCTGTGAAATCTTAGTACTTTATATCACAAGGGTAAGTAAAATGCACACATTTTTAAAAATCAAGTATTTTAAGGTCTCCAAAATGACAGATCTTTTCCCTCTGTGAGTCATATCATGATTTATCTTGAAAGTATTTTAAGAATATTCTACGACACAAAGAGACTAAGGTTATTCAAATGAGTTTGAAGTCCCTTTAGTTTCTCTTTATTCTCAATGAATTGCAATGGCAACTGCAGTTCCTTACCCTGCTTCCAGCTCTCTGCTGAAGTTGAGTTTTGTGGGGGTTCAATCAGGCCAGTTGGAAAAATATTAATGATAGTTATAGTAATAGCCACAAACTCTCTTGGAAAGCCTGAGAGTTTGCATAGCTTCTGATTGTCTGGCTGAAGGCAGCCAGAGTCTCTTTGCAGGAGCTAGAGAGCTTAAGGCACAAATACAAAATAATGTAGAGTAGTTTATCTAACTAACTTGTTTTCCTAAGACTAACCTTTGATGTACCCTGGGTGCTTAATTGCTTTCTACTCAGGAAGTCCACAATGTCAATTACCCTCTAATGGTGTTTTCCTATGACCTTTGTCAATTAATCTTTACTAAATAAATGCAAGTCTCACTGACTGATCGAGGAGTTGCAACTGTTTACAGTACTCTCCTGGGAGTCTGTAGGTGGCTCAGACACTCAGCTGGACTGGCAAAGCAGAATATCTGTGTGTCAGTGTACTTCATTCATCCATCGCTGGGTCAGGGTCTGCAGGTTGGACCCTAGCAGAGGTTCCTCAAAGGATTCCACATTCTTGCTCACCAAAGCTGTTGTGGTTTTCTTCACCATGGAAGTAGATAAGTAGCAGGCCTTTGCCCTAATAGTTGGTCAAGTCCCTGCAGGCGCATGGGGACCATTGTTCTGGCAAATGCTGGTTGGGGAGAACATATGGATTTTAATCACTTTTAAAAATAGACTTAGGGGTACAAGTGCAGTTTTGTTACATGGATATATTGTGTGCTGGTGAAACCTCAGCATTTAGTGTACCCATCACCCAAATAGTGTACAGTGTACCTTTCAGGTAATTTCTCATCCCTCACTTCCCTCTCACCCTTCCAGTGTCTACTGGAGTCTCCAAAATCTCCAATGAGTCTTCAATGTCTATTCCACTTTTCATGTCCATGGGTACATATTACTTATCTCTCACTTATAAGTGAGAACATGCAGTCTTTGAATTTCTGTTTCTGAGTTATATCACTTAAGATAATGGCCTCCAGTTCCATCCATATTGCTGCAAAAAATATAATTTCATTCTTTTTTATGGCTGAGAAGTATTCCATACTTCCCAAACAGAAATGTTGTACTTGTGATAACATCCAGCCACTTCTTTTATCTTATTTGGAATTCAAAGGGGGCAAATGTCTTCTTATTATTAAGCAGTATATAAAGCAACCAAGAATAATCTTCAGACCAAAGAAGACTATTCATGTCCATGAGGATGGCATAGAGAGAGACTGGCATAAGATAAACTGAGAAAGGCAGAGGAATGGAAGGGTTTAGGGCTTCAAAGGTCAGGATAAGCAACTTGAATTTTATTCTGAATGCAATGGGCAATCATTGAAGTGCTTTAGGCAGTGGAGTGACTTTTTCTTTTCAAGTTTTGAGTGATTGTCCATCTTCAACCCGTAATCCCTCTTATTTACCTTAATTCCTCCTTTTTACCAGAATGGTTACAGAGCCAAGTCAAGGGAGGGGTTGGTACCATTAGAATATAAATAACATTTTCTGAATAGACATAGGGCTTTTCTTGCAACACTAAGTTACCATTACACTTCTAGGTAAAACAAATGTGATGATTTGTACGTGTGCATAGAATCTAGGATGAATGGTACTTTGAGTTCTAGACTCAAATTGGGGTGGTAGAAGTGGAATGGAGCCAGGAAATAGTTAAATTCTAGTCTCTGGGGTTCCATTAAGGAGAACAGATCATTCTTATCCTCTTTGGTTATAAAGGCCCTAAATTGTCTTTTCCATGCTTGAATGGGTAATTTTAAATATTAAATACATAGAATAAGCAGGCCTTCAGGAATTTATTACTTCACACAGTCCATATGCAGCCCTCTTATTTTGTGCCTTAGCCCCTGTGGACACCTCTTCCCAAAGCACCAGATTTTCCTGCTGTTGTAAGTGTGTACAGGACCCAAGGCTGAAGTACCTTACTGACACAGCGGGCTGCTGACCTCACCCCTCATCTTCAAAGCATTTTCAAGTTGGAGCATATTTGTGAAATAAATATTATCTTTCTTCCTTCTAATTACAAAATTAATAAATGTTACTTTGTAAAAATAATAATTAAAAAATCACTCCTGTTTTCATCATTCCCAAATAACAGCTAAAATTTTAGTGCCATCTTTTTTTTTATCTTTCTTGTGCACTCATTTATAGTGTGAGGTACAGGGAAATTTAAGGAGCAAAGAAGAAGTTTAATTTTTTAAAATCATTTTGAAATTACTAGAAGTATTAAATCCTTAGAGGTTAATTTCATTTACATTGGGAAAACTCTCTTTTTCTCTGGCATGAACCACTTGGACAGTACCTCTCATGATAACAGGTATAAGGCAAGTGCCCAATGCATGGTTCAGGGGATGGTTGTAACTATGTTTGTCTTATCAATGGTCTGATAAGTGAGGTTGCTCCTGCTTCTAGAAGTATCTATTTTTCATTTGCAAATTTATAGAGATATAAAAGAGCCATTTGTGCAGAAGGGAAGTGGCATCCAGACCATTTCTCTTTGAGCTTCAGTGCCATTTAGAACATGTTTGATAAACTAGGGTGTCTCAGACTCACAAGTATTGGGAGAAAAGAGCAACAGTGGCCCATTAAAGGAAACTTAATATAAGTGAAGTGAGGTACTGGCTGGGACTGAACACTTGGGTCACTGCTGATAGGGAGAATGTGTGGCAGATGCTGACTTCTGTATCAGGATTATCAGTGGTGTTTGAAGCCTGTTGAAGTGGATTGTGGTGAATGCTCGTTCAGTCACACCACTCACCCCAGTTAGTTAAAGGCCATAAGAAGGCAGAAAGGCAGGTTCATCCTGAGTCAGGGTTTGTGAGAGTGATGCCATGCGATGGGCAGAGAGGCTAGGGAAGCAGCTATCAAATGATAATGTACTTCAGAGGCGCATATTCCATTTGCAGATTTCAAGCTTCATTCATTCCAGATTGAATGGGGCCTAGGAATATGCATTTTAGCAAGTACCCCTGGTAATTCAGAGGCAATAGTTTCATGGACCACACTTGGAGAAACACAGTTTTGACTAATGATACAAGAGAGGAAATGGTAAATAATGGACGATATTCTTCCTAAGCTTGATAAGATGAGAAACGAATACAGCAGGAGCTAATAGATGGGGAGAAAGTCAGGTGGAATGGATGGAATGAATGAGGTTACTGAGTATCGGGATGAGGGGAATTTCATCCTGAGGAGAATACGAGTAAGAAGCATTTTCAAGCAAGATAAAAATCAGATATGACTTTTCGTACTGAAAAGTCTGAAGTTAAAATAATTAAAACTGCTGTTTGTTCAGAAATGGACAAATCAACAATGAAATGAGGGGTCTCAGAATATAGTGTGCACATATGAACATAATGAAAGGTAAAGGTGACATTATAAATGTGTAGGGTCACAGAATATGAACAAAGCGACATAATAACGTACAGAAAGGACATTTTGTCTTTTGTGTCACACTGTGTCTCATCCCCCACAGGAAGTAGGAGCACATGTCCAATGGCATTTAATTAGTAGACATTTTTGAAAACCGAGAGAATATACAACTGCCCAACAGTCAGAGTACCCCTCCCTCTTCTACATAGAGAGGCGGGAGAGACTGATCCCAGGTACCTCCAGGGGACTGAAGAGCTAATATTTAGTGAGCAATGAGTGTATGATTTTGAAACAGATTTTCAACAGCACATCTCGTCACTTTTCAGTGTCTTCTACAGATAGAATAGAACCAAGAGAAATGAAGAAGTGTGGTGGTGAGGGAACAGGCTTAGATACAGAATGCCAAATATCTCACTGATGGCTTAGGCTACCGGTAAATTGGATACAAATGCTAAAATCACATCCCTGTGGTAGTGAGAGAGAGCAATGATCTTAGGTTTATGGTAACGAAGAGATTTCTATGGGAATTCTATGGAGGGGTTACTCAACGTTTTACTGGTGATCAACTTCAGCATATTGCCCAACCCATTTAAAGACTTGTCTTTGTGTAGTATTTGATAGATTAATATATATTTTAATATATTTTTCTACCCAATTTTCCTTATTAAATTAAAAAACTGTGGTTCAGAGTGATAAAGCGTATTGAAGTTGGTACCATTAGAATATAAATAACATTTTTCTGGCCAGGCTCAGTGGCTTACACCAGCTGGCGGATCACCTGAGGTTAGGAGTTCAAGACCAGCCTGGCCAACATGGTGAAACCCTGTCTCTACTAAAAATACATATATGTATATGTAGCTGGGCGTGCTGGTGGGCGCCTGTAATCCCAGCCACTCTGGAGGCTGAGGCAGGAGAATCGCTTGAATCCGGGAGACAGAGGTTGCAGTGAGCCGAGATCGCGATACTGCACTCCAGCCTGGGTGACAGAGTAACACTCTGAAAAAAAAAAAAAAAAAAAAAATATATATATATATATATATATGTATAAACATTTTTCTGAATAGACATACTGATATGGTTTGGCTCTCTGTCCCCATCCAAATCTCATCTCGAATTGTAATCCCCACACGTCCAAGGAGGGACCTGGTGGGGGGTGGTCGGATCACAGGGACAGTTTCCCCGATGCTGTGCTGGTGCTGGTGAGTGAGTTCTTGTGAGATCTGATGGTTTTTTTGTAAGAGGAAGTTTCGCCTGTTTTCTTTTTCCTGCTGCCTCGTGAAGAAGATACTTGCTTCTCCTTTGCCTTCTGCCATGATTGTAAGTTTCCTGAGCCCTCCCCAGCCACGTGGAACTGTGTCAATTAAACCTGTTTCCTGAGAGGTGCTCCAGCCTCCGCGCGGTCAGCAGTCAGCGCGGTAGTGTCCGTCCTCCCGCATGCCCTGCAGGTAGCGCCCCCGCCTGCGGCCCAGAGTGCACTCGCGCCTGCGCCATCTCCCGGAAAAATTTCGCGCCACGCAGAGATGACAGCCAAGGAGATGAAGGCGACCGAGAGTGCGGCGCAGCCGGTGCCGCTGCCCAAGAAGGAAGTGGATGTCAGCCCCAAACAGGATGAAGGAGTGCTGAAAGTCATCAAGACAGAGGGCACAGGTACAGAGATGCCCATGACTGGGGACCTAGTCTTTGTCCACTACACTGGCTGGCTGTTAGAGGGCACAAAGTTTGACTCCAGTGTGGATCGCAAGGACAAATTCTCCTTTGACCTGGGAAAAGGGGAGGTCATCAAGGCTTGGGACATTGCCGTAGCAACCATGAAGGTGGGGGAGGTGGGCCACATCACCTGCAAACCAGAATATGCCTAGAGTTCAGCAGACAGTCCTCCAACGATCTCCCCATAACGCCACGCTTGTGTTTGAAAGATGGGGGAATCATCCGCAGAATAGGGACTCACGGTGAAGGCTATGTCAAGCCCGATGAGGGCGCTATGGTGGAGGTTGCGCTGGAAGGGTGCTGCAAGGACCAGCTCTTTGACCAACGGGCGCTCCGCTTTGAGGTTAGTGAGGGGGAGAACCTGGATCTGCCTTATGATCTCGAGAGGGCCATTCAGCACTTGGAGAAAGGAGAACATTCCACTGTGTACCTCAAGCCCAGCTATGCTTTTGGCAGTGTTGGGAAGGAAAAGTTCCAAATCCCACCAAATGCCGAGCTGAAATATGAATTATATCTCAAGAGTTTTGAAAAGGCCAAGGAATCTTGGGAGATGATTTCAGAAGAGAAGCTGGAACAGAACACCGTAGTGAAAGAGCAGGGCAGTGTGTACTTCAAGGAAGGCAAATACAAGCAAGCTTTACTACAGTGTAAGAAGATTGTGTCCTGGCTGGAATATGTCTAGTTTTTCCAATGAGGAAGCACAGAAGGCACAGGCCCCTCCACTGGCCTCTCACCTCGACCTGGCCATGTGTCAGCTGAAACTACAGGCCTTCTCTGCTGCCATTGAAAGCTGTAACAAGGCCCTAGAACTGGACAGCAACAACGAGAAGGGCCCCTTCCGCCGGGGAGAGGCCCACCTGGCGGTGAATGACTTTGAACTGGCATGGGCTGACTTCCAGAAGGTCCTGCAGCTCTACCCCAACAACAAAGCCGCCAGGGCCCAGCTGGCTGTGTGTCAGCAGCGGATCCACAGGCAGCTTGCCCGGAAGAAGTTCTATGCCAAAATGTTTGAGAGGCTGGCTGAGGAGGAGAACAAGGCCAAGGCAGAGGCTTGCTCAGGAGACCATCCCACTGACACAGAGATGAAGGCGGAGTGGAAGAGCAACACGGCAGGGAGCCAGTCTCAGGTGGAGACAGAAGCATAGCGCCTCTCACCAGCCCTACTCCTGAGGCTGCCTGCCCCCCAGCCTCCCCACTCCACCCTGTTAGTTTTGTAAAAACTGAAGAATTTTGAGTGAAAACAAAACAAAACAAAAAACTCCTCTTTCATTTATAAATTACACAGTCTCAGGTATTTCTTTATAGTAGTGTGAAAATTGAATAAAACACATAATTTCACCTTGTAAGGTGAATCCTCCTTGGTTCTCATGTAACCAATGTTTTAACACTCTTCTTTAAAAGGGCTTTTCTTAATGTTGGAAAAATTTCCCAAAACAAAAAGTGCAATAGGGACATATTAAATTTAGCAACCAAAGTGAACAATGTCTATTTTGTTTCTAGTTTCCTCTAGTCACTGTGCTCCTTGGTCACTCCCACACCCTAAATTCTGAAACAAGTGGGCACTCAAATCAGTAAGACCACAGTGGCACTCAAATAAAAAGCCCTCCCAGCATCCCTCTTATTTCCCCTAGGAGTTGTTTTTATTTGCTTTGGGTTAGCTGCTATACTTATCTGCCACCCGCAGCTGTAGACATTTGGTTGAGTTGTTGGACTTGCTGGTGCTTTGCAGACCCAACCTGAGTGAAAGGCTCTTGGAGAATAAACTTGAAAAAATCAGGCAAACTGACGCTCTTAACAGTGGACAGCACCTGCTGTCCTAAAAAATTAACCCCACCACAATAGGATGGGGTTATTTGTGCCCATTCATGGTGGTATGGGGACATTGTGATGCATGTTTGTTGAGTAATGGCATGATAATAAGTGTAGTTCCAAACATAGAAAGTAAAAATATAGTATTCAGTGCTCTTCGTTCTCCAGAGGTATAGTATATAGGGAAGCAGAAGCTGTACCGTCACCTCATAAAATTTGTGTGGTTTTTTTTTTTTTTTTTTTTGAGACGGAGTCTCGCTCTGTCGCCCAGGCTGGAGTGCAGTGGCGGGATCTCGGCTCACTGCAAGCTCAGCCTCCCGGGTTCACGCCATTCTCCTGCCTCAGCCTCCCAAGTAGCTGGGACTACAGGCGCCCGCCACTACGCCCGGCTAATTTTTTGTATTTTTAGTAGAGACGGGGTTTCACCGTTTTAGCCGGGATGGTCTCGATCTCCTGACCTCGTGATCCACCCGCCTCGGCCTCCCAAACTGCTGGGATTACAGGCGTGAGCCACCGCGCCCGGCCAATTTGTGTTTTTTATAACTACATGCTGTCAGATTGATTAAGGGAACTTCTCTAAACGTGTGTGTGTGTGCGTGTGTGTATGTGTCCACTGTATCTTCAAGTGTGAAGACTCCTTTATGAGCATACCTCTGTGAAGCTGTATTTCTATCCATTTATAATTCAAGAACTTTTAAACTCAGTTAAAGAATGCTCATGTCCCAAGAAATAGCAGCAGCAGGCATCTCTACTCAAAGTGAGGCTTTGTGTAGTGACAGTGCTGACCTTTGGCTCCAACATTAGAGCATATTTTATGATGTATTTATTATTACTTTTTTTTGAGATGGAGTCTCTCTCTGTCACCCAGGCTGAAGTGCGGTGGTGTGATCTTGGTTCACTGCAACCTCCACTTCCTGGGCTCAAGCGATTCTCCTGCCTCAACCTCCCGAGTAGCTGGGATTACAGGTGTGCATCACCACACCCAGCTAATTTTTGTATTTTTTAGCAGAAATGTGGTTTCATTATATTGGCCAGGCTGGTCTCGAACTCCTGACCTCGTGTGATCCGCCCACCTTGGCCTTAGAGCATATTTTAGATCAGCGGGGAATAATCTCCACCAAGAACAGTAATAGCTTGGGCAAGGACAAGCACCTTGACAGAGGTTGTAGAGCTCTTTGCAGCTTCCACTTGCACCTCTACTTTGTGCATTCTGTGGTCGTTAGGAAACAGAAGAAAGCAGCTAGCCACAGCTTCATATCTTCAGGAAGATAAGCCCGTACATGCAAAGGGACCAGTCTTCATAAGCATTTACAGCACCAGTCCTGTCATTTGAGGAAAAGTTTTAAAAGGCCAATTCTCATTTTTGAGGAAAGAAATAAGGCATTTTTTTTTTTGCTCTTAAGGAAATCGGTATTATGGGCTGCACTGTAGAAATAACCAGGAAGCCAACTTTTATAATGTGACACAAGCAGATAAGCCAAGCTGTCTGCGTATGCTTGCTAAGGAGCACATGCATGGAGCTGTGGGTATATTGGGTATTAGGGCTCAGCATTTACTGAGAACACTGTGCTCAGTGCTACACAGGTTTTCATGGATCATCTCACAATGGCCACATAGTGAATATCCTCATTTTACATGCAGAAGAATTGGCTGAGGCACAATGAGGTTAAGCCACAGCCCCTGGCCCCCCCACCTGGTGAAAGACAGAGCTAACAGTCAGATGGATTTTATGGAGTCCATGAGCCCCTGCCCACCTTGCCCACTAACTTCAGAGTTAGTGTGTACCCAGGGTCATGAAAGGTCAAGCGGTGGGGGGAACTCTGAGTCAAACTATCTTAGCCTCCAGGGTGAGTTTCATGCTGTTTATTCCCTTTCACCATCAACAAGAGAAAAAACTCTAGACCGTATACGTATAACCTCGCCCAAAGATGGAATAAGAGCTTTAAAATGTTTCCTTTTCCTATACTTCCCATTTCTATTTTCTCTTATTTCTCTTGCTGCTGGAATTTCTCTGGTCTCAGGCCCTGGTTACCTTATGCCTAAACCACCCATAAGCTTCCATGGTCATTCGTCACTTCTGTTACCCTTCTCTAACGGACCCTGTGTCCTCCGTCCTGACAATCGTCCCAAAGGAAAGGTCTGCTTTAGCTGCTCCTCTGTTAAAAGGATGAAATCTATAAAACCCAGACTTTCCATGATCAGATCCTTCTGAGCACCTTGTTGGAAATTAACTTCTGCCCTACTCTCTACCCTGGCAGCTCAACTTAGCTCAACCCTCATCTTTTCTTCCAACACTCAGCTATGTCCGTTCATATTTTCCTTTTCTGTAAGACTTCCACCTCTTTGCTTAGGCAAGTACCATAACTTCTTGAGGCAGAGTTAAAACTCCAAAACCAGCCCATTCCATGTTGTCCTTGTGTTTCCCGATCCTTATGATGCTTTCTGTCTCATCTTCACTGGCTCTATTTCTACCTGTTATTGTCAGGTATTAATGTGCCATCTTCATGATTGGACTATAAATAGATAATTTATCTTGTTTATAAATTATGTAATATATATTTATTATTTATATATTATTTACATAGATAATACATCTATCTTTATCCCGCCACCTAGAACAGAGCCTAATCAATATATTCAATAAATAAATATAGTAATATATTCTCTTCTTTCAACAATCTTCTTTATTTCTGATTCTCCGCTGTGTTTTCTTCTTGTTCTCTGTCTTTATCTTTCATTTACATTCTTTTTTCCTTTTCCTTATTCTCATATGACTGATATTTTATGAAACTTTAAGCCCATCTTCTTTCTTTTTTTTTTTTTGAGATGGAGTCTTGCTCTATCGCCCAGCCTGGAGTGCAGTGGCGCGATCTCGGCTCACTGCAAGCTCTGCCTCCTGGGTTCATGCCATTCTCCTGCCTCAGCCTCCCGAGTAGCTGGGACTACAGGCGCCCGCCACCACTCCCGGCTAATTTTTTTGTGTTTTTAGTAGAGATGGGGTTTCACCATGTTAGTCAGGATGGTCTCGATCTCCTGACCTCGTGATCTGCCTGCCTAGGCCTCCCAAAGTGCTGGGATTACAGGCTTGAGCCACTGCGCTCAGCCCCTTCTTATTTCTTAATGAATTTATTTATTGAGGAGCCATGTAGGGAGACCTAGTGTACAAGCGTCCTGCATTTAGAATCAGTTGGACTTAATTTCTCTCTAATGCTTGTTTTCTTATCTGTGATTTGGTGGTCATAATAATACTTACATAAGAGGGTATGATTATTCCGAGGACTTATGGAAGTAAAGTGCTTAAAATGCTTATCACAGAGCCTGACACATAGTAGCCTCTAAAAATTTGTTACCAGGAACTGCGTTGGTAACATTAAAAAAAATTCTCCTGTTTTCAAGTGTACTACTGTTTCACAAGGGAGAGAAAAAAACATAAAAATAAAATTAAAACTTAATTTTAATTAACTTTTATTAAAAGTTTATTCTAAAGATATAGTAGGTAAATTTTTATCTGAAGAATTAAAAATGAGCAGGATACTATGATTCATTTTAAATTAATTTTTGTGCATGGTGAAGTGCAGGTCAAGATACGTGTTTTTCCGAATTGTATTAGTCAGGGTTCTCCAGGAAAAGAGAACCAGCAGAAAAGCAGAATGTCTATCTGTCCTTCTATCTATCTATCTACCTATCTATATCAAGAGATTTATTTTTTAAAATTGGCTTACACAATTGTAAGGGCTTGGTTAATCCAAAATCTACAGGTTAGGCCAGCAGGCTCGAGACCCAGGGAAGAGTTGCAGTTTGACTCCAAAGGCAGTCTACTAGCAGAATTCCTCCTTGCTCAGGAAGTGTCAGTCTTTGCTCTATTATTATTATTATTATTATTTTTTGAGACAGAGTCTTGCTCTGTCGCCCAGGCTGTAGTGCAGTGGCATCTCAGCTCACTGCAAGCTCCACCTCCCAGGTTCACACCATTCTTCTGCCTCAGCCTCCTGAGTAGCTGGGACTACAGGTGCCTGCCACTACGCCCGGCTAATTTTTTGTATTTTTAGTAGAGATGGGGTTTCACCGTGTTAGCCAGGATGGTCTCTATCTCCTGACCTCGTGATCTGCCCACCTCAGCCTCCCAAAGTGCTGGGATTACAGGCGTGAGCCACCGTGCCCGGCCAGTCTTTGCTCTATTAAGTCTTTCAACTGATTGGAGAAGGCCCATCCACACTATGGAGGGTAATGTGCATACCCTAAGTCCACTGATTTATGTATTATTCTTATCCAAATGAAAAAATCTTGACAGAAACATTCAGAATAATGTTTGACCAAATATCTGGGCACTGTGGCCCAGCCAAGTTTAAAGACAAAATTACCCACCACATCTACAGATATCTAACTGACCTAGTAAATTTTATTGAAAAGACTATCCTTTTGTCCGTTGAATGGAAGTGGCATCTTCATGAATATGTATCTAAACTATCTATTCTGCCTTAATTATAGTGTTTATAGTAAAATAATATGTATTACATATGAGAATATGTAAATAAATTATGTAATACATAAATATAAATATCATTTATAGTAAGCTAAGTCAAAGTTTAATTTTTAGCAACATTTATTCAGGATGGATCATAGGCCACAATGTGGAAGCTTAGACAGTAAAAACAATACAAATTCTATAACAAAAAAGTACAAAATATCTTCCATGACCTTGAGATAGGCAAAGATTTCTTAAATAGGACCAAAAAGACACCAAATATTTTTAAAGTTTATTAAATTGAACTTCTATAAATTAATGACTTCTATTCATCAAATAATATAATTAAGATAGTTAATCTTGATGTCATCCCATTTGTTTATTTTTGCTTTTGTTCCCTATGCTTTCAGGGTTATATCCAAAAAAATTGCTGATCAAACCAATATCTTGGATCATTTTCTCTGTTTTCATGTAATAGTTTTACAGTTTCAAGTCTTATATTTAAGTCTTTCATCAATTTAGAGTTAATTTTTGTATATGGTATGATATAAGGATCTCATTTCATTCTTCTACATGCAGATACTCAGTTTTTCCCACAGCATTTATTGAGAAAGCTGTGCTTTCCCCACTGTGTGTTCTAGGAACCTTTGTCAAAAATCAAGTGGCTGGGTTTATTTCTGGGCTTTCTATCCTGTTCCATTGGTCAATGTGTCTGTTTTTATAGGAGTACCTATGTGGTTTTAATTAATATCACTTTATAACATGTTCTGAAATCAGGGAGTATAATGCCTCCAGCTTCGTTCTTTTTGCTAAATATTGTTTTGGCTATTCAGCATCATTTGTGTCCTCAAGTCAATACTCTTAAGTTCCTACTCAAGAAATAAGAAAGAAGAACAAAGTAAATTCAAAACAAGGAAAATGAGGGAAATAAAAATAAGAGCACAGCTAATATCCAAAAATCAATCACTTTCCTATACATCAGCAATAAACAAGTGGAATTTGAAATTAAAAACAGAATATCATTTACATTAGCACCCCTAGAAATTAAAAACATAGGTATGCATCTACCAAATTTGTATAAGATCTGTATGAGGAAAGCTATAAAGCTGATGAAAGAAATCAAAGAACTAAATACATGGAGAGCTATTCCATATACATGGATAGAGAGACTCAATGTTGTCAAGATGTCTTCCTAACTTGATTTGTGGATCCAGTGCAATGCCATTCATTACAACAGCAAATTATTTTGTGCAATCTAAAATGTACGTAGAGAGACAAAATATCCAGGTAGCAGAGCATAGAGTAATGTTTGCCAGGGGTTGGGGGTAGGGGAAATTGGGAGACGTTGAGTAAAGAGTCCAATTTCAGTTATGCAAGAGAAATAAGTCCTGGAGATCTAATGTACAGCATGGTGACTATTGTTAATAATACTGTATTGTATACTTGGAATTTGCTAAGAGAATAGATCTTAAGAGTTCTCATACAATAAAAAAGGAAGGTAAATATGTGAGGTGATGGATATGCTAATTAGCTTGATTATGGTAGTCATTTCAGTATGTACATGTTTATAAAAATACCACATTGATGCAAGCTTTTGGGCTGGGGATCAGAGTTCTGGTGCAATTCTAGACTCTTCTCAAGAAGAATCTGAATACACTCTTGTGGGGATGGTACAACCAGCCTAGTTCCTGTGACAATGTTCTTTCCCCTGTAGCCAGATGTGGGTTGGGTAGTGAGAGGTTAGTCAAGGTTAGTCAGCTCCAGAAAGTCTGTCTGTCTCCACAAAGGGGAGTGACAAAGAGCGGGAGCCTGAACTCAAGTGAAGAGCAATCATGAGGGCGACCTCATAAGGAGGACTTCTCAAACACGGGGCCATCTAAGTTTCACAATGACCGTAAAAGAAAGCCATTGTTATCTCCATTTTCTGATGAAGTAGTCTGAGAAATAATGAGACTTTCCTGAAGAAAACCAGTGAACAGCAAAGTCAGCATTTATTCTTTTCACTCCACAGACATTTTTATCTAGATATTGTTCAAAGGACTAAATGTGTGTCAGTCTTCATTAGTCATGGATTTTTATTTTAAAAAGTGTGGTCAAAAATACTTTATTAAGTGGGTGATATTTAAATAAACCCTTGCATGAAGTGAAGAAGCGAGCTCTGTAGATATTTGTGGAAAGAATGTTTCAGGTGGACAGAACAATTAAAAGGACTAAGGCTGGAGAGTGCCTGGCCAGTTCAGGGAACATCAAAGATACAAGGGGTGAGGGTGAAAGGGAACGGGTAGAAACGGAGATGGAAGAAAGTTTTTTGTCTTTACCTAACAGTCATGGGATGAGCAACTCAGCTTTGCATGATTATCCAAGTACAGGTTTCTTTCAACTTTTTGCTATTCCATGCCCTAGGGTATGGTCCATATCTGCCTAATCACAGCTGGGTCATGTGCTTGTAACAGAAGGGGAAAGAGGGCACATTCTAGGGCAAGTAGCTTATTTTGTAATTTGAAGATGTCCTATACGGTCGATTGTTTCCAAAGACGACTGCAACACTCCATTCTATCTTACATGCCCTTTTGCAATATGACTTTTCCACTTTTCCATCAAGACATAGACTCTATCTTACCTCCCCTTAAATCTGGACTAATCTTATGAGTTGCTTTAACCAATATCATGTGGTAGAAATGACAATGTGCAACTCCAAAGACAAAACTTCAAGAATCCCCACACCTTCCATTTTTTATGTCTTGGAATGCAGCTGCCATGCTGATAGAAAGCTAAGCTAGACTGACGGAGGAGAACAGAGCCCCAGAGTCAGCCAGTAGTCAGCACAACTACCAGCCATATGATTTAAACCATAATGGAAGTTCTAGCCCTGGCTGAGCTCCATAGGAGTGAAACTGCAAGTGTGAGCTCATAAGAGACCATCAAATGAGTCTGACTCTTAAATATTTGGTGTAAGCTAGTGTGAGAATTGAGTTTCCACCAGATGAGATTAGGAAGTTTACAGGTAAACAAAGTTTTGAATGCAAAGATCAGGAGTTCAGGTTTGAACATTGATAAGTTTGAGATATCTCTAAGACATCTAAAAAGAGTCAAATAAGCCTTTTGGAATTTTAGTTTGCAGTTTGGGAGAGAGGTGTTGGCTAAGAGAGCCACATTTGGAAGTCAGTGGCATATGGATGGAACTAATGCCAAAAGACTGACTGAAACAAGAAAAAAATTAACAAGGAAGAGTCGTAATCAATTATATCAGATGCTGCAGATAGTGTGAGTAATGTGAGAATTGAGAGTTGACCACTGATTTTAGCAATGTGAGGTTTGTTGGACACTTTGACAAGAGCAGTGTAGGGGGAGTGCTGAAAAATCTGATTGGACTGTGTTTACAAGAATAACAGAGAAAAATATTTTAAAAGAGTGTGGATAACTCCTTCAAGGAATTGTGTTGCAAAAGAGAATAGAAATGGGACAGGAGCTCGCAGAGAAAGTAAAGCCAAGAAAAGTTTCTTTTTGTTTGTGTTCTATTGTTGTCGTGCCCTTAAGGATAGGGAATATAGCAGGACTGGATGCTAATAGAATCTTCCAAGGAAAAATCCAAAGGCCAGAGGTGAGCTAATCTTGCGACTTCTATTTTTGAATAGTTGAAGTATGAGCTTTGTATATGTGTAAGGGTAGTTAAAAGGTTAAAAGTTAAAAGGTGAGAAGGCAGACTCTGAGGGTGTAGGTACTGGTGGGTAAGTGTCTTTGTTCATTTTGTGCTGCTGTGACAGATGACCACAGATTGGGTGATTAATTTTTTCACAGGTATAAAAACTGTGAAGCCCGAAATCAAGATGCCAGAATTTGATGTCTGGTGAGGCCCTTCTTGCTGCCTGTGCACATGACAGAAGGCAGAAGGGCAAGAGAGCCAAATGCTGCATTTAGCCTGTTTTTTAAGGGCTTTGCTACAGTTTGAATGTGTCCTCCCAAAAATCATGTGTTAGAAACTTAATTATCATTAAAATAGTATTAAGAGGTGATTACACTATGAGGGCTCTGCCTTCATAAATGGATTAATGCTGCTATTGTGGGAGTGGGCTCCCTATAAAAGGACCTATTTGGCCTGCTTTTTTCTCTCTCACCCCTTTTTTATGCCCTTCACGATGAAAGGACACACATGAAGGCCCTAGGCAGGAGTCAGCCCCTTGATCTTGGACTTTCCAGCTCCAGAATACTGAGCCAATAAATTTCTATTTATTATAAATTACCCAGTCTGTGGTATTCTGTGTAACAGCATAAAATGGACTAAGACAGTCCTTAATCCTATTCATGGAGGAGGAATCCTCATGGCCTAATTCCTCTTAAAGGCCTCACCTCTCAATATGATCACATTCTTCATTAAGTTTCAACATATTAATTTTGGCAGAAATACATTCAAATCATAGCATTCTTCTCTGGCCACTCAAAATTCATATCCTTCTCATGTGCAAAATACATTATTAATTCCATCCCAATAGCCCCAAAAGTTTTCATTCATTCCAACAACAACTCAAAAGTCTAAAGTCCAGAGGTTTATGTAAATCAGGTATGAGTGAGACTCAAGGAACAATTCATCCTGAAGCAAATTTCCCTCCAGCAATGAGGCTGCAAAGTCGAATAAGTTATTAGCTTCCAAAACACAATGGTGGTATAGGTGTGGGATAGACATTCCCATCCTGAAAGGCAGAAATTGGCTAAAAGAAAGGGGTAACAAGTTCTGAGTAAATCCAAAACCCAAAAGGGCAAACAACATTAGATCTTAAGGCTTGAAAATAATTTTATTTGACTCATGTTTTACCGTCAAGGCAGACTGGGGCAGGGGTTGGATCCCCAAGGCTCCAAAGGCCACAACCCCATAGCTTTGCTGGGCACAGCCCACACCACAGCCCTCATGGGTTGGAGTCTCCTACCTGCAGCTCTTTCACGCTGGCATTGCATCCTGGTGACTCTAAAATGTGGAGGTCTCCAGCATGGCCCTACCCCCATAGTTCCACTAGATTTTGTGTTAGTGAGTACTCTCTGAGGTGGCCCCACTCACACAGCTCCACTGTGTATTCCTCTGGTGGAGACACTCTGTGGCATTCTCTGAAACCTAGGGGAGGAAGCTAGGCCTTCAAAGCTCCTGAACTCTGTGCACTTGCAGAGTTCGCACTACATGGGTGCTGCCAAGTGCTATGGCCTATACCTCCTGAAGCAGTGACTTGAGTCACACCTGGGCCTGCTTGAGCCATAGCTGGGGCAGCCAAGGAGCACTGTGCCAGAATGCAGGGAGCAGAGATTTGAGGCGGCCCTGGATGGTAAGCCCCAAGTTCCCATGGGCACCCTGGGCCCCTCCCTCAAACCTGTTCAGCCCCCAAGGCCCTAGCACTCTGCCTGTGAAGAATGTGGTGGCCTCAAAGATCTCTGAAATGTCTTTGGGGTCATTTTCTCATTATCTTGATAAATTGCTCCTGGCTTCCTGCTATTCACACTAATTTGCTTATCGGACTGTCAACTGGGCACACCCTTGGTTTTCTCTACTAAACATGCTTTTTTATTATTTACATGGCCAGGCTGAGAATTTTTCAAATCTTTACATTCTTTACATGTGAGAGCTTCCCTTTTGATTATAAATTCCATCTTTAAGTCATTTCTCTCTTTTTGCATTTTGCTATGAGCAGTTGAGAGAAGCCGTGCAATTCCTTCAACATTTTGCTGCTTAGAGATTTCTTTCATCAAGTATCCTAGTTCATCACTCTTAAGTTCTACCTCCCACAAAATACTGAGGCAGGAACATAATTCAGCCAACTTCTTGGCTACTTTGTAACAGTGATGGCCTTCTTCCAGTTTCCAGTAAGGTGTTTCTGATTTCTCTTTAAGATACCATAATAAAGGCCCTCACTGTCCATATTTCTACCAGTATTCTCGTCACAACCACTGAGATAATATAAGAACTTGTCTAAGATAAACTAAGAAGGTTCAGGCTTTCCCTACAGCTCTCCTTTTGTTCTGAGCCCTCACCAGAATCACCCTTAATGTGCCATGTTGGGCCATACAGGCTTTTTCAGCATTCCCTTTAAAACGGTTCCAGCCTCTACCCATTACTCAGTTCCAAAGCTGCTTCTACATTTTCGGGTATTTGTTGTAGCAACACTCCATTCTCCTGGTATCAATTTTGGTCTCAGTCTATTCGTGTTATTATAACAGAATACCACAGCCTGAGTAATGTGTAAAGAAAAGAAATTGGCTGGGTGCAGTGACTCATGCCTGTAATCCCAGCACATTGGGAGGCCAAGGCAGTGGATCACTTGAGGTCAGGAGTTAGAGACCAGCCTAACCAACAAGGTGAAACCCTGTCTCTACTAAAAATACAAAATTAGCCAGGCGTGGTGGCGCACAACTGTAATGCCCACTACTTGGGAGGCTGAAGCAGGAGAATCCCTTGAACTTGGGAGGCGGAGGTTACAGTGAGCCGAGATTGTGTCATTGCATTCCAGCCTGAGCAACAAGAGCGAAACTCTGTCTCAAAAAAAAAAAGAAAAGAAATTAATTTTCTCACAGTTCTAGAGGCTGACAAATTCAGGATCAAGGAGACAGTGAGGTCCTTTTGGCATCTGGTGAGGTCCTTTTCGCTGCATTCTCACCTGGCAGAAGGTAGCATGGCAAGAGGGCCAGACGCTGTGTGAAGCCTCTTTTAGAAAGACCTTTATCCCTTTGATGAGGGAGGAGCCCGCATGGCCTTAAAGGCCCATCTTTTAATACTGTCACATTGGCCATTAAGTTTCAATACCTGAATTATGGAGGAGACACATTCAGATCAGAGCCATAAGCCAATGTGATGTTGGAAGCTCATGGACATTCTTTTTTGATTGCCTCAGTTTTCTGGTGAAGTAGGGAGCTAAGAATGAGACTGGGAGAAGAGACACTGGCATTTTGAGGAAAGAGAAAAGAGAGAAAAAGTGTTATCTAAGAGAATGAGAAGGTAAACAGGTGTGAAATGTTGTGTGATGCTTTGCAGCTTTAAGGGTACCTGTTATGTTCAGCCTTCACTTTAGAGATGAAGACCCTAAGTCCTGGAGAAGTGATATGCCCGTCCTTGGATCATGCGGCCAATTGAAGTGGAGTCCTTACTAGAACCCAGGACTCCAAATGGCCACCTCAACAATATTTCATGTATGTGCTCCATGTGGTCTTCTGTGTTATAGTTTAGCTACTGAACATAATAGATCTCCAAGTCAAAAAGGCTATTTTTAATACATTTTTTACATGACTGTTCATGTAAAAAGAAACTGACTTTCACTTTGAGACATTTATTTTTTCCTTCAAGCCTGTCTTGCAGATTCCATCAGTACAAATGTCTTATTTATTAAAAGTACAAAGACAGACTTTGAAGCAGAAATTTAAAATGCCCACCTGGGAAAAACCAGATGAAAGCTTCATGATCCAGTTCTGTGACAGGTGAGCCAGCAGCAGGTTCCCCATGTCTCCTAAGATACGGGCTTCCACCAGAGAAAAGAGAATATCTAAAGTGCTTTAATGCAACCTGTCCAAAAGTAAACTTTTTCTTTCTCTGGTGAAGAAGACAAAAGGAAAACTTTAAGTCTACTCGAAGTTTGTAAAAGAAGCATGACAACTCTTGCCTAGTAGGGCTGTGGCTAGGGCTGGTTCCTAGAGTGGCCACGATGATTGGAGGGGCATGCTAGGATTGGTTCTTCAGCTAGGCCTCCAGACAAGTATGGGGGCACCAACTTTGTGTAACTACCTTCCCACTCATTTTGAGAGCCACTTACTGTCTGGTGGCTTTCAACTCCCATTGTCAGCCCTTCCTTGGAGAGATGTATTATATTAATACTTTCCATTGAAGGGCACAGTTTCGTGTCTTATTACCTTCTTACAAAGATCTAGAGCTGCCTTTCTCTACCAGCGCTCCTCATCTGAACCTCAGAGCATGGGAAGTGATGTGAGTAACTGTTTCAGCTCACCAGAGAACAACTACTTGCACGTATAGTAGTTGCTGTCCGTTGTCCAGTCCCAGAAGAGGTTCAGCCACGCACACATCTTTCCAAAACTGGCGAACTCTGTTTTGGTACAGCAAGGATGATGTTTGCAAAATGCTGAGACAAGCAATCACTACAGAATTTTTCAAGTCTAATATATTAGAAGATACAGAGATGTTAAAATGTTAGATATGTTAAAAGTTATCATTGTAATTGGAAAATGTGTTGCTTCTTTAAACTGTGATGGATCATTATACTGATAAAATTTAGTATTCACTCTATGGGAAAAAGCCCAAGCTCTGCTCCAAACATTTTATTTCTACATTAATTCTGCCACTTTCATCTTTCCCCCTTCCCTCACCCTTTGGAAGGGTAAAATATTTAAGTTGAAGAGAAAAATCTAATTTTAAAAACAATTTTTGTTTAAAACTTGTTTTTGATTTTCATATTATATTTATATCCTGTCTATAAACAGAATCAATAATGAAAGCCATAGATCATGATGGAAGAGCTTCTTAGGTTCATGCTAAAAATGAAACAAAAGCTTATACCTTTACTAGGTTTCAACATAAAAAATATATGCATATGATTAAAGAAACCCATAAATAAGGGGAAATATCACAGAAGGGAAATAATATTTGAATATGAAAAGAAAAGGACCCAAAAGTCATTGCACATTCACAGAAATCTAGTTTTCATTGTAAAGATCATCTCAAGACACGCTTTTGCAACATCAGTAGGTAGAATTTTTTTTAGCACAGAGCCTGACCACACTTTCTTTCAAAAATATGGAGTTAATATGTCACTTCTGAAATCATTATTATGATTTTTATTTCCTCAATGTTATACTGAACACACTGAATTTAGGACTGAGGCAAATGAGAGTTAGTCTCCTAGTCACAACTATATCTTTTACAGACTAAGAATTTTGCAAAAATCAAAGCATAGATATAAGTTCACTTCTATCCATCTAAAGAAGCACAAAAAAAGAGCTGTTTTAAAAGGTCATGTCATAGGTGGGTACAGTCCCATTGTTTAGCTGCCTCTCTCAACTCTGACCTGGGACATTGTGGGGATTTGCCTCATTGCAATAGTTGCAATTCCTGGTCCCAGTTCTCTTGATTCTATCCTTGAAGTCAGAAGTATTAGACAGAAAAAAAATGGAGACTTGAATTTTTTTAGAGAAAACATGTGTGGATAGATATTTAACTGATTAATGTCCTCTTAATTACTTGAACATTACTAGCCAATACATGTGAGCTTTTGCAGACAAAGGGTTGCAGCCATATCGTCCAGTTCTTGTTGGTTACATGTCAACAACCTGTGATCCACTACACCTGTAAAATACTGTTAGCCCTATTTTCACTCTCATTATTTAATACAAATGATCACTGTTCTTTTCTATTATTTTCTCTTCCTTTAATTTTCTTACTCCCAGTTTTTCTCCACCACTCCATCTTCTTCTTGCATAAACCTCTGCTGGTATCTAACATTCTTTATTCTCAAGGGTGGCATCTTAAAGGGCGTTTCAGATCTTTGGGTCTTACATTAATTTAGTTGTGGGTCCACAGCTGGGAAGCTCAGTATCAAGACTGCCCAATTACTGATAAGAAGAGATAGATGGCCGGGCACGGTGGCTCACGCCTGTAATCCCAGCACTTTGGGAGGCCAAGGCGGGTGGATCATGAGGTCAGGAGATCAAGACCATCCTGGCTAACACGGTGAAACCCCGTCTCTACTAAATCTACAAAAAATTAGCTGGGCATGGTGGTGGGCGCCTGTAGTCCCAGCTACTCGGGAGGCTGAGGCAGGAGAATGGCGTGAACCTGGGAGGCGGAGCTTGCAGTGAACCGAGATTGCGCCACTGCACTCCAGCGTGGGTGACAGAGTGAGACTCCGTCTCAAAAAAAAAAAAAAAAAAAAAAGATATAGATAAGTCAGCTGGTGATCACACTTGACAGAGGCTAAGAGTGAAACTCTGCCTAGGCAATGGGGAGGGCCAGGAGCAGGGGCCCATGCTGTGAAAGGTAAGCCCTCAAACAAGGTGAACAGCGGTGAGGTAAAGGCTTATTTCCTCTTCGAAGATTTTGTTACTATCTTGCCCCTCCGCAGATACAATCCTTTAAAGGTTTCTTATCTTCTTTTGGAGAAAATTCTATACTCCCCTCGTTTTCAAGGACATCTCCAAATTGGTTCCAAAGGGTCTTTCTATTCACAGCTTCCATTAGTCCCTTGCAGGCTCCTAGGCAAACAAGATCATTTATTTATTTATTCATTTTCTTAAAAGTACACCCATTTCCAGCCTCATTCTTGGATCAGGCCCAGCATGGCCTTCCCTCTCATATGTGCACACACTAACCAACTAAAGATGGATTCTAGATCTCCATCACGAAGACTCCTTTAAGCCTCCCAGGGAGGAAGAAACTTCAAGCTTACCATGAGGAAAATATTTTCTTTTTTATACCTCTTTCACAGAGAAATCTTTACCTTTCTATACTGTTTTTATGTAGCTTTTAAGTTATGTCACGAATATTGTAGTGTCCCTATTAACCTCTAAACTTCTTGAAGGAAGGAATTGTGTCTAACCCTTTTTCTGCCTTAATGGTAGTAAAATTTTACTGATTGAAGAATGAATGTGGAAGGATGTTTTCGGGAAATAGCCTTTTGTTTAATACTCAGTAGGTTGGTTTCTATCTTATCTCTTCATAAAACTTCACAAAGTGACAGAATTCCTTCCTTTAATTGAGATCATTCTCAGCTCTAGTCTACCTCCAGATGGTCTGTTTTAAATTAACGGCTCAAAATTTTACTACTCTTGAGAACTTGGGCAAACTAATCAACCATTCTTAGTCTCAGTGTGCTCTTTATAAAATGAAGAAAACGTTAATCCTTCCACTGCTTTGTGAGGCTTGAATGAGATGCGAGTCCCTCAGTTCATCTCAGGGCCCTGTGCTCAGTAATCATCCACTCTTAGGACTGAGCTGAAAGAACAAGCACATTCAAGGAAACAATGGGGTTTACTTTTTTCCCAAAAAGGTTTTTTTTTTTTTTTTTTTTTTTTTTTTTTTTTTTTTAAGACGGAGTCTCGCTCTGTCGCCCAGGCCGGACTGCGGACTGCAGTGGCGCAATCTCGGCTCACTGCAAGCTCCGCTTCCCGGGTTCACGCCATTCTCCTGCCTCAGCCTCCCGAGTACCTGGGACTACAGGCGCCCGCCACCGCGCCCGGCTAATTTTTTGTATTTTTTTTAGTAGAGACGGGGTTTCACCTTGTTAGCCAGGATGGTCTCGATCTCCTGACCTCATGATCCACCCGCCTCGGCCTCCCAAAGTGCTGGGATTACAGGCGTGAGCCACCGCGCCCGGCCCCAAAAAGGTATTTTTATTGTTTGGCAACCAATAAAGAGTTCATAGTTCTTCTATCTCTTCTTTCTCTTTTTATTTAAATAAGCAGGCAATCAAACCTATAGTTTTTTTTTCTGTTAAAAATATATTCATTATGTAGACAAAATTTAAGAATGTTAGAAAAACTTTAGTGTAGAGACAACAAATGTCATATAATTAAATATGCCTATGATTATTTTGATTTACATGCTATCAAGGGTCTGTGTAGGAAGATAAGTTTAGCCCAAAACAATCTTAGCTGAAGCAAATGCAAAACAGGAAATTTAGACACAAGGAAATAAACACTAGTCCTAAAATATGCTCTTTAAAATAGCTTTAACGCAGCATAGAATTTTGCATCTATATTTGTGAACAAAATTATCCCTGCAGCTGTCCAATATCTTGCCAGAATTGTAAACTTCAAATTAGGATGCAAACTCAATGTCACTCAAGAAGTGGTCATGAGGCTGGACTTAGTCATTGGTAATTATTCTGGATTCATCAGCAGGGCAGAGCTGATTTTACCATTTCATAACCAACCACTTCTGAACAGTTTCCTCCCAGGTGCTTAAGAATGAAGAAGTGGCTGTCAGGACTGCACTGGCAATATTTTTCAAAATGTGGATCCCTGGTCATATTAAAATAAAAGTTTTTCCCCCGTCAGGTTAGCAGAAATGTAAAATGGAGATTGGAATTTAGATGTAGAATTTTGTGTCAGAACCACGTTTGATAGTCAGTTACACACATCTGGCCCACAGTTAAGAATGTAAACTAACAGCATTAAGAGCCAGACATCCTGGGTTCAAATCCCAGCTCTGCTATATAAGGCT
Source organism: Homo sapiens (assembly GCF_000001405.40). Lineage (NCBI taxonomy): Eukaryota > Metazoa > Chordata > Mammalia > Primates > Hominidae > Homo > Homo sapiens. The sequence continues at coordinate 42,403,465 of NC_000009.12, forward strand.
TGGCCTTTCTGTGCCTCAGTTGTCTCACTTGCAAAATCAGGATGATATCATCCTCCAAGGATTACTGTGAGGATTAAATTGTTAATATGCTTAAAGTGCTTGGAACAGAACACACATTCTGTGAAGTCATTACTATTATCATTACATTAACACTTCTCTTTTTGAAAAAGGACACTTTTTCTATTAGTTAAGACAAAGCAAGCCATATATTTGCAAATTCCTAAAACAATGATTGAAATTAAAATTCTATAGGAGAATGACTTAAATTTTCTTTGTAATAAGAATAGATATGCCTCCAGTTCCATTCTTGAAGCAGGATACATGCCAAGGTCAGAAGGAAGGTGACTTCTGCTTTCACAAGCCTGTGAGAGAATGGGATCCGGGATGAGTCCTCCGACTCAGGGGCTCACCTTTCCCACCATGTCAGGCAACGCATCAAGGAAGCTCATGTTCTTTCAATTTAAGGAATGCATATTTCATTGCTTGAAAGAGGAAAATTTAAATGTTTCTTCAAAGGTTATACAGAATATTATGACAGACTTAGGACAACAAACGACGCTTCTGTTAACTGTTAGAGTTCTCTTTGGCAGTGTTATTATGAGTTAACTGCTCAGTAAGAAGATGGTTAATATTGAGTGTCAACTTGATTAGATTGAAGGATGCAAAGTATTGTTCCTGGGTGTGTCTGTGAGGGTGTTGCCAAAGGAAATTAACATTTGAGTCAGTGGTCTGGGAGAGGCAGATCCACCCTCAATCTGGTGGGCACCATCTAATCAGCTGCCAGCGAGGAAGCAGGAGAAGATGGAAGAGCAGACTACTGAGTCTTCCAGCCTTCATCTTTCTCCTGTGCTGGATGCTTCCTGCCCTCGAACATCAGACTCCAAGTTCTTCAGCTTTTGGACTCTTGGACTTACACCAGTGGTTTTCCAGGGGCTCTTGAGCCTTTGGCCACAGACTGAAGGCTGCGCTGTCAGCTTCCCTACTTTTGAGGTTTGGGGACTCAGACGGAACCACCACTGGCTTGCTTGCTCCTCAACTTGCAGACAGCCTATCCTGGAATTTTACCTTGTGATCATCCGAGTCAATATTCCTTAATAAATTCCCTTTCGTATATACATATATCCTATTACTTCTGTTCCTCTAGAGAACCCTAATACAAGGGATTAACATTAGAATTTTGAATTCACCTAAAAGCAAGTGAGGTTACATGAAGTAAGCACAAGAATGTCCTCCAAAATGTACCTTAAATTAAATGGAAAGTAAAGAAGAGATGAGAGTTTATTTTTATATTACTGAATGTTGTTTCTTATAAAAGGCATACTTTAGTTCAGTAAGTAATTTGAGAGGGTCTGAAGACTAAACTACATGTTAAAAAACATTGCCGGCTGGATGTGGTGGCTCATGCGTGTAATCCCAGCACTTTGGGAGGCTGAGGCAGGCGGATCACAAGGTCAGGAGTTCCAGATCACCCTGGCTAACACGGTGAAACCTCATCTCTACTAAAAATACAAAAAAATTAGCCTGGTGTAGTGGCACATGCCTGTAGTCCCAGCTAATCAGGAGGCTGAGGCAGGAGAATCGCTTGAACCCAGAAGGCGGAAGTAGTAGTGAGCCGAGATCATGCCACTGCACTCCAGTCTGGGTGACAGAGCGAGACTCCATCTCAAAACAAAACAAACAAAAAAAAAAACAAAACATTGCCAATGTTTCCATATTGTGGGAAAGCTATTTATTGAGAAACAGTCTATTATTTTATTAGACCATGCAGATTATGGTGATGTGATATTATACCTACAGAAATACAATATAGAATAATATTATAGTTTTTTTAAAAGAGCCTTCTACATGTTGCAAAAATCTGATTTTTAATTTATTAGTACTTTAAGTAATCAAGAACATTTTATAAAGAAACAGCAATGATTAGTATTATAAAGATTATCTGTTTGTTTTATTAATCATGGAGAAAAGTTGTCACAATACTTGCCCTTTATGATATTTCAATAAGAATCACCTAGGCCGGGCACGGTGGCTCACGCCTGTAATCCCAGCACTTTGGGAGGCCGAGGAGGGCGGATCACGAGGTCAGGAGATCCAGACCATCTTGGCTAACACGGTGAAACCCCGTCTCTACTAAAAATACAAAAAATTAGCCGGGCGTGGTGGTGGGCGCCTGTAGTCCCAGCTACTCGGGAGGCTGAGGCAGGAGAATGGCATGAACCCAAGAGGCAGAGCTTGCAGTGAGCCGGGATAGCGCCACTGCAGTCCAGCTTGGGCGAAAGAGTGAGACTCCGTCTCAAAAAAAAAAAAAAAAAAAAAAAAAATAAGAATCACCTGCCAAATAATATGGTGATATCCATACCAACAACAATTCCATTGACTTATGAGTTAAAAATTTACTTTATACTGCAGATGGTTGGTTCCCATGCCCTGAGAAACACAAGATGCTCCATGGAAATGCTGATGATTTTACCTTCATAAAACCAGTTTTCATGCCCCAGAAGTCAAGCACGACCTACTCAAAACTTTAGCTCTGCAGTATAGAGGTCTCCTTCTTCTCCAAGATAAGATCTTTTGGGGAAGAAGAGCTTATAAGTTGATCAGAATTTGCTCCCACAAGTTCCAGTGAGCAGAGTAGTAACTGAGAACCCAGGCTTTGTGGCCTTATAAATCTGAATCTACTAGCTGTGTATTCTTGGGAAAGTTACTTAACATCTTGGAGCCTCAATATTCTCATTAAAAAATGAGAATTTAAAAGTAGCATTGTCATAGGTACTGATGGCTATGTGGTGTCATGTGATTCTTGGCGCAGGTCCTTCATGACATTGTAACTATTGTTTTAATTGCACCATGCACTAACAAATAAAATGTTGTATGAATTAAATAGAGCTACTTTAACTAAAATAGGTGGTAATTAATGAAAAATGCTAATCATAACCAGAAAAAAAATTTATTTTTTTTCTTTTTAAATCAGGATCCCTGATAAAAATCTACCCAGAATACAAATCTACCCAAAATGAGATTATCATCCACAATCTCATGTAAAAATATCTAGGCCAGCATGGTGGTTCACACCTGTAATCTCAGCACTTTGGGAGGCCAATCGGGGCGGATCACCTGAGGTCAGGAGTTTGAGACCGGCCTGGCCAACATGGTGAAACCCTTCCCCTACTAAAAATACAATAATTAGTGGGTCATGGTGGCGGGTACCTGTAATCCCAGCTACTCAGGAGGCTGACACAGGAGAATCATTTGAACCCGGGAGGTGCAGGTTGCAGTGAGCTGAGACCATGCCTTTGCACTCCAGCCTGGGCGACAAGAGTGAAACTCCATCTCAAAATAAATAAATAAATAAAAATATTTAAAACTTAGATTTTTAAAAAAGCATTTGATAGCCTGACCAATAACTGGAGAGAGAAAAAGTGATGCTCCAAGAATAAACTATTATATTTTAATTCTCAAGTCATTTAAATTGATAATTTTATGGGTCCTTGCACATAAACAGCTGAAATGTTAAATCAATTCATTAAAGTGTTCATAAATTCACTAAATGTTCTTAATCATCATTAAGCCTTAAACAACCTGTGACATCAAAATGATTACAGAGAAACAGTGATAAATTACTTTGAGTTATCAACTATATATTTAAATACTGGGATACTGGTCTAAGTTATCTGGTATTTTAGGGGATATTAAGTATTCCATCTCTAATATAATTTATATTATGTCATGCTTCCCATAAGTTTTTAAACAGAAACTTTAAGAAAGTGATTATGCACTTAAAAAATCATATCAAGCAATATAAAATCTGAACACCAGATTGGTACAAAATGTGAATATCACATAAAAGTAACCTAGCATTGAAAATGAGAAGCTGTTACCCTGTGAAATTATAATGTAAAAACACACTAGATAAAATGCAGTATCTTGAGTATAATCTGTTACAAATTCTGAAATTGTGTACAAAATGTATATTATATGGATTTTATGACCTCTCCCAAATGTAGACTCTTGACATACCTGGCCTGTAAAAGATATATAGGCTGACAGACCTAGGGGAAAAAATGCTATGTTCTGAGCCCAATGTGCCTCTTTGGTCCATAAGTATCATTTACAAGAATAATCATGATTCTCTGATTCCAAACTGTTGCCCCCATTATGAGCCGATTGCTCATACCTGTGGCACCAGTCACTCCATCAAACCTTTATTCTGGGCTGCACACTCCTGGAAGGAACCATAAAGGAGGTCTGAGGGCAAATATCCTTTGTGTTAGGATCTGGCTCATGTCCACATCCCCCTTGCTGGTGCCATATTCAATCCATGAGGACCTACTGGATTCTAGACCTTAGTAGTAGATATAAAATTCCAGAACAGTTTATGGAATTTTACTATGTGGTCCTTCTGTTTCTTAGCATTTTTGTCTTAATCAGTTTAGGCTGATATAACAAATTATCATAAACTGCGTGGCTTAAACAAGAAATATTTATTTCTCATAGTTCTGGTGGCTGGGAAGTCCAAGATCAAGGCATCAGCATGGTTGAGTTCCAGTAACTGCTGATTGGAGACTGCTGATTTCTTATTTTATTCCTACATGGTGGAAAAAGAGCAAGCTAATTCTCTGGCCTCTCCTGTCAAATTTGTAAAATTTCATATTCATACATGTAAAAGTTATAATGCTTATTTCAAATTGAGAATCAGTAGGGTGATAGGCATTTTAGCAAGAAACATAATTATCTCCATATATAAACTAATTTTAAACATCACAGTTTATTTTTCCAGGTACTAATTCCTTGGCTCATATAAAATGTATACTTCAGAAAATCTCTTTCCTTGTTTCTGCTTTTTATTCCAATATTATAACTTCTCATAAAAAATGAAATAAGATAAATTTAAATGCTGTGTAATTCAGCTATCTGGAAAAGGACATCATTCTTCTGATGACACTGAACATGTAGATGAGGAATCATAGTGGAGGAAAGCTATCTTAGTGGGACCAAGTATCCCAGTGGTCACAGACTTAAGGGAAGGGATTCAGGATGTTAGGGATGTAGGGGAGGAAAAACACCATTTACTTCCACTATCTTTTTGTCCATAGTCAATTTTGTCTGAGAGTAGTGATTGCTTTAGAGGTGAAGAGCTAAGAAAGACAGATTCATCTTCATTTCTGACCATTTCACCTCCAAATATGCATTAAAAGCACTAGTGTAAACTAATTTTATTACTCCTATCCTCCTGCAAGCCTGGAGGACATTGCCTGTGTCCCCCACATTGACTTCTTCAAGCAGTTTTTGATTCAATTGTTTCCACCCTGACATAACATAAAAGACAATATGGAACACACAGGTAACATTTATATCCTGGAAGGCTTTCTCTACCTCAGAGAGATGACAGATGTCTCCATGTATAAACTTGATTCCTTCCAGAAAGGTTTGAGCAGGGATACTTATGTCAAACAGAATCATATGGACTCCCTTCTGATTCAGAAACAGCCTAGGCAGAACCCAAAATATCTACCACTTCCTGTAATGACAACAATTTCTTTTTAAAAAAATAATTTTGATTTTATTTTATATTCAGGGGACATAGCTGCAAGTTTTTACACAGGTATGTGGAATAATGCTGATGTTTAGGATATGGATTCCATCACCCAGGTAGTGAGCATATTACCTAACAGGCAGTTTTTCAACCCATCTCTCCTCCCTCCTGCCCCTTCCAGTAGTTCACAGTGCCTAGTGTTACCATATTTATGTCAATGTGTACTCAGTGTTTGGCTCCCACTTACAAGTGAGAACAAGCTGTATTTGGTTTTCCATTCCTATATTATAACAATTTACTTAGGGTTATGGCCTCCAGTTGCATCCATGTTTCTGAAAAGGACATGATTTCATTATTTTCTATAGCTGTGTAGTATTCTGTGGTGTATATGTACTACTACTACATTTTTAAAATTCAATCTACCGTTGATAAGCACCCAGGTTAATTCCATGTCTTTGCTATTGCGAATAATGCTGTTATGAACATACAAGTGTATGTGTCTTTTTGGTAGAATGATTTATTTTCCCTTGGGTATATGCCCAATAATGGGATTGGTAGGTTAAATGGTAGTTCTAAGTTCTTTGAGAAATCTTCAATTGCTTTCCACAGTGGCTGAACCAGTTTACATTCCCCTCAACAGTTTATAAGCATTCCCTTTTATGCACACACAGCCTCACCAGCATCTGTTGTTTTTTGACCTTTTCATAATAGCCATTCTGACTGGGGTGAGATGGTATCTTATTGTGGTTTTGATTTGCATTGCTCTGATGATAGTGATGTTGGACATTTTTTCATATGTTTGTTGGCCGCTTGTATGCCTTCTTTTGAGAAGTATCTGTCCATGTCCTTTGCCCATTTTTTAATGGGGTTATTTGTTTGTTTTTTCTTGATTTGTTTGAGCTCCTCATAGGTTCTGGATATTAGACCTTTGTTAGATGCATACTTTGCAAATATTTTCTCCTATTATGTAGGTTGTCTGTTTACTGACAGTTTCTTTCGATGAGCAGGAGCTTTTTAGTCTAATTGGGTCCCACATGTCAGTTTTTGGTTTTGTTGCAATTGCTTTTGGGGACTTAGCCAAAAATTCTTTGCCAAGGCTGATGTCCAGAATACTGTTTTTCCTAGGTTTTCTTCCAGGATTCTTATAGTTTGAGGTCATACATTTAAATCTTGAATTCATTTTGAGTTAATTTTTGTATACGATAAAAGGTAGGGGTCCAGTTTCATTGTTCTGCATATGGCTAGCTAGTTATTTCAGCACTATTTATTGAATAGGGGACCCTTTTCCCATTTTTTTGTGGGCTTTGTCAAAGAGCAGATGGCTATAGGTGTGCAGAACTGCTTCTGGATTATCTATTCTGTTCCATTCATCTGTCTTTTTTTGTACCAGGACCAAGCTGTTTTGCTTACTGTAGCCTTATAGTATAGTTTGAAGTTGGGTAGTGTGATGCCTCCAGCTTTGTTCTTTTTGCTTAGGATTGCTTTAGCTATTCGGGCTGTTTTTTGGTTCTATATGAATTTTAGAATAGTTTTTTCTAGTTCTGTGAAAAATGACATTGGTAGTTATAGCATTAAATCTTTAAACTGCTTTGGGCAGCATGGTCATTTTAACAATATTGATTCTTCCAATCCATCAGCATGGAATTTTTTTTTATTTATTTGTGTCATCTGTGATTTCTTCCAGCAGTGGTTGGCAGTTCTCCTTGTAGATATCTTTTTTTCTTTTTCACATTATGGAACCTTTACTTTTCATGTGATTTCTGTACATAAGGAGTATGAGAGTAACCCTTTCACAAATGAAACTAATCTACTAGAATAAACAATGACAAAACTGAACTGGTATTTGATGTAAATCCACAGGCGTTTAAGGTTCAAATTCAGCATCTGATTCTTCTGAGATCTTTCCATCAGCCCTGGTAGTGCCCAACAGGGCTTGGTGCCAGCTGACATGAGACAAGAAAGCATTCTCAAACTTTGTAATCTTGCTGGGCTCCCGTTTATCAAGATAGCCCCTAATACCCACATGGATAACAGCCACTTGTTCTTCAATAGCCATGGGAGTATACTGTCTTTGCTTCAGCAACTCAGTTAGACACACACCACAACTCAAAAGTTGTTGAGTGGCAGCATCGAGGTCAGAACTGAACTGGGCAAAAGTGGTGACCTCATGATACTGAGCCACTTCCAGCTTCATGGTACCTGCCACCTGCTTCATAGCCCTGGTTTGGGCAGCAGATCTGACACGAGACACAGACAGACCGACATTAATGGCAGGGTGGATACCTTTGTAGAACAATTCTGTTTCCAAGAAGATCTGTCCCTTAGTGATAGAAATGACATTCATTGGAATGTAAGCAGACACATCACCAGTCTGTTTCTATGACTGGCAAAGCAGTCAAGGAGCCACCACCAAAAGCATTGTTCATCTGGGCTGCTCTCTCCAGCAACTGGGAGCATAGGTAGAACACAACACCAGGATAGGCCTCACAACCAGGGGGTTGGCAGAGCAACAGAAACATCTGATTGGTAAGCAACAGCCTGTTTGGATAAGTTGTCATAGATGGTCAAAACATGTTTGCCATTGTCTCTAAAATACTCTCCCATGGAACAGCCAGTGTAAGGAGCCAGTTACTGAAGTGGGGCAGCATCTGAGGCCGTAGCTGACACCACGATGGTGTAATTCATGGCATCTGCATCGTAAGTCTCTTCACCAACTGGGCAACAGTGGATCTCTTTTGACCAATAACAACATAGACACAGTACAGCTTCTTCTTTTCATCAGATCCATCATTGAAACATTTCTGGTTAATGATTGTGTCAATAGCAATTGAGATTTTCCCAGTCTGTCCATTACCAATAATCAGCTCACACTGACCATGGCCAATTGGCACCAAGCTATTTACAGCCTTAATGCCAGTCTGCATTGGTTCCTGCACTGAAATTTGAGGAATGATTCCAGGGGCTTTCAGACTAACTCACCTATGGTTCTTGGAACCAAATGGACCCTTTCCATCAATGGCATTACCAAGGGCATCAACCACATGACCCAACAGCTCCTCACCAACTGGAATGTCCACAATGGCTCTTGTCCTCTTCATTCTAGCTCCTTCCTTAATCAGTTAATCATTTCCAAACACGACAACACCAACATTGTCAGGTTTGTAGAGATCTTTAACCTTCTTGGTTAGCTGTATTCCTAGGTATTTCATTTTTGTGTGTGGCTATTGTAAATGGGATTGTGTTCTTGATTTGGCTCTCAGCTTGAACATTATTGGTGTATATGTAACCAGCTCAAGTCCAGCTGCTCTCCTCTCAGAAGTCAAAGCATGAGAACTGAGGTGTGGTGAAAGGAAAGCAACTTTTATTGGTCAAATGCTAGCAGATGGGACAATGTCTGGGCATAAGCCTCAAAAGAGCCATCTCAGCCTTCTGGGCTGAGTGAAGGGGTTTAAGAAGGAAAAAGGTGTGGGATATAGACATGAGTAGTGAAAAGGGAGTGCATATCTGCATGTCTTGTTCCCATAGTTATCTCAAGTAATCTCCCATCTAGAGATCTGATTTGCATCATCCTGACTTGGGCGTAACTCCCCTTGAGTGGGAAGATCTGTGGCTTGGTCTCTCTGCCTGGTTTGTTTCAAAATTGGCTCCTGGAATTTCTAAGCAAGCACATAGTTAGATGAGCAAGCACTGTACACAGATATGCCTGTAGGGAAAGGGCATAACAAAGAGTCTTACACTATAAGGCTACATTCTGAGATTAGGAAGGAAAGGAAAAAAATAGTTTAAAAATGTATTTCGAGGCTGAGGTACTCAGTTATATATAGAAATGCTATTGATTTTTGTACATTATTTTTGTACCCTGAAACATTACTGAAGTCATTTAGCAGTTTGACGGGCCTTTTGGCAGAGTCTTTAGGGTTTTCTAGATATAGAATCATATTATCAGTGGCCAAGCATGGTGGCTTACACCTGTAATCTCAGCACTTTGGGAGGCTGAGGCAGGCAGATCACTTGAGGTCAGGAGTTCAAGACCAGCCTGGCCAACAGGGTGAAACCCCATCTCTACTAAAAAATACAAAAATTAGCCGGGCGTGGTGGTGAATACCTGTAATCCTAGCTACTCTGGAGGCTGAGGCAGGTGAATCACTTGAACCCAGGAGGCAGAGGCTGCAGTGAGCTGAGATGGTGCTACTGCACTCCAGCCTGGGCAACAGAGGGAGACTCAGTTTCAAAAAAAGAGAGAATCACACTGTCAGTGAAGAGAGATAATTTGACCTCTTCTTTTCCCATGCGGATGTCTTTTTTGTTTGTTTGTTTGTTTTTGTTTTTGTATTTTTAGTAGAGACAGGGTTTCACTGTGTTAGCCAGGATGGTCTCGATCTCCTGACCTCGTGATCTGCCCGCCTCGGTCTCCCAAAGTGCTGGGATTACAGGCGTGAGCCACCACACCCAGCCGCGGATGTCTTTTATTTCTTCCTCTTGCCTAATTGCTCTGGCTAGGACTGTTAGTACTACATTGAATAGCAGCAGTGAGAGTAGGCATCATTGTCTTGTTTTTGTTCTTAGGGGGAATGCTTCTGGCTTTTGCCCAGTCAGTATGCTGTTGGCTGTGGGTTTGGTGTAGATGGCTCTTATTATTTTGAGGTATGTACCTTAGATGCCTAGTTTGTTGAGGGCTTTTATCATGAAGGGATGTTGGATTTTATTGAAAGCTTTTTTTGCATCTACTGAGATGATCATATGGGTTTTGCTTTTAATTCTGTTACTGTGGTGGATCACATTTATTGATTTGCATATGTTCAATCAGCCTTGAATCCCAGGAGTAAAGCCTGCCTTATTGTGGTAAATTAACTTTTTGATGTGCTGCGGGATTCAGTTTGCTAGTATTTTGTTGAGAATTTTCGCACCTATGTTCGTTAGGTATATTGGCCTGAAGTTTTCTTTTTTTGTTGTGTCTCTGCCAGATTTTGGTATCAGACTGATTCTGGTTTCATAGGATAAGTTAGAGAGGTGCCCTTCCTTTTCGATTTTTTTGAATAGTTTCAATATGATTGGTACCAGTTCTTCTTTTTATGTCTGAGAGAATTTGTCTGTGAATCCATCTGGTCCAGGGCTTTTCTTTTTCTTTTTCTTTTTTTTCTTTTGGGGTTGGCAGTTTCTTTAATGCTGATATAATTTTGGAACTTATTGGTCTGTTCAAGTTTTCATTTTCTTTCTGGTTCAATATTGGGAATTTGTGTGTTTCCGGGAATTTATCCATTTTCTCTAGGTTTTCTTAATTTGTGTACATAGAGCTGTTCATAATAGTCTCTGAGGATCTTTTGTATTTTTGTGGGATCAGTTGCAATGTCTTCTTTGTCATTTCTGATTGTACTTATTTAGATCTTCTCTTTTTTTCTTTGTTAATATAGCTAGTGGTTTATTGATCTTGTTTATTCTTTTGAAGAAAAAACACTTTGTTTCATTGATCTTTTCTATGGATTTTTGTGTCTAAATTTCATTCAGTTCTTCTCTAATTTTAGATATTTATTATCTTCTGCTTGCTTTGGGGTTGGCTTGTTTTTTTCTAGTTCCTCTAGTTGCAAAGGTACATTGTTAATTTGAGACCTTTCTAATTTCTTGCTGAAGGTGCTTAGTGCTATAAACTTTCCTCTTAATACTGTTCTAGCTGTGTTCCAGAGATTTTGGTAAGCTGTGTCCCTATTTTCATTTATTTCAAAGAATTTTTTTATTTCTTCCTTAATTTTATTGTTCACCGAGGAGTTATTCTGGAGCAAGCTGTTCAATTTCCATGTATTTGTGTAGTTTTGGGGAGCTAGGACTGGCTTTCAGCTTCATCCTCCAGACCCTTGAGATTGGGCCCCAGCTGTTCTGGGGGATCCAAAGTGCTCCCAGGCCACCAGGAAGGTACTCAGGTGAAGCAAAGCACCCAGGCTTGGCAGCAGAGGCTACTCTGTGCACACCTCCTGCAGGGTGGCCAGGCAGGGGCCCTGGAAGTTTCCCAGTCCCACAGGGAAGCCAGCCACACTCTCTCCTGGGCCAGCAATCAGCTGAGGCTAGAGCTGCCTGTAGGGAGGTGGGGAGCCCTGGGGGATGGGTGTCTAGGCCATGCTCTGCCACAGCTCCACATGCACAAAAGCTCCTAGGCTCCATGCCGGTGAAGCCCTGTCTCTGCCAACTCTCTTTGAAGATCCCCCTGCCAGCTCAAATGTCCATGGAGAATGTGAAGTTCTATGTACCTAGGATCCCAGAGGTCCACAGTGAGAGTGGCCTGTCCCTCCATCCCTTCACTTATCCCTTCCCCAGGAGGCATCCAGGTCTGGGAACTAGCCCTGTCATGCAAGTATCCTGTGCAGGGTTTCCAGCTTCCTCCCTCTTCAGCCTTGTTGTCTGCATCACCTCTGTAATGACTCTCAGCATTTTCTCTCTGAAGATGGGCTCAAAATACGTTGGTGTACTCAATATTTTGGTGTCTCTCAGTGGGAGCAGTGCTTCCTGGCTGTGTCTAGTTGGCCATCTTGTTATGGTAACAATTTCTTTTGGAGATTTTTTGGAGTCCACTTGTGGCAGTCAAAAGATAACTAGACAGTGGTGGCAGATGACAACTGGGTCCACAGATTGCACAACGAAGAGTAGCCTGTGGCAGAGAGCTTATTTGAAGAAATGGCTGAAAACTTCCCAAATCTGAAAAATGAAATGGACAACCAAATTTCAGCAGCTTGAAGGACTCTGTCTAAGATGAACCTAAAGATCCAACACCATGACACATTATAATCAGTCAAAAGTCCAAGACAGACAATCTTGAAAGCAGCAAGAGAAAGGTGACTTATATACAAGAGAACTCTCATAAGATTATCAGCAAACTCATCAGCAGGAACATTCCAGACTGAAAGGGAATGGGGTAGTATATTCAAAGGGCTGAAAGAGAAAGAAAACTGCCAACTAAGAATAGACAGCAAATCTGCCCTTCAAAAATGAAGGAGAAATAAAGATCTTCCCAGATAAACAAAAGCTGAAGAAGTTCATCACCATTAACCTACCTTGCTAGAATTTCTAACGGTAGTCCTTTCAGTTGAAATAAAAGAAAGCTAGATACCAACTTGAAAGCATACAAAAGTATAAGGCTCTCTGGTAAAGGTAAACATATAGTCAAATGCAGAATCTAGGCCATGTGCAGTGGCTCAAGCATGTAATCTCAGAACTTTGGGAGGCTGAGGTGGGCGGATCATGAGGTCAGGAGGTCGGGACCATCCTGGCCAACACGGTGAAACCCTGTCTCTACTAAAAATATAAAAAATAAAATAAAATAAAAGTAGCAGGGCATGGTGGCGGGTGCCTGTAGTCCCAGCTACTCAGGAGGCTGAGGCAGGAGAATGGCATGAACCCAGGAGGCAAAACTGGCAGCGAGCTGAAATTGCACCACTGCACTCCAGCCTGGGTGACAGAGTGAGACTCTGTCTAAAAAAAAAAAAAAAATGCAGAATCTTGTCATACTACAATAGTGGTCCATAAATCATTTTTAAATCAGGTATAAATAAAAGCATAAAAATAACCATAATTATTAAATTATATTAATGGATACAAAATACTAAAAGTATAATTTGTGACATTGATAATGTAAGGTGAATTGGAGGTAAAAGAGTAGAGGTTTTGTATGCAATTGAATTAAATTTTTAGTTTAAATAAATTGTTATAGCTATAAGATGTTTTATATAATCCCCATGGTAACTTACAGAGAAAATTGCTATAGAAGACATACCAAAGAAAATAAGGAAGTCCTCAAAGCATAACACTACAAAAAAATCAATGAAACACAAAGGCAGCAAGAGAGGAAAAGAGGGACAAACAACTCTAAGACATACTGAAAACAATTAACAAAATTGCAATAGTAAGTCCTTCCCCATCAATAATTACTTTAAGTGTGAATGGATTAAACTCCGCAGTCAAAAGACCGAGTGGCGGAATCAATTTTAAAAAGATCCAATTGCATGCTATCTACAAGAGATTCACTTAGCTTTGAAAACACACACAGGCTGAAAATGAAGGAATAGAAAAATATATTCCATGCAAGAGGTAACCAAAATAGCAAGGGTGCCCATACATATATCAGACAAAATAGACATTAAGCTAAAAACTGTCACAAGAGAAAAACAAGACACATCATATTGATGAAAGTGTCAATTCACAGTACAACACTTATAAGTCTATATGCACCAAACAGCAGAGCACCCAAATACATGAAGCAAACATTGATAGAACTGGAGGAAGAATTAGATTAAAAAAAATAATAGGAGGAGATTACAATACTCTTTTTCAATAATAAATAGATCAACCAGAAAGAAAAATAATAAGGAAATAAAGAACTTGAACAATACTAAAAGTGAATTGACTCTAATAGATATATAAACAATATTCCACCCTATGTTAATATACACATTCTTCTCAGGTGCACATAAAACAGTCTCCAAGACAGAACACATATTAGGACACAAAACAAGTTTTAACAATTCAAAAAAAAACTGAAAGAAAACCAACTATATTTTCTAATAATCATGAAACTAGAAATCTGGACTAGAAAACTCTGAACTAGAAAATTCACAAAGATGTGGAAATTAAGCAATATACTCTTGAACAACTTGATGAGTCAAGAAATCACTATTTAACAGTATTTTAAAGCAGGTGAAAATGAAAACACAACACACCAAAACTGTGGCAGTAAATGTTTGTATTTTTAAAAGAAGAACCCCAATCAATAATTGGAGATAATTTTGTATCTCAAAGAACTAGAAAAAGAATAGCAAACTAAATCCAAAGTTAGTAAAAGGAAGGTCCTAGATTACAGTTAGCAAAAGGAAGGTCATAGATTACAGAAAACATAAATGAAATAGAGAATAAATTAAAAAAATAGAAAAATCAATGAAATAAGAGTTTTTTAAAAAAATAAAAAAATTAACAAATTCTTTCAATAAGTAAGAAAATAGAAGTCTAAAGTAACACAAATCAGAAATGAGACATTAAAAATGAGGACGCAGAAGTAAAAAGATTACGAGAGACTACTATGAACAATACTCCAGTACATTGGATAACTTAGAAGAAATAAATTCTTAGAAATATACTACCTACCAAGATTGAATTGTGAATAAATTAAAATCTGAACACATCTATAACTTAGGAGATTGAATTAGTAATCAAAAATCTCCCAATGAAGAAAAGCCCCAGGACTAGACGGTTTCACTGATGAGTTTTACCAAACATTTAAAGAGTAGTTAGCATCACTCTTTCTCAAACTCCTCTGAAAAATTTCAGAAGAAAAAATACTTTCAAACTCATTTTATGAGGCCAGTATTACCTTAATACCAATGCTAAAGAAGGACACCACAAAAAGACTGCACACCAATAATCTTGCTTAATGTTGATGCAAAAATTCTCAACAAAATATCATAAACTTAATTCAGCAGTACACTATGACCAAGTGGTATTTATTCCTGGGATGCAAGGATGGTTCAACATACAAAAATTAGTCAATGCAATACACTATATTAACTGACAGAAAGGTAAAAAAGTCACATGATCATCTCAATTAGTGCAATAATAAGCTTTTAATAAAATTCAGCACCCTTTCATGTAAAATTCAATAATATAGAAATAAAAGAAAATTACATCAACATATTAAAAGCCCTATAGGTAATGCCCATAGCTACCATCATACTCAAGCTTTCCCTCTACAAATAGAAACAAGGCAAGCATGCCCAGTCTTGCCATGTCTATTCAACACAGTACTGAAAGTTCTAGCCAGAGCAATTAGACAAGAAAAAGGAGTAAAAAGCATTCAATTTTGAAAGGAAGAAATAAAATTATCTCTGTTTGCAGATGATATAATCTTACATGTAGAAAACCTGAAGGATTACACACACACACACACACACACACACACACACACAGAGACAACTGTTACAACTAATAAACTAATTCAGTAAAGTTGCAGGAAACAAAATCAACCCACAAAAATCAGGTTCATTTCTAGACACTAAGAATAAATAATCAGAAAAGAAAATGTTTTTAAATCCCCTTTACAAGAGCATCAAAAAGAATAAAATACTTAGGAATAAACTCAACCAAAGAGGCAAAAGACCTGTATACTGAATACTCTTAATATTGCTGAAAGTAATTAATGAAGACACGAATAAATATAAAGACATCCCATGTTCCTGGATTGGAAAAGAATATGGTTACAGTGTTCATACTACCCCCCAAATCTACAGATTCAATGCAGTCCGTATAAAAATCTCATTGGAAATTTTTGCAGAAACAGAAAAAAAATCCAAAATCCATTAGGAATCTCAAAGTATTCCAAATAGTCAAGACAGTTATGAGAAAGAAATACAAAGCTGGAGGTCTCATACTTCTCAAGTTCAAAAAACAGTGTAAAGCTACAGTAATCAAAATAGCATAATACTGGAATAAAGACACACATATAGACCAATGGGCCAGAATAGAGAGCCCAGAAATAAACTCTCACATATATGGTAAAATAATCTGCCATAAGGGCATCAAGACTATACAATGGGGAAAAGATAGTGTCTTCAACAAATGGTGCTTAGAAAACTTGATATTCACATGTAAAATAATGAAGTTAGACCCTTACCTTCCTGTACCTATATACAAAAATCACTTCAGAATGAATTAACGGCTAGGTGCAGTGGCTCACGCCTGTAATCCCACCACTTTGGGAGGCTGAGGTGGGAGGATCGCTCAAGTCCTGGGCAACACTGCGAACCCGTCTATACAAAAAATGTAAAAATTCCCCCGGGTGTGGTGGCGCGCACCCTGTAGTGCCACCTACTGGGAGAGGTGGGGGTAAGGCAGGAGGATTGCTTGAGCCCAGAAGGTTGAGGCTGCAGTCAGCTGTGATGATGCCACTGCACTCCAGCCTGGTTGTCAGAGAGAGACCCTGTCTCAAAACAACAAACAAACCAAAATGGATTAATGACCTAAATGTAAGACCTAAAATTATAGAACTGTAATTTATAAAATTATATTTATAAAACTAAAATTTATAAAATTATAAAATTACCTAGTAAGATAAAAATATAGGGGAGAAGCTTCATGTTTTTGGATTTGGCAATGATTTCTTGGACATGACACCAAAGGCAGAGGAAATAAAAGCAAAAATATACAAATGGAACTAAATCAAACTTCAGATCTTCTTCACAGAAAGGAAATAATGAAGAGAGTGAAAAGGCAACGTACAGAACAGAAGAAAATATTTGTAAACCATGTATCCGATGAGGGTTAATATCCAAACATATAGAGAATTCCTACAACTCAACAACATCAAAACTAGACAAACAAACAAACAAACAAAAAACCCTATTAACAAAGTATTTGAATAGACGTTTCTTTAAGGATGACATCAATATGGCCAACATATAAAAATATGTTCAATATCACTAATCAGAGAAATGCAAATCAAAACCACAATGAGATGTCACCTCACATCTCTTAGCTAGATCACTATCCAAAAAGACAAAACAGAAACAGAAAATAAGAAATACTGGCAAGGATATAGAGAACTTGAAACCCCTGTGCACTGTTGGTGGCAACGTAAAATGGTGTAGCCACTATGGAAAACAGAGGTTCTTCAAAAAATTTAAAACAGAACTACCATATAGTCCAGCAATCCCACTTCTGGGTATATATCAAAAAAATTTAAAGTAGGATTTTGAAAAGATATTTGCACATCCATCTTTATTGCAGTATTACTCACAATAGCCAAGAGTTGGAAGAACACTAATATCTCCTGACAAATCATTAATGTATAAACCATATATTCACTGGAATATTATTCAGCCTAAAGAAAGAAGAAAATCTTACCGTATGCTACAACACGGATAAGGCTTGAGCACATTATGCTACATGAAATATGCCAGTCATAAAAGGAATAATGCTGCATGATTCCCTGTGTATACGTTTTCTAAAGTAATCAAATTCATAGAAACAGAAAGTAGAATGTGACAACCAGAGCTAGGGAAGAGGGGGAAATGGGGAGTTTTTCCACGGGTACAGAGTTTCCCTTTGGCAAGATGAAAAAGTTACAGAGGCCTATTGCACAACAACTTGCATACAGTTAACAGTACTGTACTGTACACTTGAAAATGGTTAAAATGTTAAATTTTGTTATTTTTTGTTTACTCACAAAAAAGGAATGAGGAGCTGATACATGCCACAACATGGAGAACCCTGAAAACATTATGTTAACTGAAAGAAGTCAGTAACAAAAGACCACATATTATTGACTCCACTCATATGAAATGTCCACAATAGGACAATCTACTGGGAGAAAGAAGCCTAGTTGCTGCTTAGGAAGACAAGGAGTAATAGCTGAAGCATGTGCCTTTTTTTTCTTTCTTTTTTTTTCTTAAGATGGAGTCTTGCCCTGTCACCCAGGCTGGAGTGCAGGGTTCAAGCAATTCTCCTACCTCAGCCTCCCAAGTAGCTGGGACTACAGGTGTGTGCCACAATGCCTGGATAATTTTTGTATTTTTAGTAGAGACGGGGTTTCACCATATTGGCCAGGCTGATCTCAAACTCCTGACCTCGTGATCTGTCCGCCTTGGCCTCCCAAAGTGCTGGGATTACAGGCGTGAGCCACTGCGCCCGGCCATGGCTTTTATTTCTGAGGTGATAAAAATGTTCAAATGTTGACTGTGGGGATGGTTGCACATATCTCTAAAACACTAAAAAATATTGAATTGTAAATTTTATATGGGTGAATTGTACGGTGCATGAGTCATACCTCAATGAAGCTACGTAGAAAGTAAGCTCTATTGTCTTCTCTTTCCCCTGGCGAAACACCTCAGCTTAGGGCAAGTCTGAACAGAAACCTTGCCTCTCAGTGAAGGAAATAGGAGTCATCTCAACTTCACTTGTAGTCCATCTAATCATCTATGCCACCACAGCTCTCGGATATCTTTAAAACGATTACATTTCCAATTTCTTTACTTTTTGAACTACTTGTTGCAGTGGGAGTGATGCAGTGCCACTGCCTCCTATATTCTACCTAGAATCAGAACTTCAGCTCCAATCCCTTTGGCCTGATTTCTGCTCCTCAAGTACCCCAAAGCCTTTCCCACTTCACCGTACTTACCATTTCCTCCTTTTGAAATGGTTTTCTTTCAAATAGCCGCTAGGCATTTTCTCATTACATTCATTTCTTCAGGGTTAATGCCACCAAAAAGCCTTCCTTCCCAGACTACCCTAACTAGCTGGCGCACTTTTACCTTCTATCACTCTGTAACTCCCTTCCCTGCTTTATTTTCTTCGTGGCACTTGTCACTCTCTGACTCCCTGTATAGTACATATGTTTAATGACTATTTCCCTTACTAGAATGTAAGTGCCAGGGGCTACTTTGTCTTTCTTGCTCTTCACTGAATTCCCAACACAAGCATTGGAACTAGTGTATAGTGCATTCCCAGTGAATACTGAGTGAAAGAATACACTCCACTTTCAGTGGGTCCTCCTGGTTACAACTTCCTGTATTTTTTTTTTTTTTTTTGAGACACAGTCTCGCTCTGTCGCCCAGGCTGGAGTGCAGTGGCACGATCTTGGCTCACAGCAAGCTCCGCCTCCCGGGTTCACGCCATTCTCCTGCCTCAGCCTCCCAAGTAGCTGGGACTATAGGCGCCCGCCACCGCGCCCGGCTAATTTTTTTGCATTTTTAGTAGAGACGTGGTTTCATCGTGGTCTCGATCTCCTGACCTCGTGATCCACCCACCTCGGCCTCCCAAAGGGCTGGGATTATAGGCCTGAGCCACCGCGCCCAGCCTACAATTTCCTGTATTATTCAGTCTGTGCATTTTTCTGTGTTGCTGGGCACTGGGTTGTCAGGCAGCTGTGATAGGTGTCAGGACTAAAACAACGAACATGCACAGCCTCTGTCCATAGGAACTTACTTATTGGGGATTCACACAAATAAAATATGCACTTGGATTTGAGGGAGTAAATAATGTCATTCATGGAACACACAAACTGTAAGGAGAGAAGAATGAACATAGAGGATCACCGCATGTCATGACAGGCAGAGTAACCGAACATAGAGGTGAGTGGAAGAAGACCAGGAACCTCTGGTGGCCCAGAGGCAGGGTACACCGTTTATAAAAAGAAATGCCTGGCCAGGCACAGTGGCTTACTCCTGTAATCCCAGCACGTTGGGAGGCTGAGGCGAGTAGATCATCTGAAGTCAGGGGTTCTAGACCAGCCTGGCCAACATGGTGAAACCCTGTCTCTGCTAATAATGCAAAAATTAGCCAGGCATTATGGCAGGCACCTGTAATCCCAGCTACTTGGGAGGGTGAGGCAGGAGAATCACTTGAACCCGGGAGGTGGAGGTTGCAGTGAGCAGAGATTGTGCCATGACACTCCAGCCTTGGGCAGCAAGAGCAAAATTCTGTCTCCACCCACACACACACACACACAAAATGCCTGCAGAGTTCAAAGACTGAAGAAAGTAAATGCCCTGTGCATTTTCTAATAAAGAGGCTTTGTTGACCCTGGAAGGGACTGCTGCGGTAGAATAGTGAAGATGCCAAACTGCAGGAGGCTGGAGAGAGAATGAAATGAACGAGGAGGGGAGCGTGGTCAACTGTACCGCGGGTCTGAAGAATGTAGAAGATATAGGGAAATACTTAGAAGCAAACATAATGGTTGAGAGTGGTCATATTGATTGGTTAAAGATAGGACAGAAATAAATAAGTGTAAGTGCTGCTGGGGCAGTGAGCCAGTAGGATGGAGAATTTTCAGGTAGAGGAGAGAGGGATAAGCTAACTGAGGTAATGGCTGAGCTAACAGAGTACAGGTAGAATGGTTGGGCATGGAGGGAGATATATCTTCCCCTAGGCAAGGTGGGCACAGAGATAGGTGAATACTTTTAGGAACAAAGGCAGAAGTGAGAGGGAACAAACTCAAATGTTATACTTTTTTCTACCATAATACCCAGCACCCTTTGCCTGACACATAACAGATGTCTAGTAAGTAAGTGCAGAATAAATGAATTACACTTTCATATGGTGATGTAATAAAGAAAACTAAAGCACAATAGAAGTTTGAAATATGCTCTGTGGGAAGTGAAAGAGAAAGTTGCCCAGGAAAATATAGAAATACCAGGTGGTATTCCAACTGAGTTTGGCAACTATGCCTTTCAAATGAACTTTTAATGCAGTTATATGAGTTTCTTCATCTGTAGGAGAGTTGTTTGTGTAGGAGGAGAACAGAAGACGGTCTGGTGGATGATGATGTGGAATTTTTTTCCACAGGAGGTACAGTAGGAAGACAAAGTAGTAGAGTAATGGGAATACTGATAAAGACTGTCACACTAACCCAATTCATTCTTTACAATACAATGAAGAAAGGCAGAGTGGAGGTGATGAGTGATGGCTGGAGGAATGCAGTTTGGAATAAGTGTGTATGTATGTGATATTATAATCGAATATTTCGAAGCTCCAGCATGTCTAGGATTTGGCTGTGGGAGTGGATGGCTGACAATCCTGAGACTGACAAGATCATGCAACTTAGAGTTTGGAGTATGGGAAGGGGTGTCCTCATTGTCCTTTTCAACTCTCTTCTCGAGATACATGGTCATTTCACCATGAATTGTGAGTGTATCACACATAATTTATTAAGAATAATCACTGTGAATTTTTTAATAATATAATTTAGCAACTACTATGTGCCAGATACAAAAATGATGGTGAAACTTAGAGAAAAAGCTTCAAAGTCTTCAGTAAAAGCAAAAGAGTGTGAGAAAGAAGTACAGGGTCACATGGCTGGATGTTGTCAGCCTCAAGGGAAAGGGTTTGTTTCATAGGAGGAATGGTCTGGAACTGCACTGAGGGTGGAGAACACTGGCCTCTCCTCCCAACCCCAAGAAGCCTCCAACTCTGAGAAGCATCCCTTTGCAATTGCTGGAGGTGGGAGGTGGGCAGTGTCTTTATAGAAGGCTCACTTAAGTCAAGGTGTGTAAGGTAGAGGATGTGGAGGGAGTTGATGAGAATGGAATGGTGTTCCAGAGAGAGTATGGTGGAGACATTTGGAGGCAGAATGGACTAAGAGAAAGAACGAAGAGAGCAGCTTACCTTTTGAGTGGAGTGTAAGGATGGGAGAGATGGAGGCATAATCTACAGGTTTAGGGGTAGGAAAGATGGTTCAAACCACCTGAAGAGGAGGGAGTCTGGGTTTAGAGGAAATAGCATATTTGTCACAATCCAGGACCTTCACCACACAGTCTTTCTAGAAAGAAAGCCTCTTCTATCCGAGGGAGCATTTTAATTCAGGCTCCATTCTGCATCCTCTGCATGAATGCTGCAAAGTTTCCATATTTGTCTGTGCCTGTGTTTCCCCATTTCTTCAAAAAGAGAAAAAAGGGGAAACGCTTCCAAACTTTTATGTGGCTGCTGGAATTGTATGATCATTTTATATAAATATATATGAATATGCATAGTTTCTGAGAGAGAGAGACAGACAGAAAGACAGAGAGCACTAACACAGTGCCTGGTATATAACAAGGACTCATTAATTAATGATGGTTGTTACTATTGTCAGATTTCTATCTTTACTGAATTCCTGTCGATGTTATTAGTGTATTCTTACCATGTTATTAGTTATTAGTGTAGATAATATTAGTGTATTCTTACCATGCTTCAAATAGTGAAGCATATTTGAACATGTCTGGCACGGTCACTGGTAAGTTGCTTTCTATGAACACATCTTTTCTGCCTCAAGGGTTGATGTGTGTGAGGCAATAATAAAGCAATAATATAAATTCTGTATACCAGAAGGAGGACTCTGCATTCTCCTTTACCACTGCCCCATTTACCATGGTAGAATATAAGACATGCATCTTTTATAGTCTTATATTTATTTTTAGAGCCTGACCTGTTGCCTTATTTTTGCTCAAAAACATTGATAATTGAATTTTTTTTTTTGCGTAAGCAAAAAATCAATTAAATATGATACTCTGGATATAATTCTTATATGGTAACTTTTTCAATTGAACATTTTCCCTAATACTACTCCATGCAGAATAAAAAACAATGTTCTTCGTTCTGGAAATGTGACAGTTTACTCATCCACACGAACATTTGGAAAATTTGCCCAAATTTCTAGATCTTCAAAGTCTGAAGCTCTTTTTCCATTTATCTCATCCTAAACAAAATTTAAGTACAATGAGGAGGAGCTCTCAGTAATCTTTTTGTCCTTAGTGGCTTTCTGCTTTTCTTTATCATGGGCTGCACTACTAAAAATAAATTGGTACATTGTTGGCCAGCTCCAAAAGAATTGATGATTTAACAGTCAAATAATATGTTTCATAAAATAGTAATTACAGATCAAATAATTTGTTTTCACTCACTACAGAAAATGTAAAATGTTGCCAAACTGGCAACTGCCTAAACAAAAACAATATCAGTTCCAGAAATTCCACAGGTATATATTATAATATGCAGTATCTATAATCTTAACAGCTTTGTAACTAATGGACTCTAAATGGCTACATACTGTTATAATTTTGTATTTAGATTTTTCTTTTCTTTCTTTCTTTTTTTTTTTTTTTTTTTGGAAACCGAGTCTTGCTCAGTCTCCCAGGCTGGAGTGCAGTGGCGCAATCTCAGCTCACTGCAAGCTCCGCCTCCTGGGTTCACGCCATTCTCCTGCCTCAGCCTCCCGAGTAGCTGGGACTACAGGTGCCTGCCACCACGCCCGGCTAATTTTTTGTATTTTTAGTAGAGACGGGGTTTCACCGTGTTAGCCAGGATGGTCTAGATCTCCTGACCTCGTGATCCGCCCGCCTCGGCCTCCCAAAGTGCTGAGATTATAGGCGTGAGCCACCGCACCCCGCCTGTATTTGGATTTTTCTATCCTAACTTTTCTTTAATAATTTGATCCACTGTTCAACAGCAATCAGCAAACATCTATTTACTCAGTAACATTCATCAAGCCTTTCCAAGTCATATAACATTATTGCTTCCTACCCTAAAGAAATCTATCTGAAAACATCACTCATAGCTGAACAAATCAGTGCTGGAGCAAAAACTAGAATTCTGATTTTTGGCTCCAGTATATTTCCATGACCTAAACTTGTCTCTTAAACACTGACTACTTGATTACAAGTCCAGATTCTGCAGAACACTGATCATGTTTTTCTGCTGTTGTTAGGACGTTTATTCAAATGACTGGTCTAAATAGTCCATATTAAGTCCTCTCCACAGTAATAGCCTTCCTAGATATAAAGGATCATGGGGGAGAAAATGAAGACAGATTTTTTAAAATTTTGTTTAAGCCCAATTTTTCTTCTTCTATATTGCTTTCAGCACTTGAGGCACATGAATACTTTGTACGACCTTTTCTCTGAATGGAAAATGAATTCTCCTGCACTCAGCATATCAAATCCTGAGAGACTTTCCTGGACCGACTTTGGCCACCTCAATTTCTGAAATGTTATACTGATTACTTCTTTAAGATATTGTTTGACCCAAGGTCATGTAACATATGAGTTCATTCTGCGCATGAAGCTCCCCAGAGAACAACGGTACACAATGTCAGTTTGGTTATGGCATCTGAAAACTCATAAAAGCAGATTTTCATTAAAAGCAGTATTACCCCCAGCCCTTGCCTTCTGAGAATTCACATATGAATAATTAGGAGTCTGTAAGTAGGGGCCTACCTGTAGTACACATTTCTCCTGTTTTTGAAGTAAAAGGATATTTCTATAAAGTTTCTCAAACATTTTCTACTTTTTCATCATTGTCAAGTCATTTATTTTTTGAAGTTGAGCTTTACATTTACTTGCATAGTTGGAGTTTATAGCCCTGTTGTTTTGTTTTAAATTACAAGATGATAAAAATAAATCTTTAAGTCCTTTCCTAAATTCATCAGTTAATTGTAATCCAATCCTATATAAAGAAAAGTAGTATTTATTGCCTCTATATTCATCATTAACAGAAATAAATATAAAATTAAAAGTAGCATGCCAGTTAAAAACCAAGAAAGAATACTGGGCTTCTGAACTTAACAGGGAAATCTATTATCAGACTATTTTAATCATTTTCTAATTGTGCATATGAAAGACTGACAGAAATATAAGTTGTCTTTACTGAGTGCTGGGAGTATGAGTTGTATGATCATAAAATTATAGTCTTAAATATTTGAGACAGACAACTTTCCCAGCTAGTTTGCATTTAAAAAGTAATTGTGATTGTATTAGTAAATTTTGCGTTGCTATAAAGGAATACCTGAGGCTGAGTGATTTTTTTTTTTTTTTTTTTGAGACGGAGTCTCGCTCTGTCGCCCAGGCTGGAGTGCAGTGGCGCGATCTCGGCTCACTTCAAGCTCCGCCTCCCGGGTTCACGCCATTCTCCTGCCTCAGCCTCCCGAGTAGCTGGGAGTACAGGCGCCCGCCACCACGATAGGCTAATTTTTTTTTGTATTTTTAGTAGAGACGGGGTTTCACCATGTTAGCCAGGATGGTCTCGATCTCCTGACCTCGTGATCCACCCATCTTGGCCTCCTGAAGTGCTGGGATTACAGGCGTGAGCCACCGCGGTCGGCTGAGGCTGAGTGGTTTATAGGGAAAAGAGATTTATTTTGGCTCACAGTTCTGCAGACTGTACAAAAAGCATGGCATCAGCATCTGCTTCTGGTGAGGCCTCAGGAAGCTTACAATCATGGCAGATGGTGAAGGGGGAGTTGGCCTCTCACATGGCGAGAGAGGGAACGAAGTGCCAGACTCTTTTTACCAATCAGACCTCCTGTAAACTAATAGAACCTGAGCCCACTCATTACCACAGGGAGGACACCAAGCTTTTCATGAGGAACCCACCCCTATGACGCAAACACCTCCCACCAGGCCCCACTTCCAACACTGGGGATCACATTTCAACATGAGATTTGGAGGGCACAAATATCCAAACTGTACCAATGATCAAGACAGAACTCATATTCTTTGATACATTCTTGATTTGTCCATTTATTTTATTAGAAGAATTTTTGTCGAATATGAGAGTACCTTACATAAAGTATGCACTAAATAAACTGAATAAAATTGACAATATGCAATGTCAAAGACAAAACATAATGGCAGTATTATACTATATAGAAATCTACTTAGAGAGTTAAATAATGTAGTATTGTAAATATGTATCTTTTAATACACAATGCCATAAAATGCACAAATACCCATATATTAACCAGACTTTTTTTTGAAATGGTCTCACTCTGTTGCGTAGGCTGGAGTGCAGCAGTGTCATCATGGCTCACTGCAGCCTTGACTTCCTGGGCTTGAGAGATCCTCCTACCCCAGCCTCCCAAGTAGCTGGGACTACAGGCACACACAACCAGGCCCAGGTAATTTTTTTTTCATGGAAACAGGGTCTTGCTACATTGCCCAGACTGATCTCAAACTCCTGGGCTCAAGCAATCCTCCCTCCTCAGCCTCAGAAATATTTTGTTTGCAAACAGCTGTAACCACATTCAAGCTAAAGGAATTGGTTTTTTCACACGTTGAGATTTAGGAACAATGCCACATCTCTCAGCACTGTTTGCATTTGCTTAGCTTCATTCTCAAGCAGGCCTTTTCCCTATGGTGCCAAGATGGCCTCTGCCATCTCCATCGATCACTTGTTCCAAGTAAAAGCAAGAGAGACCTATCTTGCCCCAATATTGGAATATTATAATCTCATAGAGGATCTATGATCCTAATACGATTCCATGCCTACCCTTGGACTCACAACTAGAGTAAGGAATATAAGGAGCCATGGTTGATGAGATTAGACCTGGTCAATTGCTCATGCTTGTAGTCAGAGGCAGCAGTTTCACAATTAAAAGAGGTTGTTGGATTAAAAAAAATAAGAGTGTTACTACATTCTTTCTGTGACTTTAACAAAAAGGTAAATGGCCACTGTAGCGCATATTTTGCCCATGGGTGAGATGGAAGTAGAGCTTTGAGTGGTCATAGCAGGTAGAAAATTTTATGGAAAACAATGCCTAATAAAGAAAGAAAGATGTGGAGAAAGCTAGTGCTTTACAGAACTTCCTGCGGTGAAGGAAATCTTCCATACCTATGCAATATGGTAGCAACATATTGAGCGCTTGAAATGTGGCTCATGTAACTAAAAAACTATATTTTTAGTTTTGTTTGATTTAAATATATTTACATTTAAATAGCCACAGTGCAGCCTTCCTCATGGTGACTTTGAAGAGTCAGTCTATATGTATCTTTACAATAAAGTCATTGTTCCTTTTAGTCTTTATTAGTCCTTTGAATGATATTATAATTAAACAAAAACCAAAATCCAACTTTTGAAAAGCTACTATTCCTCATTCTTTCAGAAACTGAACAGAAAATAGCTATAGATACTATGAATATTCTTCAATATTCATTTTTTGTTTCAAAAAATCTGGTAAAATGAAAGAGCATATTATAAGTAATTCAAAAATTTGATTATTCCAATGTGATTGTTTCCATTGTACCATGTTGGACAAGCACTGATACAAAAAATTTTAATATAGCATGAAAATGAAATCAAACAATAAATTTGCTATAAAGTGTGCTTACATTGAATTATAACATCTTTTGTAGTTTTCTTTTCAAATTAAAAATATATGACTAATTTGAATCTCGTGGAATATTATAATCCTTGTCCTGAAAAAAGCAGGCTGACCTCCGGGAAATTTTAATAGTGCTAAGATTGAGATAATTGTAACCAAACAGTTACTCTTTAATAACCATCATTTTCTAGATATGTGCTAACCACATGTACGCACATTTCCTTATCTAATTACATTTGAACTTTACAATAACCCTTTATCTTAGGATCATTTCATTACAAGAGATAGTTGCCTGTCATTGAAACTAGCTTAAACAAAACAAAAGAAAGAGATCTAGTGGAAGAAATAGGACAGCTGACAGGCCTTGCCTAGGAAGCCTCCTGAATGCTGGCATGAAGGTTTGAGGTCCAGGAACTAATGTTTCACTTATTGTTCATTTGTGGCCTCCTGATGTGTCATCTCTGCTTTTACTCCACATAGTTTCTTTGTTCCCCTTATTTTCATTAAGCATTCTTTCCTGTTTACTTAAACCTCTGCAGAGAGGGCAGTCTGAATGTTGAAATTCCACCTCATCTTGCAGTTCAGTCACCTCACACCAATTTACTTCCTTGCCTAGGAAGCCTCCTGAATGCTGGCATGAAGGTTTGAGGTCCAGGAACTAATGTTTCACTTATTGTTCATTTGTGGCCTCCTGATGTGTCATCTCTGCTTTTACTCCACATGGTTTCTTTGTTCCCCTTATTTTCATTAAACATTCTTTCCTGTTTACTTAAACCTCTACAGAGAGGGCAGCATCTGCAGCATCTACAATTGAAGGAGGTGATGAACCAGGCAAACATAATGCCTTGGATCTTGTAGGTCAGAGGTCCACGCCTGGTCCAGTCCTCTCTGCCTGGGGTACAGGGATAGGAATTTTACGCTCAAAACATGGAATCTAGAGAGTGAGGACCACATTCTTTAAGAAGTACCAATAAAAAATGGGTGAGGAATGAGCTTGGTTCAGCCAGTGAATTAGATAACATGATTCTGATTTTAAATTTGAGGAAACAGTCTCATAGAAGTTCAAATCTTAGTCTGGCTTGTGATCAGACAGACCAAAGTATGAACCCTGACTTATCTTTCAGTATCTGTGAAACTTTTGGAAAGTTACTTACCCTTTCTGAATGTTCAATTATGTTTGTTAGAAAGCAAAAATAAAATGCAACCCACATAAAAACGCTTAGCATTTACCCAACTAGAAGCATATAACCCACCTCCCACTTTTTACCCCCTGCCCCACAGTCAGAGGCCAAGGGGAGAGATGGCCTTGTCTATGAATGCACTTAGAAGGGCTTCAAAAGTGTGGATTACAAACCAAAGAAGGACAGAGCTGCAGAAAGCTGGGTGCCCTGCATGAGAGATTTATAGAGGTTTGATGTTTGTTTTTTTACCCTTGAGAGGAAAAAAGCATCAGAAATGAAAATAAGTATATATAAGAGCAAGCTAGCAGTAACATTGATTAACCTCTGTTATTTTCTTTGCTCTGTGTAATGACATCCCTGACTTTTCCTACAATAGGCAATGAATTTTCCATGCAAGCAAGGTCTTGTTTATTATTTTCTTTTGTTGTCATGTGAAAATCCAACAAATGACATTGCATTCCTCATGTGGAAGTAAGAAGTTTCTAGATGCTGCAAAGAGAAAAAAGAGTTTAGAGAACTTGTCAATTCAGAGTCAGGGAATCTGAAATTCACATAAATGCAGGAGGGCTACTGGGATTTTCCACCAGTGTGGTAATAAACCCATTTTATCTAGATCTTAAAATGCAGAGATAATTCAGCTTATTTCATGATTATGTATAGTAATTAATTAAAGGTAGATAAATACTTATATTAATTAAAGGTAGATAACTGACAGAAGGCAAATTGGAAAGAAAATGGTGTTTGGAGCCACAAAGATCTGGGTTCAAGTTCTACCTCAGCTACATAGAACTATGTAACCTTGGGTATTTTGCTTAAATCATCTGAGACTCAAATTTTTCATTTCTCAAATTGAGATATTAGTATTGATCTCACAGGAGTACAGTAAGTCTTCACTTAATGGCATTGACAGGTTCTTAGAAACTGCAACTTTAGGCTGGGCATGGTGGCTCATGCCTGTAATCCTAGCACTTTGAGAGGCCAAGGCGGGTGGATCACGAGGTCAGGAGATTAAGACCATCCTGTCTAACATGGTGAAACCCAGTCTCTACTAAAAAAAAAAATACAACAAAAAAAAAAAATTAGCTGGGCTTGGTGGCGGGCTCCTGTGGTCCCAGCTACTTAGGAGGCGGAGGCAGGAGAATGGTGTGAACCCAGGAGGCGGAGCTTGCAGTGAGCCCAGATCGCGCCACTGCACTCCAGCCGGGGCAACAGAGGGAGACTCTGTCTCAAAAAAAAAAAAAAAAAAAAGAAACTGCAACTTTAAGTAAAATATTGTACTATATAACAAAACCAATTTTACCATATGCTAATTGATATAAGAGTTAAGTTCCTATGGCATACAGTATGTCTTTTCACTTAAAGTTGCAATTTCAAATAACCTATCAATGACATTAAGTTATGACTTACTGTACATGTAATGTGCCTAAGACATTATGTTTTATGTGAACATTGAGTGATATTTGATGCCCAGAGCATGGGCCCTGGAGTCAGACTCCCTGGGTGAGCTTTGTAACTATGTGGCCTTGAGACACTTACTCCCTGTATTAGAGTCCTCTGGATAAACAGATTGTGTGTGTATGTGTGAGTGCGTGTGTGTGTGTGCATGCACGTGTGCGTGCGTGTGTGCATATGTGTGCATGTGTGTGTGTGTGTACACATGCATATATATAATAAAATTTATGATAAGGAATTGGCTCATGTAATTATGGAGGCTGAGAAGTCCCAAGATGTGCAACTGACAAGCTAGAGACTTGGGAGAGCCAATGGTGTAGTTCCAGTGTGAGTCTGAGGAGCCAATGTTTCAGCTGAGTCTGAAGACAGAAGACACCAATGTCCAAGCTGAAACCGCCAGGCAGGAGCAGTTCTTTCTTATTTGCTCAAGAATCAGCCTTTTTGTTCTACTTAACAGACTTTCTGGTGATTAGATGAGGGCCACTCACATTAAGAAGGACAATCTGCTTTCTTTAACTAGTCTACTGATTGCAATGTTAATCTCATCAGAAAACACCCTCATGGAAGTACCCAGAAGAATGTTTGATCAAATGTCTGTGCACCCCATGCCCAGTCAAGTAAATGCATAAAATCAACCATCACACCGTGTATGAGCCTCACTTGCCTCAGGTAAAAGGGCAAAATGATAATAATAACCTTCCCAGGGAGTTATGAGAATCCAGTAAATCAACAGTTACGTATTTTACAATAGTACCTGGTATATGATAAGCACTATGTGTGGATATGTTGAACTAAATACATAAGTAAAACTGAGGAAAAGGAGCTGCCTCCCAGAGGTATTCTCCCATCCCTGTTTGTCTCAGGGAATAACTAATTTAGTTTTTTCATCTCATTTAATGTTTGAGCTTCACATTCAGTCAATAATCTTATAAGCTATTTCTTCCCCTGAATATATTATTCTGTTCAGAAAAACTACTTGATTTCATTATAAGTGGAGTAAACAAACAAGCAAAAAACCAAAAAACCAAAAAACCCTTGTTGATTGGCATTCCAAGTGAGAAAAGCAAAAAAAAAAAAAAAAAAAAAAAAACTGCTTGTTTTTAAAAATTAAAATATCATTGTATTGCCTATTGCCTTTTAGAAATTACATATCCCCAAATAATACAAGTGAAATGGGGAAAAATTAACATAGATTTTTTTCTCTGTTATTTAGAATCGGATTTGCAGATGAGTTAACTGTATTCTAAATACAGATATCACATAGGACGAAAAGGTTAAAAAAAGGTCTCTGTTCTTTTCTCCTTCCTTAAACATTATGCATCAAAATATTTACGTATTTTCAAGATGTGTCTTATCAGATATTCAATCTGTATATATTCATAGTTTTAATGGACTTTCATGGATATCCTTTCCATAAGTGATGATTAAAAATCTCAGCTTAGGTGGTAGTCTGTTTTTACTACACAAGCGGAGCACCGAGTTTATTTAAATCTCCCAGGCACTTGGTCATGGATGTGGCTGAAGGACTATGGCTCAGATGGGTTGCATAATATAAAGGGACAGAATGGCCAATAAACACTACCTCTTCAACTGGATTGCCCAGGAGGACACGTTGGGACTCATCAAGGAAGCAACAAAACCCCGAGAGAAGAGTGAGACAGGACAGCTGCCCACCTGGGATTGGCATGGAGCCAAGGAAGGCTTCTCACCACAGGGAAAGGGTGAGTGAGCAAGAGCCCCCAGGAGCCCATACTCTTGCCATGCATCTCTGCAATCCTGGGCACAGGAGATCCCCTGACCCTCTCTCTCCAGGGCCTCCAGACTGACAGAGCGCTGTGCGGAGTCTGGGCAGAGCTGCCACTCAGGCACATATGGAGCCTCAAGGGCCTTGGGCTCCTGAGCATCCCAGGGTCAGCTGCCATAGCTCTGCCAGCAGGTGAGGCCAAGCCCTCTTGCATGCTCCCAAGATACATGCTGCTTTCACAGTGCTGAGGAGCAGACAGACTATAGGCCTTACCTTCGCCACACCTTGCCAGCCAAAGCCCACCGGCCCAGGTCCCCAGCGCAGCCAACACACCCCTGCCTGAATACTTAGGCTAGTAGCGACTCTGCACTTCCCTGGGCCAGAGCTCCCAGAGTTAACTGAAAGTTCTGCCTTTTTGCTGCTGCTGCAGCCCCCACCCCTACTGCCCTGAGGCGGCAGAGGGAGTAAGTGACGAGCCTAAGGACTATCGTATGTCTCCAACGCAGTGCAGCTGCCATACAGAAAAGCAGCCAGACTATTTCCCATGTGGATTCCTGCCCCTGCTACTCCTCATTGTGCAGGGCCTCCCAACCTGGACCCCAGCACAGTCATCCTGCCCCCGCCTGAGCACTTCAGTCAGTGGTGGCACTGCGTTTATCTGGAGAGGAAATCCCAGAGACGACCCAAAGGCTGTCTACCATCTCAGCTGCAGGGATATTGCACTTGCTGCCCTCGGGCTGGGGAAAGAACAAAGATCCTGACTGTTTTGCTGGTACCTCCAGCATGCTGCAGCTGCCATACAGAGAGGAACCCAGTCTCTTTTCCCTGTGAACCCCTGACCCCCTGCTCTACACCAGGCAGGGCCCCTGGATTGGGCCTGCCATGCAGCCACCCCACCCCCAGCTGATCATTCCCATTGGCAGTAGCTTCATGTATCTCTGGGGTGGAGTTCTCAGAGGCAACTGACGATCCCTCTGACACCACTGCTACAGCGGTGCCTGCTATTGCTGCCACCAGGTTGGGAAAGAACAAAGAACCTGAGTGCCTTATTACACCTCCAGCACACCACAGGCACTCAGGTTCTTTGCTCTTTCCCAAAGAGGCCAGACTGTCTTCCCTGTGAGCCCCCACCCCCTGCTCACCACCAGGCAAGGCCTACAACTTGGGTGTGTGATGTAGCCACTCCACCCCGGGCTGATCATTTTGGTTAGCAGAGGCTCTGCATTTCTCTGGGTTGGAGCTCCAAGAGGTAAGTGTAACGCCCTCTAACATTGTCACTGCCAAGGTCCCTGCCCCTGCTGCCTGCAAGCTGGGGAGTGAACAAAGAGCCTGAGCTGAGCCCTCACTCATTCTATGAGGCCAGCATTATTCTGATACCAAAACCTGCCAGAGAAACAATGGAAAAAGAAAACTTCAGGCCAATATCCCTGATAAACATAGATGCAAAAATCCTCAACAAAAATCCAGCAGCACATCGAAAAGCTAATCTACCAAATCAAGTAGGCGTTATTCCTAGGATATAAGGTTGGTTCAACATACATAAATCCATAAATGTGATTCATTGCATAAGCAGAACTAAAAACAAAAACCACATGATCATCATAGAAAAGTCTTTCAATAACATTCAACATCTTTTCGTGTTTAAAAACCCTCAACAAACTAAGTATTGAAGGTACATAACTCAAAATAATAAGAGCCATCCGTGACAACTCACAGCCAGCATCATACTGAATGGGCAAAATCCAGAAACATTCCCCTTGAGAACTGGAACAAAACAAGGATACCCACTCTCATCACTCCTAGCCATTGTAGTACTGGAAGTCCTAGCAAGAGCAATCAGGTAAGAGAAGGAAATAAAAGGTGTCCAAACAGGAAAAGAGGAAGTCAAACTATCTCTGTTTGCAGATAATATGATTCTATACCTAGAAAATCCCAGTCTCTGACAAAAGGGTCCCAGCTCTGATAAACAACTTCAACAAAGTTCCAGGATAGAATATCAATGTCCAAAATTCAGTAGCATTTCTATAAACCAATAACATCCAATCTGCTGGAATTTGCTGGAGGTCCACTCCAGACCCTGTTTGCCCAGGTATCACCAGCGGAGGCTGCCGGACAGCAAAGATTGCTGCCTGTTCCTTCCTCTGGAAGCTTTGTCCCAGAGGGGCACCCACCAGATGCCAACCAGAGCTCTCCTGTGTGAGGTGTCTGTCGACCCCTGCTGGGAGGTGTCTCCCAGTCAGGATGTGCAGGGGTCAGGGACTCACTTGAGAAGGCAGTGTGTCCCTTAGCAGAGCTTGAGCGCTGTGCTGGGAGATCCATTGCTCTCTTCAGAGCCAGCAGATAGGAACGTTTAAGTCTGCTGAAGCTGTGCCTGCAGCTGCCCCTTCCCCCAGGTGCTCTGTCCCAGGGAGATGGGAGTTTTATCTATAAGCCCCTGACTAGGGCTGCTGCCTTTCTTTCAGAGATGCCCTTCCCAGAGAAGAGGAATCTAGAGAGGCAGTCTAGCTACAGTGGCTTTGCTGAGCTGCAGTGGGCTCCACCCAGTTCAAACTTCCTGGCAGCTTTGTTTACACTGTGAGGGGAAAACCGCCTACTCAAACCTCAGTGATGGCTTGAGTAGCCTTCCCCCCACCAAGCTCAAGCATCCCAGATCAACTTCAGACTGCTGTGCTGGCAGTGAAAATTTCAAGCCAGTGGATCTTAGCTTGCTGGGCTCTGTTGGGGTGGGATACTCTGAGCTAGAATACTTGGCTCCCTGGTTTCAGCCCCCTTTCCAGGGGAGTGAACGGTTCTGTTTTGCTGGCATTCTCAGGCACCAATGGGGTATGAAAAAACTCCTGCAGCTAGCTCAGTGTCTGTCCAAATGGCCACCCAGTTTTGTGCTTGAAACCCAGGGCCCTGGTGGTGCAGGCACCCGAGAGAATCTCCTGGTCTGCAGGTTGTGAAGACCATGGGAAAAGCATAGTACGTGGGCTGTAATGCACCATTCCTCATGGCACAGTCCCTCATGGCTTCCCTTGGCTAGGGGAGGGAGTTCCCCAACCCCTTGCACTTCGTGAGTGAGGTGATGCCCCACCCTACTTCAGCTCACCTTCCTTGGGCTGCACCCACTGTCTAACCAGTCCCAATGAGATGAGCTGGTTACCTCAGTTGGAAATGCAGAAATCACCCACCTTCTGCCTTCTGCGTTGATCTCACTGGGAGCTGCAGACCAGAGCTGTTCCTATTTGGCCACCTTGCCAGCCACCCTGACTTGTTTATTTTCGATGCTAACCTGTGGGTTGCCAAATATTGGGAAATGGTGTGCTGAGAGGAGAATATAAAGACAAAGTGTGGATCCAGTGCAGAAAATTTTACAGCTTCCTGTGGAATAAGAAAATGTTGGAAGCTTAAGAAACTTTTAATTTACCTAATAAAGCCTTGTATTTTATAGAAGCATGAGGCCCACCCATTTTTGTTTACTCTATATTCATTCAACTACTTTTTTTTCTTTTATTATTATTATACTTTAAGTTTTAGGGTACATGTGCACAACGTGCAGGTTTGTTACATATGTATACATGTGCCATGTTGGTGTGCTGCACCCAGTAACTCATCATTTAGCATTAGGTATATCTCCTAATGCTATCCCTCCCCCATTCCCCAACCCCACAACAGTCCCCGGTGTGTGATGGTCCCCTTCCTGTGTCCATGTGTTTTCATTGTTCAGTTCCCACCTATGAGTAAGAACATGGGGTGTTTGTTTTTTTGTCCTTGCAACAGTTTGCTGAGAACAATGGTTTCCAGCTTCATCCATGTCCCTACAAAGGACATGAACTCATCATTTTTTATGGCTGCATAGTATTCCATGGTGTATATGTGCCACATTTTCTTAATCCAGTCTATCATTGTTGGACATTGGGTTGGTTCCAAGTCTTTGCTATTGTGAATAGTGCCGCAATAAACATACGTGTGTGTGTGTGTGTGTGTCTTTATAGCAGCATGATTTATAATCCTTTGGGTATATACCCAGTAATGGGATTGCTGGGTCAAATGGTATTTCTACTACTTTTTATTTTACTGTATATTCATTCAAAAAATGTGGTATGTGATGAGCCACAAAACTTAAACTTTTTCCTGAAAAAATGTAGGAAGTCATTTATTAAAGGCTTTTCAGCAGATTTGGATCAGATTTGGAGTTTATATCATTGCACATCAATATGAAGGAGGAAGCTAGAGGGAAGCATGTCTGGAGGCAGTAAGGACAGTTAACTATTTCCATAATAATTCAAATAAAAAGTGTTAAAGGCCTGGATTTAGGCCATTTCATGGGCAATGGAGAGGGAGGTGGATAGGAGAGCTGTGATAGAAATAGAATCCACAGAGCTAAGAATCTATTCCAACTATAGCCCATTTCCACCTTATAAATTTAAAGTCTAGACTGTGATACCACTCAAAGGCTGGTCTTCTTGAGTGAGTTTCCTACTTCACAGAAAATTATCAGAGTGTGTCTTTAAGAATCAAAATTTATTGACTGCCTTGAGCAATGAAAATCTTACATCAGAGGCAGAATCAAGCATGATCTCAATTGTGATGGTCAACCAGCTGGAGCTAGTAATTTTTTTGTTCTTTTCAGAAACTAATTGTGGTAGGTCCTTTGAACAGCTACCCCAAAAACCTTCACAGTGTTTGAAACAGGGTGTGGAATAGGATAAGGGTGGTGAGAAGAGGCTATTTGGAAGGTGTCTTTCCATTTTTGAGATTGGGTGACAAGGTGTGTGACGATGCTGCTCACAGAGAAAGGGCATTCAGAGGCCAGAGGAAAATCAGAAAAATTTGGGACATGTGAAATTGAAAGTACCTGAGAAACAGTCAACTGGAGCTAACATGAAAGAAATGTTCATATACAGCTTTTCAGCTTAGCAGGAAAGTCTAGTCTACATAGGTTTGTAATTCAAGCATCCAAGTATATGTGATAGTTGAAATCATGCAAGTGAGTTACGTCCAGAAATGTTCAGTGACTTCCTCATGTCTCAAACCATTATAAGAATGAAACTCAGGTCTTCTCTCTTTACCACAATTCTCAATAAGACAAAATATTAGGGCAAAATAAACCTGTATATGAAGTGTCTGGATCTCTTCAAATTTGGAATCTGATATCAGAAATTGCTACAGCCCTTAATTGCTAACACAGATAGTCCCTCTTTTATGTTTCATAA
Organism: Homo sapiens; assembly: GCF_000001405.40. Lineage (NCBI taxonomy): Eukaryota > Metazoa > Chordata > Mammalia > Primates > Hominidae > Homo > Homo sapiens. The sequence goes on from NC_000009.12 coordinate 42,440,171, forward strand.
ATGTTCTGCATTTTACCCTATTTCTATTAGATTTGAATTTCACCTTTTTAGTAACTTCACTTTTGAAATGTAACCTTAATGATTTTAGATTTCATAACTAATTGGTTAACATATAGATGGTATGATCTTTATATTATTTGTTCAGGAAAGTTTCTAAAGCATTTTTCTTTACCAAGTTTTGGAAAAAAGGTGTAGAATATGGATGCGGACCACTGGCCTGCATTCTGAATCCAATCAATTTAAAGAGAGCTTCAACCACTGTAAAACTCAATGCATCTACATAAATGGAAATCAATTGAATTGATTTTTGACAGACTTGCTCCACTGCCTTCAATTCAAAATCTGCTTATACATAGTGTTCCAGAACAAAATCATTACCATGTACAACAGAAATACTGTTTTATTAAAAGCATAAAGGTTACAGTTTTGCAAAGGCTTCACTTTACATGAATTTTCAGTGAAATAAAAATGTTTTTAACCACTTATACTATAAATCTGTAATATGCTTGCATTCTGCAAGAGCTAATAAATCTATTAATCCATTGACCTGAAAAAGGTTTAAATGCCCCAAAATTATCAGCATTAATGGTTCTGATTATTTTCTCCATGAATTTGCACTGTGTACAATTATTATCCAAAGTATGTGAAGTGATGATTCTTTATCGAGCTTATATTAAACATGATACATTAAAATATATTAAATGCTAGAGTATCTGTATCATAAAATACATTAAAATACTGTACCAGAATATCTAGAAAGAAAGGACTTATGAAGTAGACCTGCATGCCCTTCTCTCTCATGGCAGAGTTTGGGTGATGCATCAAAGGAAGAAAGAAAGCATATTATCTTGTCTAATTGCCTTGTAAACATTATAATGGCAGCTCTCCTGGCAAACAAAGTATGTGACCTTGGCTAGCAAGAGAGAACTATGAAATACATATAGTAAAATATAGCTGCCTATCTAGAATCACCTGTGGTAAACAGACCTGGAATCTTTAGGTTTACAGGGGATGGCTCCAAGGAAAATGTCACATAAACTATGTAACTCAGTAATTCATGACCTAAGTGGCTTCTTCTGTGCAAGATCTGTACCAGAACACATCTCATGTGAGAAGAAATGACCCAATAAGTCACATTGGGGTCCCAGAACACTTTCTGCTTCACTTGTGTCATATAACTGCTTGTGTCATTGCAATTATTAGCAAAACTTGACATTGAGTAAGTACTCTGATTCTATGATTTTCATTTACCAGACTAATTCTTAATATTATCTTAATGCTTGCATAATATGATATCTGAAATCATCTCAGGTGCTATGAATAGATCATTTTAATTTCATTAATAATAAACCACATTTTAAAAACCCTCAATGATGGGGGTATATCAAAGGAATACAGGAGCCAACAGAAAGAACTCCCAGTGGCCAAAACTAGAACAATTTGTGCAATAAAATAAGCAAAGTAGTATTGAATTATATCTCAAAGTATTAAATTATTTTTAATTCTAAATGTATATAAATAATTGCTTAAATAAATAGGGAAGAATATACAGTCCTCTAGATACATATTAGTGAAATGAAAAATTCCAGTCAAAATATAGGGCTGATCTGGGAATAACAAGAAGAGCTAATCCTCTGCAGTACTCATAGCAATTTTCTTACAATGCTTTGATAAAATCTAACAGTCACACAACTAGGTACATAAAAATATTTGACAAAATTGAATATCCACATATTATGAAAACTCTCAGCAAAGTACAAATAAAGGCAATTTTCTTATCCTGATAAAGCACAAACTGATTCTTAAATTGTATAGGGCATGGTAAAGGGGCAAAAATTCTAAAATAATTTTGAAAATGACAAAGTTAGAGGAATCACACTATCTGATGTTAAGTTACAGTAATCAAGATAGTCATGCAGGTCAATGTAACAGAATAGAGAATCCATAAACTGATGCCCACATATATGGTCAATTGATCTTTGATAAAGATCAAAGAACAGATAGAATTTTCTTTTTAATAAATGGTGCTGGAATAATTTGGCATCTTATGTGAAAAATAAACCTCTACTTATAACTCCCTCTTTATAAAAAATTAAAAATGGATTATAGACATAAATGTAAAATTATAAAACTTTACAAGATAATCTAGGAGAAAATACCCATGACTCTGATTTAGGAAAATATTTCATATATTTTGAAGCTCTGGTGTTTGGTCCATATATGTTTAAAACTGTTATGTCTTCTTGGTGAACTGATTCTATTATCACTATATAATGCCCTTCCTTGTCTCTTATAAGAGTTTTTCACTTAAAGTCTATTTTGGCTGATAGTATAGGCACCCTTCTTTCTTTTTATTACTATTTGCATAGAATATATTTTGCCGTATTTCCACTATCAACCTGTGCTTGTACTTAGGGCTAAAGTGAGTTTATTATAGACAGAATAGAGTTGGATCCTGTGTGGATTTTTTTAAAAAAATCCATTCTGCCAATCTATATCTTTTGGCTGCAGAGTTTAATCTATTTACATTTAAAGGGAAGAACTTACTATTGGCACTCTGCTATTTGTTTTCTGTAGGTTTTATAGCTTTTTATCATTCATTTCCTATTATCACATTTTTCTGAGACTCTGAAGTACACCAGATTATAGGAGCAGAAAACAGATCAGTGGTTTCTAGAGGTTACATATCAGTAGAGAGTGCTTACAAAGGGGATTCCAGGGAGAGTTGTTTTGTGGTGATGAGACTATTCTGTGTTACTGATTGTAGTGGTAGCTACATTACTTCATGCATTTGGTAAAACTTATTGAACTATATACAAAATATAAAAGTGAATTATGCCATGTGATATTGTGATATAATAAAAATTATGTATTTGGTCTCTGTCCCTGATTCCTGAGACAGAGCTTCTAAAACCCTTGCCAGATAGGGATGCTAGGAGTATCTTTTGTTCTTATATTTGGTCTTTGACCCTGGTTCTTGACACAGAGCTCCGAAGAACTTTTTAATTTCCTGAGTGATAGGAGTATCTGATACAGAGCTCCTACATCCCTGGAATATCCTGGATTATAGGAGCATCTCTTGCTCTAATGAGTTGACTCTTGGTAGGCTCCTGGATAGCCTTAGAATAGGAGCTGATTGCTATGAAAACCAACCATGTAATTAGAGGATAAGAACTTTTAGCCCCAACCCCTTATTCCCCAGGAAGAGGAAAGGGGCTGAAAATTTAGTTGATTACCAATGGCCAATGATGTAATCAACCATTTCTACATAATGAAGCTTTCATAAAACCCCAAAATCAGTTTGGAGAGCTTCTGAATTGCTGAACTCATGGAGGTGCCTGAGGGTGGCATACCAGAGAGGGCACGGAAGCTCCCTACCCCTTCTCTCACACCTTCAGTGATGTCCAAGGGAGGGAATACAGTCATGAGTTCTTAGTTTCTGTTCCCGGTTGGGCCAGTAAAGCCCCTTCCTTCTTCCTCTTTTCTGCTTATCACTATAGACAGAAACTAAAAACCATGGCTTCAGGTTGCTAAAAGTCTAAAGCAAAACAAAACAGGACAGCAACAAAAACAACAACAACAATCTCAACAAAATAAGGCAGGTTGGACAAGCTTGCCCTATGCAGCTTCTCCACCTAACTGTTCATTAGTTTCCTTAATAATATCCTTTGTAATAAATGAGTAAATGTAAATAATGTTTTTCTCTGAGTTCTGTGAGCCATTCTAGCAGATTAATTGAACCTAAACAGGGGGTAATGGGAACCTCCAATTTATAGCCAGTTGGCCAGAAGTACAGGTCACATCCTGGGACCTGCAGTTGGCATCTGAAGTGAAGGGAAGTCTTGTGAGACTGTGCCCTTACTGTGTGGGATCTGACCCTATATCCAAGTAGATAGTGTCAGAATTGAATTCAATAATAGGCCACCCTAGTGGTGTCTGCTGGAGAATTACTTTGCATGCGGGGAAAAATCCATACATATTTTGGTGACCAGAGGTGAAGTAATGTATTGAGTGGTGAGTGTGTGAGACTAAGAAAAACAGTTTGGTTTTTTTATATCTCAAATATATTATATATAAATTTAAAGACAAATTGAAAAATTGAATCATTTTAAAATGTCTAAAATTTAAAGTACATTGAGTAACACATGATAGTAATTTATAATGTTCATATTTGATGAAAATAGTTTCCAGTCCATTATTTTTTTCTGTTTACATTATAGAATTATATTTAGGTTAAATTTTATACATATAAAAATTATTTCCTTGAGACATGTTCCATGGTTTATATTCTGAAATTTTTTTCTATTCCTTCTTAGAGCTGATAAGCATCTTTGTTGATTATCTGCTTGTGTTACTCCATCAGGCTTCCATAGCCCATCTGATTCCACCAGATTATTCAAATGAGCTCCTTATCACACCGTAGCTCAAGCCCTCAGATATGTTCTTCTCTCCTATACAGACTTGCCACATTTTTTCAGGTGTGTAGGCATTTGCTCATGTCTTAAATGTTCATCTTTATCCATCTGCCTATTCAAATCCATCTACACAATGTATTCTAGGAAGCATATCTTGATTATACTATGCATCATTGACTTCCTCATTTAGATGAGCCTCTATAACATTTGTAGGCTGTATTACAAAATTCAATGACAAATATATGTATATTATCTTGCATTTGTTTCTTGTGTTTCAAGTGTATTAGTCTTGTCTTCTCAGATAGATGGTTAAGGCCATGATTTATATTTTGATGGTTTTCACAGCACCATCTTTGGTAAAATGACTACCGAAAACATATCCTTCATCACCATAGATGCTCAGTGCCACTGGATTAATCTAGAGCTAAGGATACTTGTTTTTATCTGAATCTCAGAGGCTGGGGACAGCTGGTCTCAGAAGTCACATGAATCACTCAAAGTTAAATGTTCCTTAACAGAGGGAAGTTGGAACTCACATATTTGAAAATAGCTCACATCATATACCATAGAAAGGTTATGGTTTATTTACATACATATATATGACATATCTCACATATATAAGACATTTTCCAAATGTCTTATTCTTACAGCGATAGATACTTGTTGTTTCAAAGAACATGTACACCATAGAAATATAGAAATTAGCTTAAATTAGTATTGTTACTGATTCACATCATTTTCTCATTTATTGTCATTGAAATTGGTCCCCTGGAAGAATAATCAGTCCACCATCTTGGACCAGCACTTAATTATTATTTAGCAAAATTTAATTGTTATTACCAAAATGTAGGGACAAGTAAAAATGTAATTCACTATTATGATAATATTGGTAAATATTCTGATTCAAATGTTTTTCTTGCAATATGCCTCAATTTATCATCATAAAAATCAAAGATCCAAGTTTCTACATTGAAAATATTTGATATTTGTAAACTGTGTACCCAACAAAAAACAAATATCCAGAATTTATAAAGAACTTAAACAAATCAACAGAAAACCCAAATAACCTCATTAAAAAGTGGGCAAAAGGAACACCAGTCAGAATGGCTATTATTAAAAAGTCAAAAAACAACAGATATTGGCATGGCTGTAGAGAAAGGGAATACTTATAAACTGTTGGAGAGAATGTAAATTAATTTGGCTCCTGTGGAAAGCAGTTTGATGATTTCTCAGAGAACCAAAAATAAAACTACTATTTGACCCAGCAATCCCATTACTAGGTAGCTACCCAAAGAAAAATAAATTATTCTTCCAAAAAGACACCTGCACTCATATGTTTATCAAAATACTATTCACAATGGCAAAGACATGGAATCAACCTAGGTGCCCATCAACGATGGACTGGATAAAGAAAATGTGGTACATATATACTGTGGAATACTGCACAGCCGTAAAAAGAACAAAATCATGTCCTTTGCAGCAACATGAATGCAGCTGGAGACCACTTCCTAAGCAAATTAAGGCAGATACAGAAAAACAAACGCTGCATATTCTCACTTATAAGTGGGAGCTAAACACTGGAAAATATAGATAGGAACAGTAGACACCGGGGACTCCAAAAATAGGGTGGGAGAAAAGGCAGCAGGGTTTGAATACTACCAATTAGGTACTATGTTTAGTATTGGGTAAGGGAATCAATAGAAGCCCAAACCTTAGCACCATGCAATACACCCATGTAACAAACCCGCACATGTAGCCCCTGAATCTGAAATAAAAGATTTTTAAGAGTAAGAAATAAAATTATTTGAAGGAAACTGACCTATACATTTCTTTGCTTGCCTTAAATATCTCCTCTTTGAGGAATCTGATATTTTTTGTGTATAAGTGCTCTTCAGCAATTAGTTGAAAATACAAAACCACATAGTTTGCGTGATATATCAATTTGTGTCACTTTTTTTTTCAATTCTTTGCAAATAAGCACTCCCCAAATTACTAGAAATCTCAGAAGGAAAATTAATTTATTGCTGCAGCATATATTAGGCAAAGTGGAGAAGTGTTAAGTATTCCAACTGAACTAAAAAGTATATCAAACCAATTTCTAGCTCCCACTGAAACATTCAAAGAATTAAACATTACAACTTACTACTGTCAATGTAATTTTGTTCATTTCCACTTGTTTTTCTGCAGTTTTTTCAAAAATTTTAACACTGAAAACATTATAAAAATCGTATAACTAATTGTATGTTGGTTAAAATATGTTTTATCATAATAACTACTTTCACATACTAATGTTTGATATGGTTTGGCTCTGTGTCTCCACCCAAGTCTCATATCGAATTGTAATCCACAATGTTGGAGGAGGTGATTGAATCATGGGAGCAGACTTCCCTCTTGCTATTGCTATTCTCATTATAGTGAGTTCTCAAGAGACCTGATGGTTGTAAAAGTGTATAGCACCTCCCCGCTCTCTCTTTCCTACCAGTCATGTGAAGATGTGCCTGTTTCCCCTTTGCATTTGGCCATGATTTTAAGTTTCCTGAGGCCTCCCCAGCAATGCCTCCTGTACAGCCTGTGGAACTGTGACTCAATGAAACCTCTTTTCTTCATATATTACCACTTCATAGGCATGTCTTTATAGCAGTGTGAGAACAGACTAATACAATGTTATTATTTCCTCTTGAATTGTGCATTGTCATATTAAAAATTTCAAGCATTTTTCTAGGTGCTGGCAGTAGTGAATTAAACAAAATCCCTGTGCTAAATCCATTTATATTTGATGGGGGAGAGAGAATGCTAGCCAATCTTTCTTCCTAGGTACCTGACCCTCTTATTCTTGATGCTCTTGTGAACATGTGATGTGGTTCTTTCACTGAGAAATCTCCATGGGGAAGAACTGGGTATTACATAAGGCACTTATAACATCAGTACAATCTAGGAAAAAGAAATCTCAAAATTTGTTTTAGATTTGAATCCTAAAATTTCCAAAGACATTCTTCTAGATTGTGAAGTTGTTAGAGTTCTTTAAATTGCACTTTTGACTATAGAAAGTGGATTGCCATGTTAAATTAAAACAAAAATAAAAGATCAGCAATAAATAAACTGAAACTGATTACAACATTTTATTATAGTTGTATTTTTCTGGGAAAGGCTGAATGAACATCAGATCCCCCAAAGGGCCCATTATCTAAAGTGTATAAGGGAGCACTTTTATTGTCTCACATAGTTCAAGTAGAGATATTGGCAATTCCAAATTCATATGTAAAGCCCAGAGTCAGTCTCATACCAAGGTCTGCTTTTAACATGGCAGAGATATTCCATATGTCAGGGTTACTGAGATTTAATACCAGCTCATCATTCTTTTGACTTTTCCAGATGGCAGGCTTTTATCATAGATATTTTTTCTAGATATCTACAATTGTAGCTACATGGAGTAAAGTGCAATTAACTGAAATTACTAGCAATTTTGTGTTTCTGATTTAAAGGCATTTTGTTTATTCTTTTTAAGTACTCCAGGCCCCTGCTCACACTCATTTGTTGAATTCAGTAACTAACCAACTCTTCTGAAAATGGGAATATAAAATTGGAATTCCTCAAAGGTTATGTAAAATAATGTATGAAAAACCTTGTACCACAGAATTTGGCTGTTGACATGCCTTTAATAAATTTTGGGTGTATCTGAGCACATCACTTTGTAGTAAGAACATTTCTATTTACAAGCAGTAATGTATCAAGGCTAAAGTTACAAATTTGGTCTATGGTATAAGTCTCATAAAGTTTTTGCCATGTTGAATTTTTTTAAATGATGTTGGTTTTGTCAGTTCATGATAGTTTATTTTTTAAATGTTTTACCAAAATGGTCAAAATATCTTAAATTTAAATGTTTATTCTGTTATAAATAGTAGACCTTATGGATTTCTTAAATATTTGTTGTAAGCATCTAGTGAGGCAGTTGTAATCCCACTAACTATATACAAACCAAAAAGCCCTTTTTATGTTTAAAACACACACGCTGTGAAGGAAGTTATTCCAAAAACTCCAGACTGTGAACAGACATTAACCTTCTACTTTGACAACATCTAATTTTCCTGAAGAACAATTAAAACCCAGGGAGCCTCAATTAGAAGCACTTTCACTTTGGTAATAAAGGCCAAGTTTTAATGTTTAGGTTTTAGTTGCATTCATTTTTCATACCAATGAACTGCATCATGCTCTTCCTTCAGCACACAAGCTGCAACCAGGCCACAATTTTATCATTTTCATCAGGGCCCAAACATATGCCATCTCTACTCAAAGCCCTGCTAATTCCTGGAGGTTTCTTCAGAGAGCTCAGTTGAGGAGAGAATTATTCAGCAAAGGTAACTAACATGGATGCTAATGTACATAATCTGGCTGAGAAATCAGCTTTTCTTCAACAGCTAACTGTGCTTTATTCTTTCTGGTCACTTTCTCCAAGAGGAGCACTGGACTCTGCTAGTGGATCTAAAGTTTTCCCTAGTGTATTTTCCAGCCATATTCTAGAGATGTGCCCCTTCTCCTGAACTGTGTGGTGTGGTGAAGGTGGGGACATGATGAGGACTTAGCTCTCAGAGTTAGCAATGCTGCATGCATCCAGGATCTGCTACTCACTGGGGGACCTTCTACAAGTCACTCAGCCTCTCTGGTCCACAGTTTCATTATCTATACAATGAGGAACCCTGTCTACATTCTCTCTAACTATCATATAGCTCCAAAGTTTCTATGAAGCCCAGATGTTCCACTCAAGGAATTTAGTATCTTTACACCTTCATTTTCAAGAAAAAATGAAGCTTCTCCTCCCAAAATATTAGAAACCAGTGCTAAAAGTCTAGAATATTTTAGTGTCTATGAATTTTAAAATCCTGTTTTGATTACAAAATAATAATCAGAAGAGTAGGAAGGAGACAAATTAATAAACAAGCAAAAGCTTTTTCCCTAACAAATAATCAGCCAAGGAAGAGATGAACATAAGAATTGACATAGTTAATTCTCCTGGAATGAATATAGTGTAGGAGTTACTCCATGATATAGAAGATAAAGTACAACCCCAAGCTGTCATTTGAGGACCAATAAGTCATTGAATGACACTTTGATTCCTAGATGCAAATATTTTAAAGACTTTTTTATTAATACAAAATTGTGGATTGAGGCATCACTGAGAATCCCAAGTAATGAGAATCCACAGCCATGTCTGTCTCAATATGCAGCATGCAGGTCTGGGTCCTTCTCAGGGTCCAGGCAGGGTATACTATTTATGCTCCCCTATGTCTGCTCTTCTTCTGCAGGAGGCATTTTTCCCACCTTCATAGCTGTCTCCGTTCGCTTCTACTTTACAGTTTACAGGAAAGCTACTTGCTGTAAGTCAGCCAGTTTTAGCCCTTGAGATGCAAAGAGCTTTGCATGTGAAGCTCTATATGCAAAGCTATGGAATGTGGCACTCCATTTCTCTGTCAGTAAAATCTATCTTGAAAGTCTTTTGTTCAGGACTCAGAAATATGATTTTACAAAATAAAAGTAGAACACTGACTTTAATGGAATAAAATAATATACCAGAAAAAAAAACTCTCTCTACATTTTATCCCTTTTGCACAAGTAATGCCCAGTGGAGTCAGTCCCCTGCCCCAAGGCCTCACTGATAACTCTTTTCCCCCATTAAGCTTAGCCTTCCTTTCTAAGAAATATCCTCTCCTTAAGCCTAAATCTGAATGCTATTTCAACCAGATTTTACTTTGGTAAAAATTATACCAACAGAGATCCGAGTGCCATTCTCCTCCAAAGTACCACAAAATCCAAGGATAACAAGGAGTGCTTACTACGTGACAGAGGAAGTACTAAGTTCTCTGCTTGTATTGACTCATGTAACCCTCTCAAAAGCCCTATGTGTTAAGTTTCCTATTTAATGAATGAAAAACTGAGTCCTAGAAAGATTAATTGGCTACCTAAGAGCATACAGTTAGAAAGGGTGGATCTGGGATTTCACCAGATGCACATGTGGCTTTGTGAAATCTGACAGTGATGTCAATATCCCGACAGGTAAAGTGAGGTTATAATTTTCTCTTATTTTCTATTCTTTTTCTAAAAATCATGTGCTCAAATCTTACGGGACTGTGTACTCAAGAGGCTAGCTATTATTCTCCACTGCTTTTTAAGCAGCAAAATCTTTTTCATTAAATGACATCTTAAGTAAAAGCTTAATATATACAACATGTCAAACAGGGGTTGCTGTATTAGAGGTGAGGTATGGATGTGCAGGCTGCAGGTGAGGGCAAAGGGCAAAGGGCAAAAGGGCAAAGGGCAAAGCCCGAGTTACCTTCTTCAAGGCAACTCTGCCACAACTTGAAAACATCTTAGGCCTCAGTTTGAAATGCTTCTCCTACTTTCGGGACTCTTCAGCATCAAAATTTCTCCCAGATAACCTGACAAAACTGTAGAACATCAGACCTGGAATGACTGAAAGACCACCAGGCTCAGTGTTTACCTGAGGTGGGCAAGTGGCTGAGCAGCTCAGGAGTGGGCCCCCTGAGTCTTGTCCCATCTTACTTTGTACTACACTGTTCTTTAGAGAAAGCTTCCTTTTGGAGACCAACCAGGACTCCTTAGAAGCAGAGGTGACAAAGCAAGCTTTCTAAATGATTTGGGGAAAAGGACAAGTCTTCCTTTCACATTTTTGGAAGGAAATATTTTTAATAAGGCAGGGATTCTCCAATGAACTGGTCTAAACCACTGCTTGCGGCCTCATGCCTGGCCTGCTTCACCCACTCAACAGAATCACCTCGTCTCTGAAGGTGGTTGTGTTTGAAACACCTGCTTTACAGAGCAGCTGCTTACAGGCTTAAAAGGGAATCAGAGGTGTCGGTTCAATCAATCTGCCCCCCTGTAAGCTTCATGAGGACTATAACTCTGTCTCCCTGATGCACGTGAACCTAGCACCGGCACCCTGGAGCAGAGCAAGTGCTCAATACTGATCATGTTTGCTTAATTGATAAGCCATTAGTGTGCGCTCTAATAAACTGCTTTAGAAGAATGCTTTAGGAGTAGGAAGTATAGATCTGCCTAACATACACTTAGAAAAAATTAGGCAGATCTTTTAAATGCTTACATTTTAGTAAGGAAAACAATTGATCATTAGGGTGAATGCTGCATCATTATTTTACAATCTACAAAGTAACAGGAAGTGTACAGATTTGGCAAACCACAGAATTAACCATTGTATCTGACTTACATTACTCATTTGCTCATGGATGAGATTCTAATAGAGATGCGTTTGGCATTTTCACAAATGCCCTGCGTTTCAAAGAGTAGATCAGCTGATTTTGCGCTGAAACCCTTAAACTTAATGGGGACAATGTATCTCACCTCAAATCTTCAATCAGATGTGCTGATCAAACCCACATGAAGCACATTTATTCTTGGAAAATATTTTGTTTTACTATTTACTATTGTAATTCCCACTCATAAAATAGCCAGCATTTGCCATTATATTTTACAGAGACATTTTTAACAACTTCTTAAAAGAATGACTGCAATATTTTAGGTTATCAGTGAACTGGTGTGGAAAATGCAGCATTCTTAAAAGTTAGTCATGGCACTAGTGCATTAATTATGCATTAGAACAATTCGCCTTAAAGAGATTATAGATTTATAAATTGTAAATTATGCCAAAAGTATTTTGAAATCAGGTACCTGTGAGTTATGACCCTGTGTTTCAAAAGAACAACTTGTAACTATATTGCTGATATCTTGGTTATAATATTTTACATCAACATTATGTTAAAATATAATATCCCATTATAAAAGTTCCAGAGACAAGCCACAATATGTAAATATTTCTGTATTTTAATTTACAAAGCTTACTTTTTCATTTGTCCTGATAACTGAATTAACATTGTCGAGGGAAATTCATATGAATCAAAAAATGCAATAAATTAGACCCTTAAAATAATTCATATTTCATGAGTTTCCCATTTTAAGGTCAAAATATTTAGCAAAATCTCACATCTCCTATGGCACTATCTTTTAGGTACAGTTTAAAACTTTGAATATGCTTTGTTTTCAAGTGTTTATGAATAATTTCTTCAATAATAAAAAAATCATATACTTTGAAGAAAGGGCCTATCTCATTCTTCTTGCCTGGCCACATAGTCTCATGGGTACAATTCAATATTTTAATAATTTCTACTATTCCTGAGATAGTCAAACAATTTCTCATCATCATCTCACCATCACAATCTTAATGACAAATCTCAGTTTCTGAGTGTCAGCCAGGGAGCAGATACCAGGAATTGTGCTCTAATCCTCATAACAAAACTTCAAGATCTCTCGGCAAAGAAAAGTCAAACCAAGACTCAAAACCAGGCCGGGCGCGGTGGCTCACGCCTGTAATCCCAGCACTTTGGGAGGCCGAGGCGGGCGGATCACGAGGTCAGGAGATCGAGACCATCCCGGCTAAAACGGTGAAACCCCGTCTCTACTAAAACTACAAAAAATAGCCGGGCGTAGTGGCGGGCGCCTGTAGTCCTAGCTACTTGGGAGGCTGAGGCAGGAGAATGGCGTGAACCCGGGAGGCGGAGCTTGCAGTGAGCCGAGATCCCGCCACTGCACTCCAGCCTGGGCGACAGAGTGAGACTCCGTCTCAAAAAAAAAAAAAAAAAAAAAAGATTCAAAACCAGAGTTGTGGATTCCAAAGCTGAACCCTTTCTGGCCATGAGGCCTCCTTTAGCCAAGTGCTAATTCAACATTTAGCTTTGTAATATGTCACAGATAGATGATCCATTAAATAGTTTCTAACACCGTTCTGATTCATCTCTTTTACAATATATTGAGAATAATAGCATTTCCACAAAGGTTATTTCAAATGAAAAGACATTTACTATCTTTGTGCTATCATTTACCCTAAGGAGCCTATATTTTTCCAATAATGTAGTTTCCACTCCTGGGAAAGCACGGCTCTTTTATACAAACGGCATCAAATCAGACGGATGCTGTGCAAATGTTGTGCTTCTCCAAAATGAATTTTTAAGATTGACTCCAAAACTCATCTTCTCCTTTCAATTTACATAATATCTCTTACAAAACTGCCAAAACCATATTTCAAATTTAAAATGTCTTGGACAAAGGGAAAAAATGCTCTGAAATATCAAATTACATGTACTTTATTTCTTTTACTGTGACGACTCCAAAATATAACCGCAGCTTCAGCTATGATTTCTCTTAAAAATTCTATTAAAATGCAAAGAAATAGTTGGTTGTAGGTGGCAGAGCCTTCTGCGATCGCTCTGGCAGTTTGAAAATATGCCCTTAAATTCTTTGACACTTATTTAAAAATAGAGTCTAATTTCCCTCTCTTTGAATATGAGCCAGATTTACTGGCTCACTTCTAATGACTGTAATATGGTAGAAATGACACCATGTGACTTCCTCAGCTCAGTTAGGAAAGGCCAGACACCTATGCCTGGCTCCCTTCTGCTCTCCTGGTACACTCACCATTGGATCCATCTACTAGGCTGAGAGGAAGCTGAAGAGCCACGTGGAAATCCAACAGCTAGTATCAACCACTAGATGTGTGAGTGGATGAGCCTGCAGATGATCCTCGCCCCTGGTCTTTGAGCCATCCCCAAACCATGCGGAGTTATTGCATATTCATAAACAAAATAAATGCTGTCATTTTTTTAAGCCACTAAATTTTGGGTGGTTGTTCTGTGGAAATAGATAGTCAGAGCAAGCCCATTCAACCATTTGTTTTGGGGTTCCAAATAGAAAGCATCTTGAATAACGTAGATTAAATAACAATAAATGCAAATGCAGACACCAAACATATCCTAGAGGAATCTTGGAGAACTTTAGTCTTGCTGCTTTTTATTTTTACATCTCATCAGTAGTACTGACGTTTCATCAGGATCAATGGAGAATTAACAATGGAGTTGATATTTTTTCCCTTTATAAGTTTGGGGAAAAGGTAGATCTCATAATCTGGTGTACTCCTTTTGGAAGCTTTTCATATTATCCTATCCTTTATCACAGGCTCCTCACATTCAGCATGTCCTAAACCAAATATTTTTTCTCCTACCCATTGACTCCTCCCCCTATGATTCTCATCATTATCAATGGAATTTGACTTAGAAATCTATTCCTTTCTCGGCCGGGCGCGGTGGCTCACGCCTGTAATCCCAGCACTTTGGGAGGCCGAGGCGGGCGGATCACGAGGTCAGGAGATCGAGACCATCCCGGCTAAAACGGTGAAACCCCGTCTCTACTAAAAATACAAAAAATTAGCCGGGCGTAGTGGCGGGCGCCTGTAGTCCCAGCTACTTGGGAGGCTGAGGCAGGAGAATGGCGTGAACCCGGGAGGCGGAGCTTGCAGTGAGCCGAGATCCCGCCACTGCACTCCAGCCTGGGCGACAGACCGAGACTCCGTCTCAAAAAAAAAAAAAAAAAAAAGAAGAAATCTATTCCTTTCTCTTCTCCTTCCCTATAGTCAATCATTAAATCTTGTAGATATTATCTCCTATCACTGATCATTTGATATAACTCACCAAATTTCACTAATAATAAAGTGGTAATACATTTGACAGACTCCAAAGAAAGATAATTTTTTTCTTTTTCTTTTTATATGGGGGTCTCGCTCTATCTCTCAGTCTGGAGTGCAGTGGCATGATCTTGGCTCATTGCAACTTCTGCCTCTGGGGTTCAAGCGATTCTCCTGCCTCAGCATCCCAAGCAGCTGGGACTACAGGCATGCGCCACCACGCCCAGCTAATGTTTTTCGTACTTTTACTAGAGACAGGGTTTCACTATATTGGCTAGGCTGGTCTCAAATTCCCGACCTCAAGCAATCTGCCAGTCTCAGCCTCCCAAAGTGCTGGATTACAGCTGTAAGCCACCATGCCAAGCCAAAGAAAGATAGATTTTTAAAATGTTTCTAATAATAGAGAAAGTAAAGATGCTACGTTAGAACACATTATCTGTTCCCCTTCCCGAAGCAGCGAATTATTGTTTCAGTTTGTGAAAATATCCAAATGCACAGTACATAGAAAACTGCAATGACTTCCTTTAATGTGTACTCATAGAAACTCAAGATCAGGAGTGACTTCTCCAAGACCCCACATTCGCCTGCTTCCTTTGCGCCCCTCTCAGGTGCATATTTTCTGTTTTTTTTTTTTTCATAACTCTTTTAAGGCATGGTCCCTCCATTTATATTTTCAAAGACACTTAGCCAGGTTAATATCCTGTCAGTCTTTTCACACACTAGAAGTTAGCCTGTTCATATACGGGCCAATGGATCAGAAAATCAGGGAAGAATCCATGGAAATCAAATCACCATGTGTAGTTAATAAACTCGTATTTATTGCTTATCTATCAGCAGATGCTTCTAAAAACATCCATGCCCAGGCCCCACCACAGTCCCATTAAATTAGTGTCTGGGGGAAGGGCTCAGGCCTCAGTATGTCCAGAGCTCTCCTGGTGATACCAGTGAGCAGCCAGGGCTGAGAACCACTAGCCAGGGTGTGCCTACTGTTATGAAGGTGTTTTCAGAGATACACAGAAAGCACCTCAGATAAATTCTGTAAACACCTGTGTAATTGAAAAAAGTTATAGTTATAATGTGTGAGAGGGAGAACACTAATTCAACTCATTTTTTACTAACTGGACCAATTATTTTACTAAAACAAGTGTATATTGTAGGCTTTGTCGTAAGGTTTCTGTATTGAAAGAATGTAGAGCATCTGTGAGATGGAATGTCTTTTGGGTTTTGGTGGGTGTGGAGTCTAACCTAACCAATATTTTGAGTAAAATGTTAGAGAATGGAGACACTGATCTTTGTTTAAATCTTATTTTCTCCATTCATTGATGTGCTGGAGATAGCAAGCCACAGCTGATGAGGACCTAATATTGCCCTCGTGAGCACAGACCTTCTGCTGTTTTCTACAACAAAGAAAACAGTATCTCTGCATCATTGTTCAGGCTTCCAGAAGAAAGGGTGCAGGCATGAGTTTAGAGAAGCACTACTAGTAAAGCCGGGGCACCCCACAGCGCCCCCCGACAGAGGGGTGAGATGATTTGTGGGTGCTCTACACTGCGTGACTAAAACATTTGGAGGCTCGCTATTACTTCGCATTTCATTCCCTTGTAGGAAACTATAGATTCAAATGGGTTGGTATGGCTGGTTAATTTTAATTTATAACTCTATGTTTATTTAAAAATTGGATAAAATTCATGCTGACTGTATTTTATTATATACAAACATATCCATGCTTACTTCCATTTATCCATACAACAAATTCTACTCATAGTATCTATTTAACTCGTACTATTAGAAATGATGAAATAAAATTGTTACTTAAATTTTATTTAAATCTAGTAAGATATATTCAGTATTGTTTAGCTCATAATTGTATAGAAATGAATGTATACATTTATATATTTTTTCTTGAATAATCAGGAGGAAAGACATTCTCTGCTATAATATGAAGTGTCAAAGGTGATTGGTGCACCAGGCACGGTGTGGCTCACACCTGTAATCCCAGCACTTCAGGAGGCCGAGGTGGGCGGATCATTTGAGATCTGGAATTCGAGACCAGCCTGACGAACATGGTGAAACCCCATCTCTATTAAAAATACAAAAATATTAGCTGGGTGTGGTGGTGCACTCCTGTAATCCCAGCTACTCGGGAGGCTGAGACAGGAGAATCTCTTGAATCCAGGAGGTGGAGGTTGCAGTGAGCTGAGATCGCACCACTGCACTCCAGCCTGGGCAACGGAGTGAGACTCTGTCTCAAAAAAAAAAAAAAAAAAAGATTTCATGTAATGGGCAGCTGCTTTTACCTGGAACGCAATAAATCCTCACATACTTTCTGAAAACTGACTTTGAGATTCTGTCTAAAAAAAAAAAAAAAGGTGATTGTTGGGGATATAAATAGTCTATTTGTTCCTATAAAAAAAAATCTTTTGTAAATCCCCTGGCATATAGGAAAGGTGGAGGAAATGCTGGTGTACCAGGCCTCATGGCTAACTCTCCCATTTCCTCAGGTGCTCCACCGCCAAGACCCTCTTGGAGAGCCATGAGCGCAATGCTGACTCCCGTTCTGCCCTCGCTGGCCCCCGTGCCAGATCTCCATGCGGCTTCTGGTTGTTCCCATTGCCCGTTCTGATGTGGGAAGTTGCTTATTTCCTAGCAGGTACTACCAGCATGGTGCTGAAACAATAATATAAATCAAAGTGCCTTCTAACGACGTTGTATGAAAAGATCAGTCTGGGCTAAGGATCAAAATAAAATTGTCATTACATTTAATGATTGAGACCATATTTACTAGTATTTTAATTATTTAGTTTCTTTATTAGTAGTAATATTTAATATTTTACAATATTTATTTATGATACTATCATGTTCTTTCAATGACCAAAAAGCACTCTCATTGTGTTTAAATGTGAATAATCAAAATTTAACATAAAATTAAATAGTAAAGCTAGGTGTTGTAGGAACAGAAACAATAGAATTACTTTTTGTTGGCATGATATAAAGAATTAGTTTTTATTAGTATACGTGTATATGTGTATTTGTGTGTGTATAATTTCATTCTTTAATAAACTCCAAATAAAATTTTCAGTAATTCCAGATTTTCTTTGATTTTAATTTCTAGTAATTTCAAGTTATTTATACATAACTGAAGGGAAGATTTAATTTCTAAAATAATAATTCTCAGAATCCACGTTTATTTGCAGATTCCGAGCAGAAAACTGCTTTCACTTGATAGGCATTTTTAGCTAAACTCTGGAAGTGCAAAGGAAACTCAAAGGAAGACATTTGTTTTTGTACAAGGTTTAATATATTTCTAATGAGAGAAACAACCCCAGCATCTATTAACAGAACAGCGCCTTCTGCCAGGAGCAGCACCTGTCACCTAAGTTCTATTCGATATATACTAGTTGAATGAGTGGATGACTAAATGATGGTAACTACTCACTTCCTTTAGCAGAGAGCAGGGAGTACCTGACTGTGTCAAGACACGCTTGGAGTTATGAGACTGGGTTCTCAGCATGGCTTCTCTTGCTGAGAACCCAGTCCAGTGCCTGGACTTTGGGCAAATTCCTTCAACGCTCTAAACCTCAGATTCCTGGCCGGGCGCGGTGGCTCACGCTTGTAATCCCAGCACTTTGGGAGGCTGAGGAGGGCAGATCACGAGGTCAGGAGATGAGACCATCCTAGCCAACACGGTGAAACCCCGTCTCTACTAAAAATACAGAAAAAAAAAAAAAAAATTAGCCGGGTTTGGTGGCGGGCGCCTGTAGTCTCAGACACTTGGGAGGCTGAGGCAGGAGAATGGCGTGAACCCGGGAGGCGGAGCTTGAGGTGAGCAGAGATCGCGCCGCTACACTCCAGCCTGGGCGACAGAGCGAGACTCCATCTCAGAAAAAAATTAAATAAAATAAAAAATAAACCTCAGATTCCTTATACGGAATATGGAAAGCCAGTCTGCATCAGGGCTAATTTAATATACACCAGCTTTGTCCTTACACCGTGTTTTATTCCAACATGGAGGGAAAGAAAGCCCTTATAACCCCACCATACATTAGGCTTTAATTAGCAATTATCACCCTAATGAAAAGAATCAGCAACACTTTTTACAATGCCCTGAGGTGTTGTTGGTGAGAATTTTTCTTTTAGACTACTACCACAAATACAACTTTTTGACTCAGAGATGTAGTGGTTTTAGAATTTAAGATTTGACTGCCATGCAGTTGATTATCAAATGTACTTACTATATTTAAACACAATCTCAAATTCTGTTTTGTTTTGAGACCGAGTCTCACTCTGTGGCCCAGGCTGGAGGAGTGCAGTGGCGCTATCTTGGCTCACAGCAACCTCCATCTCCCAGGTTCAAGTGATTCTCCTGCCTCAGCCTCCCAAGTAGCTGGGATTATAGGCGTGAGCCACCATGCCCGGTCCACAATCCCAAATTCTTACTTGGGATATTATATTCAAAGAAATATAAAGTGGCCGAGCGCGGTGGCTCACGCCTGTAATCCCAGCACTCTGGGAGGCTGAGGTGGGCCAATCATGAGGTCAGGAGTTCGAGACCATCCTGACCAACATGGTGAAACTCCATCTCTACTAAAAATACAAAAATTATCCGGGCGTGGTGACACATGCCTGTAATCCAAGCTACTCAGGAGGCTGAGGCAGAGGTTGCAGTGAGCCTCGACTGTGCCACTGCACCCCAGCCTGGGCGACAGAGCGAGACTGCATCTCAAAAAAAGAAAAAAAAAAGAAAGAAGAAATATAAAGTGATACCTTGTTAAGTAATATTTCCATTATAGTTTCTGTCTGCAACTACATGAAGCACTCTGTGCTCTTGAAGTAATGGCATCTAAATCCAGCAAACAGAGTCACATCTTCTATTACCACCATTTCCCCGATGGATTCTTCCAGGGAATGGAGGCACAAGTCAGCTTCATGCCTGGCTGCATATGGAAGAAAGCAATTTTCATAAATCCTCAGCTCCATACAATGGGAAAATCTCATTTAGTTTCTGAGGTAAATTAATATTTTTTGTCTCACACTTTTTTCTATTTTCTTTTGTTTTTATAATTATCATACAGTAAAATTGACCTTTTTGTGGTGCACATTTCTATAAATTCTAAGACATATATATAACGATCACCACAATAAGATACATTTCTATCACCCTAAAAAAATTCCCACATGCTGCCTCTTTATCAAAGCCTTCCTTATGCCACCAAGCACTGGCAATCACAGATCTATTTTCTATCCCTATAGTTTTATCCTTTGAGAATGTCATATAATGGAATCAATACAGTATGAACTTTTTGAATGACTTTGTTCACTCACCATAACGCCATTGAGATTTATCCAAGTTGTTGCATGAGTCGATAATTTCAAGAAAATGTCTACTATTTTCCTGCCAAGGGACAGGTTTCCTTGGGCACATCCTAGACTCAAAGAAATCATTAAAAAATTCAATATCTTATTATCTTTATGTCAACTACATTAACAGACAGAATTTTCTTTGTTAAAGGAATTTCTATTCTTTGTTTCTTAAAGTAACTAAATTTGGCTAAAAAAAAAAAAAAATCTGCTGCTGGATTTCACAGGATGAAATCTGGCTTAAATGCACTAATTCGCCTTGTGACCCCTTAGTTCTCATGACTTCTAAGAGCAAAAGGCATTTTCCCTACTGCATGCAGCCAACTCTACAAATATTAAAATCTAGAACCTAATGTAGTGGAAGAAATTCATATGAAAGCTACAGAATGCACTGAACTTTCAGCTAATGCAGAGTTCAAATAAGAATTCCCTCTTTAATGTCATAATACAAAATGTTCACATCAGTTAAGTATTGATTACAAACATCTATTTTAACAATTTGGTCCCTGGAAACTACCTTACAGCCTGGTTCTTGCAAATGTTACTTCAAATTAAAGTTAAATGTTAAATATTATATATATGGAGAAAGAGAGATTCTTTTTTCAGAAAAATACCCTTCAAACTAATTTTAATGTGAAGACCAAATTTTAACCAAAAAATTATCTTCAGTTTTCCATTTATTTGGCATATATGTCAGACATAAAAACAATCAATTTATTTTTCTAAAGACAGGGATGTTATATGTGTCATGTGTATCCTATGTTAAGTTGATTTTAATAAGTCTGTGTAAAGAAATTTATTGAGATAAGCATTTGGTGAGCATGTGTTCCTTCTTAACTGGTCACTTTCTGTTGGTAAGCGGGTATCTAACTGCAAACGACAACTTTACTATGCAAGGCACAACCTCACTTGGGAGCTTGTTTGAAATGCAGACTTCCCTACTTACACCTACGTTGACTTGGAATCTGCATTTAACATGATCATAAGGATCTTGCACATTACAATTTGAGAAGCACTGCCCTAAAACATCTTAAGAATAAAACTGGAACATTTTCACTGCAAATGTGCTATTTACATTAGCATGACTACTGTGGAAAAAAATCCACTAAGCTTGAATTTTGAACTAGTTGAACGCCGATTGTGATAATGTAAGCCTGTTTTGAGAAATGCAAGCACTAACTATCCCTTAGCAAATATAAAGATGCCACATGTGGTCTAATGTAATATTAGACCTTCCCTCTTCTCAGGAGGCAGAGCCATTATGTTCCAACCTGAGCCTCTGAGCTACCATTACTTGTTTCTATTCTTAGCCTTCATGAATACAGGTCACTTATTGGGATTATACTATTCTAACAAAAAAAAATGTGTTTTCCAATGGGAACTACAACAAAAATAGATGAATTCCTTAAGAAACAAATTTTTATTCCTAAATAAATATAATCATATTTGTAAGACATAAGAATAAATGAAAAAATTAGTAATTAGGTAAAGAGTACATTTATTTTCAAATTCTGTAGTTCCCCTCAAGATACCACTATTGACATGGTTGCAAAGCATTATTTGCAATTGTTATGTCAAAGTCGTGTTGTGTCTAAAGAAAGACTACCTGACACTTGTTTCCAAATTGTTCCACTTATACAATTTGTGCTTTTCCTAGTGTCAAAGGCTTTCCAGCCAGAATGATTCCATCTTGAGTGAAGGCTAAGAAAATAAGGCTGGGACTTGCTGGGCTGCATTCATAGAAAGTTAGGCATTCCTAGCCTCTAGATGTTTACTGCTAAGAGAACAGATTGATAATGTTTACTAAACTGGCCCAGACTTGGGATTGTCTTGATATCCTGATATCTTGAGAACAGAAGCATTCCTAATTTTGCTTTAAAGATAATAATATCGATCCTTGCAAAACATAAGAAAATTAATCCTTTATCACAAACCCTTGTAGCATAGCACATCTTCCCATGATCTTTATTTATCCTATATATAAACAAGTGTCGTACCTAGGGTGGACGCGTTCCTCTTCTTCCTTTTGGGAACTCCCGGCTCTGTCTATGGAGTAGCTGTTCTTTCGCCACTTTATTTTCTTAATAAATTTGCTTTTGCTTTGCACCGTGGACTGGCCCTGAATTCTTTCTTTCACGAGATCCAAGAACCCTCTCTTGGGGTCTGTATAGGGACCCCTTTCCTGTAACACTAGCAAGGAAGTCCCTTCCAGAGAGCTCTCTCTGGTTTAGCAGCACACTTATATTGGTGTAGGATGGGAACATTCCATAAAGACATATTCACATTTGTTCAAAGTCTTCTGCATCAACTACCCCCAGATTTTGATGTATTCTGCCTTTAAAATCACGCTATGTCCCAGTCACTTTTTGTTGCCTTCCCTTCCAATCCAGTTGAGGAATCCCTCCGGGAAAGTAAAATCTGTCTACTTGTGCTCTCTGTCCACCTCCTGGCATCTCCTGTCAATTATTTCCCTACTCTCTTGTTCTTTCAATCATTCCCATCCTACTGGAACTTTCCTATCAACGTTTCAAGTTGTTATCTAAATGTCACTTATCTGAAAACAAATAAATCGCCTTTCATGACTCTGTTTCAAACTTCCTTTTTTTTTTTTTTTTTTTTGAGACGGTCGGAGTCTTGCTCAGTCACCCAGGCTGGAGTGCAGTGGTGTGATCTTGGCTCACTGCAAGCTCCGCCTCCTGGGTTCACGCCATTCTCCTGCCTCAGCCTCCCGAGTAGCTGGGACTACAGGCACCTGCCACCACGCCCGCCTAATTTTTTTTTTTTTTTGTATTTTTAGTAGAGACGGGGTTTCACCATGTTAGTCAGGATGGTCTCAATCTCCTGACCTCGTGATCCACCCACCTCGGCCTCCCAAAGTGCTGGGATTACAGGCGTGAGCCACTGCACCCAGCCGACCCTATTTCAATCTTTTTAGCTTTCACTGAATGTTTCTCTACCTGTCCGTGAATGAATGGTCTCCATTTATTTTCCATTTGTCTTTCACATATTCCAGCTTAACATTTATTTCCACAACTGACATTTATTTGATAAAGGTCCTTTGAATACATTTTAGCTCTAATATGCCTACTCTGTCTTTAATGTGTGACAATTTCACTAATGGAAATACAATCACATGTGCCCTGTAAATCTCCCAAGTTGTCTCAATTCTCCAAAGAATTACATCATGTCTGTCCACACCCACCAAACACAAAACTGAAAAGTGACCAGTTCAGCTTCAGGCTAGTGTTTTTTCATTCCACCAAAGCCACATTATATTTAATTAATGAAACTAATGCCTATAAAGTTAACAAAGGAATATAACACATATACCTGAATATACCTCTATTCAAAATTATTTTCCAAGAATGAATAAATGTTCACATTTTATTAGAGAAAATGAAACAATCATAATATCTGAGATTTATTTCAAAACTCTTTTTTTTACTGACACATGTTCTTGTCCACAGGCCAATGGAAACAGACATGTGTAGCATTATTTAGATGATCAACTGCATTAATTCTTCATATATTAGTCATTGACAATAGACCTACAAAGAGAGTATTTCTCATCCTTGATATAAATTACAGTTTTCATCATTGAATTTACTTACTCAACAGTTTTTAGACACATGCGCTTGTGGACTTATATGGAATTCCTGAGGTTGAACTTGCTGCGTGATAAATCTTCTAGCTTTAAATACAGAGTCTGTTTAAACAGGGTGAGTTGTAAATTATCTGACAAGGAAATGGATTTTATGTGGAAAATGCACATTTTCTCACAGGCAGGGCCCATGAAACTCATGGTTTGAATACTTTCAGATGGCAGAGCCTTTGACAAGTAAAAGAAACAAGACTATTGTAAACACTGAGCTTATTCGAAAAGCATTTTTTTAAAATTTCCAAGCTTATCAGATTATGTCTATATAAAACTAACATTTTTGTGAATTTCCAAGTATGTATTTGGCTCATTCATTGTTTCTTTTTGTCCACAGATGTACATATTTTTATAATGATTACAACAAAATAATTTAAACCATCCAGTAGGTGAAGCATTCCCCTTTTCCCAAGACAGTTGGATAAAATTGAATCAAAATTTAATTCCATGTCTGAAGGAAGTTTAACACCCTTCTTGGAAGTCTTGAAGCCTCCCAGGTATGACTGAGTAAAGCAGATTGCTCTCCACATTGTAGGTGGACCTCATATAGTTCCTTGAAGGCCTGAATGGAATGAAAGTTTGAGTAATAAATAATTGTTTCTCTATGATAGTCTTTGAACAGGATATCAGTGTCCTTCTGCCTTTGGACTCAGACTGGGACTGGAACTTACACCATCAGCTTTCCTGGTATTCAGGCCTTTGGAATTGGGGTGGACCTACATTACCAACTTCCCTGGGTCTCTAGCTTGCCAACTGCAAATTTTGGACTCCTCAGTCTCTGTAATCACATAAACCAATTTCTTACAATAAATGTACCTATGTGTCCACATATCCATCTGAGCATCTAGTGGGTTCTGGGTTTTTTTTCTTTTGGAAGGTACGTGACTAATACAGATTAGTACTGAGATTAGCATGATTTAGTACTAACAGTGGTTCTAGAGAAACAAAATTTTAAGAATAAATTTCTTGAATTTGTTCTGAAGTTTCCAGAATTGGCTTTCTAATCTGATTAGAATTAAAGATGCTAGTGGTTCTGTTTCCAGTGGTAAAGAAAGCACTCACAGTACCTGGCATGATTTGGCAATAGAAATATGCAAAATATCACCCTTGGATAGTCCTAATCAACTACTTACAAAAAGCATGGATATGGATGACTGTGTATATGGTAATTTCAAACATTTCCGACAAGCTATTGAATATAACAGTTTAGGACTGATTGTTCCTAATGGTGCTGGACAAAGTATAGAAAGAGAAAGATGAGCTTAACGATTAAAATTCCCAGCTCAAATGCTACCTAAATGATCTGAAAGCTTCTATGTGTGCCCTGAAGGAGACATTTATCTCCTGTAATTTCAGTTCTAAGATTGCTGAAAATGAAGCCCAGAAACTCATCCTGTGACTGGCTGAATTACAATGTAAGTTTGAACTCCCAGCCTTGTAGAGTATTTATGGGGAAAGTGAGGGCATTGATTGGGAAGGAATGGAATCTGAATATTGGAGTGGGGATGTGATGTGAGGGAAGACCTGGATGAAGCTGGAAACACTGAACCACTAAGTTCTTTTCTGCTGGAAGATGTCTCCCCAGCCCCAGGGGGAGCAGCCTCTCTACCCCCATTTGAAGAGAGTAACCTCTTAGTGACTGATGAAATTTTAGTGGCCTCCCCTGAGGAAGCTGCCATCAAGAAAATGCTGAATATTCTCAGGAACCATGCCTACCATCTTTCTTTGCTTCTGGATCTAGAACTAGACTCATCTCAGCGGGCCCCTAAAGGTGAGGTATAAAGTGTGGCCCATGAGGAGGTGTGCTACACTCTACAATAATTATTTGAGTTTTTAAAATTATACAGACAGAAACCTAGGAAACATGTGAGAATGGATATTAAGTGTGTGAGATATTGGTGGAGGAACACCAACTTACCTCAGGCTGAAATTACTTCTACTAAGCATAGATTATACAGTTAATGTGCATCTCAGGAGTCAGAAAGGGCTCTAACACTTTCTGTGGTTGACTAAAGCCTAGACCAAAAGGTGGCCTACAGTGAGTAAGTTGGAAATGCCAGACCTGCCTTGGTTGAATGTATAGATACCCCTCTAGTTACTATAAGGTTACATCCCAATAAAGCTACCATAACTTGAAAACATTGCAAGTCAAACTGCATTTAATACACTTAACCTACCAAACATCATAGCTTAGCCTATCCTACTTTAAACATGCTCAGAACACTTATTCTATAGTGGAGCAAAATCACCTAACACAAAGCCTATTTTATAATAAAGTAATGAATAGCTGACCTAATTTATTGAATACCATACTGAAAGTGAAAAACAGAATACTTGTATGGGTACTAACCATTAATGTACACAGCTGAAAGTGCACGGAGCCTGAAGAAAGTTTGAAACATTGAACTAAAATTAATTGCTGGCTGATGGAGAGGTTATAGTGACAGGGTTATTGGTTTCTCTCTCTTCTGATGAAGCTTGAGAATGTAAAATGATACAATGGACTTTGGGGACTTGGGGGGAAAAGTGGGAGGGGGGCAAGGGATGAAAGACTACAAATATGGTACAGTGTACACTGCTTGGGTGATGTGTGCACCAACATCTCACGAATCACCACTAAGGAACTTACTCATGTAACCAAATACCACCTGTACCCCCAATAACTTATGAAAAATAAGAAAAAATTAAAACATTAAAAGTATAAAAAATAAAAACCACTGGCAACACAGCACACTCACAGTACGCAGCTGAGTATTGGTCATTTACCCTTGTGATGGTGTGGGTGGCTGGGATCTGTGGCTCCCTGCAGCTGCCCAGCATTGCAACAGAGTGTCATACAGCAGATCTAGCCTGGGAAAAGATCAAGATTCAAAATTCAAAGTGTGGTTTCTACTAAATGTGCATCACTTTCACACCATTGCAACAGGAACCATCTTAAAGGGGACCATCTGTAGAGGAAAGCATCAAAGGCTTAGGGAGATCAGAATGTTAGAATAGATTTGCCATTTCAGATCTAACCACCCTCATTGGGAGAAAACAGAAGATGTACTTCTTTTCACTGCTATTGTGAGAAATCAATTTGTAAGGAGAGCCTCAGCGTCTCTGAAGAGCTTTGTGATTGCCAGACCTTACAGTGGAGAATGCAGTCACTGTTTGGGAAATCTAGACAGTGGGAGTAATTGGATCCCAGGATGACAGGAGCCAAAGGGTGGTACCAAAGTGAGAGTGGGTGTGGTTCCTGTAAGGGAGGCAGACTCAAGACAGCAATCAGAATCATCTCACTTGTGCAGATTTATGGTGTTGGTTAGTTGAGCATGATGGTTCTAGAGGTGAAATACTCTGGAAGACTACTAAATTCTTACTTTCTCTGTATACATAAGGCTGTTCTTGCATTGCTATAAAGAAATAGTTGAGACTGGGTAATTTATAAGGAAAGAAGTTTAATTAGCTCATGGTTCTACAAGGAAGCATGAGCACTGACATCTGCTTCTGGAGAGGCCTCAGGATCATGGCGGAAGGCAAAGCAGGAGCTTCCATGTCACATGGTGAAAGCTGGAGCAAAAGAGAGAGAGTTAGGTGCCACACTTAAACAGCCAGATCTCATGAGAAGGCACCCACTCTCATGAGAACAGCACCAAGGGAATGGTGCCAAACCATTCATGAGAACTCCACCCCCATGATCCAGTCATCTTCCACCAGGCCCCACCTCCAATACTGGGGATGACAGTTCAACCTGAGATTTGGCTGGGGATATATATCCAAACTGTATCACTGGGTAAGCAGAAAATTCCTAGGTCAAGTGAATATAAGTTTAACCTAGACCAGAGTCACAACTCCTCAATCAATTCCCAGATTAGAGCCAGTTTATAGCCCCAGAACCCCCTGGAGGGGAGGCCAAGTACTCTTGAGGAAGGAGCACCATACAATGCAAAAAAAATTACACTGTTAAACTTCCTCACAACTTCCCCAAAAGTAAGGTACCATTTAGCAGGGTAACTATGCAACGGGGAAAAGGAAATAATCAGACCTATTAGAAACTACTGGACACTGGCCCTGAACTGACACTAATTCCAGGACACCTAAACCCCCTCTGTGGGTCACCAGTCAAAGTAAGGACTTATGGAGATCAGGTGATTCAGGGAGTTTTATCCCATGTCTGTCTCACAGTGGTCCCAGTGAGTCCCGAAATCCATCCTGTGCTTATTTCTTGTTTCCAGAATGCATGATTAGAATAGATATACTCAGAAGCTGGAAGAACCCTACATTGGTTCCTTAACTTGTGTAAGGGACAAGGGTTATTATGGTGAGATAGGCTAAATGGAAGCCGCTAGAACTGTCTCTGCCTTGGAAAGTAGTAAACCAAAGTTAGTACTGCATTCCTGGAGAGGTTGCAAACATTAATGCTACCATTAAGGATTTGAAATATGCAAGGGTGGTGATTCCCACCACATCCCCCATTCAATTCACCTATTTGAACTGTGCAGAAAACAAATGAATTTTGGAGAATGACAGATTACAGTAAGCTTAACTAGATAGTAACTCCAATTGCAGCTGCTGTATCAGATGTGGTTTCGTTGAATAAATTAACACATCCTCTGATATGCAGCCATTGACATGACAAATGCTTTTTTTCCTCTGTATCTGTTCATAAGTCTCATTACAAGCAATTTTCTTTCAGCAGACAAGGCCAGCAATCCATCTTCGCTATCCTGCCTCACAGATATGTCAACTTTCTAGGCCGATGTTAAAATTTAGTTGGCAGGGATCTTGATTACCTTTTACTTCCACAAGATATTACTGGTCCATTACACTGATGGCATTACTGGTAAGACATACATGTCAGGGAGTGGTTAATAAATCCAACTAAAATGCTGGGGCCTTCTACCTCAGTACAATTTCGAGAGGTCCAGTGATGTTGGGCACATCAAGATATTCCTTTTAAGGTGATGTTGCTTCTGGTCTCTCCTACAACGAAAAAAAGAGACTCAACACCCTGTGGACTTCTTTGGATTTTGGAGGCATCATACTCCTCATTTGCGTGTGTTACTCTGAGCCATCTACTGAGTGACCTAGAAAACTGCTGCTTTTGAGTGGGACCCAGAATAAGAGGAGGCTCTGTAGCAGTCCAGGCTGCTGTGCAAGCTTCTCTGCTGCTTGGGCCGTATGATCTAGCAGATCCAATGGTGCTTGAAGTGCCAGTGGCAGATAGGATACTGTTTGGAGACTTTGACAAGCCCTATAAGTGAGTAACAGCGCAGGGCCTTAGAATGTTGGAGCAAAGTCCTGCCATCTTCTGCGAATAACTCCTCTCCTTTTGAGAAACAACTCTTGGCCTGCTACTAGACCTTAGTAGTTACAGAACTCGTAACCCTGGGCCACCAAGTTGCCATGTGATCTGAGCTGCATGTGATGAGCTGGGTGTTATCTGATTCACCAAGCTATGAAGCTAGGCATGCAGAGGAGCACTCCAGCATCTAATGGAAGTGGTATACACATGATTAGGTCTGAGCAGGCTCTGAAGCACAAGTAAGTTACGTGAAAAAGTGACCCAAAAGCCCATGGTCCCCACATCTGCTACACTGACCTTTCTCTCGCAGCCTGCACCTATGGTCCCATGGGGAGCTCCCCATTATCAGTTGACTAAAGAAGAGAAGACTTGGGCCTGGATTACAGAGGGTTTTGCATAATATTCAGGAACCATCTGAAAGTGGATAGCTGCAGCACTGTAGCCCCTCTCTGGGACATCCCTGGACAGTGGTGAAGAGAAGTTGTCCCAGTGGACTCAACTTCAAATAGTGCACCAGGTTGTTCACTTTGCTTGGAAAGAACAAATGGCATAATGTGTAAACATAATTAGAAGATTGGTGACAAGGAAACCTGGGAAAGAGGTATGTGTGGGTGGACCTCTCTGAATGAGTGACAAAACCATGGTGATATTTGTGTCCCATGTGGGTGCTCACCAAAGGATGACCTCAGCAGAGAAGAATTTTAAAAATCAAGTGGATAGGATGACCCATTCTGTGGATACCTATCAGCCTCTTTCGCCAGCCACTTCTGTCATCTCCCAGTAGACTTAGGAACAAAGTATCCATAGTGGCAGGATGGAGACTTAGCCTACATGGACTCCCACTCACCAAGGCCAACCTGGCCATGGCCACTGTGAGGGCCCAGTATGCCTGCAACACAGACCAACTCTGAATCCTTGATATGCACCTGGGGTAATAAGCCAGCTACCTGGTGACAGATTGATTACATTGGGCCACTTTCATCATGGAAAGGGCAGTGTTTTATTCTTACTGGAATAGACACTCTGGATATAGAATTGCCTTCCCTACATGCAATGTTTCTACCCAAGCTACCATCCATGGGCTTACGGAATGCTTTAACCACAGTCATTGTTTTCCATACAGCAGTGTTTCTGATCAGGGAATTCAGTTAACAGCAAAAGAAGTGCAGCAATGGGTCCATGTTCGTGGAATTCACCGACTTTACTATGTTTTCTACCATCCTGAAGTAGCTGGTTTGGTAGAATGATGAAATGGCCTTTTGCAGACTCAGTTACAGTGTCAGCCAGGTGGCAGTACTGAGCTGGGGAAAGAATCCTCAGGAGTCTGTATGCTTTAAATCAGCATCCAAAATATGATGCTGTTTCTCCAAAAGGCAGAATTCACAGGTCCAGGAATCAAGGGAAGAAAGTGGGAGTGGTCTCACTCACGGTTATTCCTAGTGACCTACTAGCAAAATGTTTGCCTCTTGATTCTACAACTTTATGATCTGCTGGCCTAGAAGTCTGTTTCAAATGAAGGATTGCTTCCTCCAAGAGACACAACAGTGCCTTTTTAGAACTGGAAATTAAAACTGTTACCCAGTGGCTTTGGATTCCTCATGCCTGTAAATCAATAGGCAAGGAAGAGAGTTACTGGGCTAGTTCTGGTTATTGATCTTAACTGGCAAGGGGAACTTGGACTCGTACTTCCAAATGGAGATAAGGAAGGGTGTGTCTGCAATATATATACCCTTAGGGTGTCCTTGGGATTATAATATTCTGTACTTATGGTCAATGGAAAATGACAACCACCTAATCCAGGCAGGACAACTAATGGCCCAGACCCTTCAGGAATGAAGCCTTGGGTCATCCCAACAAGGAAATAATCACGACCAGCTGAGGTGCTTAGTGGAAGAAGTGAGGTGCTTAGTGGAAGAAGTGAGGTGCTTAGTGGAAGAAGGTAGCTAGAAATACCAGCTATGACCACATGACCACTTACAGAAATCAAGATTGAAATTGTTATCAGCATTTCCTCCTTTTTTGTTATGAATACATGCAAATGTGTGTGGGTGCATTAAGCAAATATTATTGTTTTTCTGCTGTCTTATTCCCTTATAATTTAATGTAGGAGGTATTGACTATATCATTGCATTTAAGTGTTGTTGATTTTATATTATAACATTTAAGTTACAGGATATCAAGGAGAAAAGTAAACATCATTCGAGGATTATACCTCCTTTTCTGGGGAAGGGGTAGGTGTGTCTTCAGTTGTACATGGGATGATGATATATTAGACAGAAGCATGGCCTTGCTATTTTCTTTATTTAGAGATTAAGTATAGTTTAAGGAGATGTGCATGGATGCCAAGTTGACAAGAGGTGGAGTTGTGATGAATAATTTCATGTGGAAATTTGACGATGTCATGAGGTGCCCAGATATTTAATGAAACGTTATCCCAGCTATGTCTGTGATGGCGCTTTTGGATGAAATTAACATTTGAATCAGTAGACTGAGTAAAGCGAGCTTCTCTCCCTAATGTGAGTAGCCCTTACTCAATCAGTTGAAGGCCTGAATAGAACTAAAATTACTCTGACCTTCCAGTAAGAAAGAGAAAACTCCTGCCTGGCTGTTTGAACTGGGTCATGACTTTTTTCTTGTCTTCAGACTAAACTGAAATATTGGCTCTTCTTGGATTTTGAGCCTGCCAGTTTTCAGACTGGAACTTTCACCATTGACTCTCGTGGTGCTCAGGCCTTCAGACTCAGACTGGAACTCTCCCATTGGCTCTCCTGGGTCTCCAGCTTGCCAACTGCAAACTTGACTTCTCAGCCTCCAGAATTACATAAGCTAATTAGCTATAGTAAGTCTTTCTCGCTCTCCCTCTGTCTCTGCTATTGGTTCTGTTTCTCAGGATATTCCAGATAGTACAGTCACCTCTGGCTGAGAATTCCAACTTCTTCACTTTATAGATTATTCTTTCTCTATGATTCAAACATCCTAACTCATAAATAAGATTTATTTTCTCCCTCAATTTTCACCAAAAAAAGACACATATACATATAACCCATTAGTTTATTTTCAATAACCTTACAGAAGATATGGAGGTGTAACAAAAATTACTGTAAACATAAGCCTTATATTCTTTCTTTTTTTTTTTTTTTTTTGTTTTGTTTTCCTTTTTTTGAGATGGAGTTTCACTCTTGTTGCCCAGGCTGGAGTGCAGTGGCGCAATCTTGGCTCACCACAACCTCCACCTCCCGGGTTGAAGCTATTCTCCTGCCTCAGCCTCCTGAGTAGCCGGGATTACAAGCATGTGCCATTACATCTGGCTAATTTTGTATTTTTAGTAGAGATGGGGTTTCTTCACGTTGGTCAGGCTGGTCTCGAACTCCCAACCTCAGGTGATCCACCCGCCTCGGCCTCCCAAAGTGCCGGGATTACAGGTGTGAGCCACTGCACCCAGGCCAAGCCTTATATTCTTTAAAAGTTAATTCCCCACTGCTTGGCCAGCTAATTCCCTCTGAGCTTTTCTGGCATGACCCTGGCTCTCCTTCCTGCATCTCCCTCCTTCCCCTCCCTTCTCTTCTGTCTTTTCTCTTCTCAGGAGCAAAAACTAAATTGGTCTCCTTTTCTCACACAAGATAGTTTTGGTGCCCCCTTTGCTGATTTAACTCTTGCCAATGGGCATAACTTTGAAGTTTCAATTTTATCCCAAGCAGCTCATCAAACTAGTACTTCAACGTTAGGAATTCTTCTGTAATAGGAATTCTAGTGCCAGCTATTCAAGTTATAAACATCTCAATCTCTGTCACAATCAAAATAACTGCCATTGACTGAGAACTCATGCTCCAATCACTGTTATGATGTGCTTCACTGACATTCTCTCATGTTCTTACAGAAACACCACATAGTCATGCTTTTTCTAACTGTGGCAGATGCTGCTGTGTTTCTAATCAATATCCATTTTCTTCTTCTTTTAAATTAAAGGGTGCTGCTCTATTCAGTCCCACTTTACTAGGCCTCTGCATTGCACCCCCCCATACTATTGTTGGTAGCTAAGGGCTCACAAGTGCCCTGTTCTCTCCTGAGCACTTCTCCAGACTTAAGGGAGCTGCCTCACCTGGACAACCTGTAGCCAGTGACTGACTGACACATGGTATAAAGAGCTATTCCTCTAGCCTCAACGTCAGGCCAACTCTGTAATGCAATCCATGCTCCAAAACTCTGGGTGTCAGGCTGAGCCAGTCTTGTGTTGAGATCATCCTGGCTTAGGTAGATCTCACCCTTGTCTCACCCTACTTACTATTCCCCTCTCATAAGGTTATTCTCTCAAGAAAAGTTGCTCAATAATTGCTATTGCAGGCTCTGCTTCTATAGAACCCAACCTGACAGACTGAATGCGCTGCAGAAAAAACAATGAAGGCCATTAACAGAAGGAAACCAATTAGGGTATCACTGGAGCCTGGGTGAGTGGTGACCTAACAAGAGCTCACTCCAAAATGGTAGCAGTGGACACAGACAGGAGTTGGATCAACCAGTTCATTTGTTTTCCATAATCATATTTTATTTTCTTTGTAGCAATTGTCACTCTCTGCTATTATAGCATTTTGTGTCTTCTAAAGTTTCTTTGTTTTTTGTTTTTGAGATAGAGTCTTGCTCTGTCAACTAGGCTGGAGTGCAGTGGCATGATCTCCACTCACTGCAACCTCTGCCTCCCAGGTTCAAGTGAGTCTCCTGCCTCAGCCTCCCAAGTAGCAGGGATTACAGGCACGTGCCACCACACCCGGCTAATTTTTTTTAGGGGTGGGTATTTCTAGTTCAGACAGTGTTTCACCATTTTGCCCAGGCTGGTCTCAAACTCCTGACCTCAAGCAATCCACCCACTTCTCCCTCCCAAAGTGTTAGGATTACAGGCATGAGTCACCACGCCTGGTCTCCTTTAAAGTATTTTTAAATATTTACCTTGTTAAAAGTTTTTATCTTCCTTTAAAGAGACATAAGAATGAGGGTCTTTCTTAGGTACTATCATATTCTTTCTGCCCCTAAATCAGTGCTGGCAGACAACTCATGCAAAATACATATTTGTAAATAAGTGAATGAAAAATGAATGGAAGAAGAGTGATTGAGATTAGCTTGAGGCCTATGTGGGATTGAGGGAGCTGATTAGGTTATAAGTTGAGAGAGATCTAGAAATATCAAAAGAACTCTGGAGAATGATCTGTTTGGTATAATAAATTATATACTGGGAACTCAGGAGAGATACTATAAGGCCTAAGACAGTATTTGGGTGACTAAGCCCTTCACTTTAAAAGCTCAGTGTAGTACTTTATGCAAAACCTTGAAACTTACCGTATTTCTTTTTGGTATTTTGGGTGATGCTTAAGAATGTTAAATAAGGAAAGACTCTTTGTGTTACCTGTACTGTGTGTCTATTAGAATTGTAACCTATTTCAGTTTTCGTCTCATCACCAACAAGCTTTTCAAAGTAGTAGAAACTACTTTTTCAGAAGGTGAAGTAATGCTGTTTTGTCCAGTGGGTGATTACTTGCTGTGAATACTTAGTGATCATCTGGCTTGGAAACATGCGTAGGTGTGTATAATAAATGAGACCGCTACTACCTGTTAATTGTACTTTATAATTGCAGTTTATCTCCTCTGTACACCTGCAGAGTCCTGGCTCATATCACAGAGAAAAGGTCGTTACTGTGGCTTGACTGAGAGAGCTCATTTATTAAAGCTCTAAGGGATTGTATTATCAACTTTGTCTCATGTCTTTCTACATTATCTAATATTCTCCATTCAGATGTACACAAAAAATATCCATCTTTTAATGCATAACTGATGTACATATATGCTGTTATTGTTATTGTTAAAGAACTGTAGTTATTTAAAGTTAGTAAAATTAAAGTTATTGTTATGGTTATGCTGTTAAGTTATTGATGGTTAAATCAATAACTTTTAGGCAACAAATTGGTTGATCGCTTATTGTTGATTTTAGGCAGTTGCCAAGCAATATTAATGTCCTAACATTAAGATTAATGGAGTGTATCATTCATTGACTTGATCATTCCCCTCCCATTTCTATTGCCCTGTCCCTTGGGGTGCTGGCATTGGGTTCGTATGCGTGCAATCGAATCTTTTCCGTGGCAGATGCTGAGGAGAAAGTCCTGACAGTGAATAGCCGTGTGTTTAGTCAGGTGTTTACATAGGCTCAAGTAAATGAGAATTTTATGGAAAGTCGATAACACATTTCAATACTTTCACATTCATTTTAGAAAAGTATAGTATGAGAAGAAGAGCTTCGACAAATATTGTGTCTAAAAAGCTAAAAACATCCTGATCTTTGTAACCGAGTGGCTAACAAATAAACTAAAGAAACTCACACAACGCTCAGTTAAAGGAGTCAAAATAAACTGTCATAGAATACACATCATGATGAGGTCTTATTTAGCAATATTATACACCCTTTAATTGCATTTGTAATGTTGACTTAAATGGGAGAATACTGCATTCCTTTGCCTTTTCCTCTCTCTGAAGATTTTGAGAGAAGAAACAGAAGAAGTTGTAGAAAATCAGCTCTGCTTCCTTTTACTAATTGTGAATATAAGCTCACCGTACTCTGGAGTGAAAATAAAAACAATGTTTTAGTTGATTGTATCTACCAATGCCATCTACTCCACATTCTTGCTTTAATTGATAGCTTATTTTAAGAAAACACTATGACTTGTTTGTAGAAAATGTACTTTAAGATCCCAGAAGCATTTAATTCCTCAGGAAAACTTATCAGGATGTCATATAATGATTAAAAAGACATTGAAAATCAGTAATTTTCATCAGCTGATCTGCTTTCTTGGTATTTTATACTGTAATACCCTTTACTATATGTGATCTCTGAATAGATAAGTCAGCTTTCAATGCTCACAGTTTTTAACATAGAGTATTTTTTTTAAACTTTGAGTATTGTATAGATTAGGGACAGTGACTTTCACTGAATGAAACTATACTTACTTCTGGTATAAAGAGAATATATACTCATCTACACATGCTCCACTTTGCACTACAGCTGAAGGACTCTGAAAGCACACCGCTCTGGGTTTTAGCTCGAGGGCATCCCGTGGGTGGGTCACTGAGCAAAAGCATTATAGGACATCCCGTTCTACAAGGAATGAGGACAAAGCCCAGGCTTTTCTGGAAAGTTCCTCTATATATCAAGATACTGCATTCTTAGCACATTCTACAGTTATTCTAAAACTGCAAGCCAGGAAATGGGGAAGGGGAGAAGAAAGCTGGGTCCGCTGAGGCCATCTAGGGGCCAGTCCTCCTCCAGAGGCCGTTAAATTGGTCCAGGAAAGAGAAAAATATGGCTTTGATCAGGGTGGTGACGATGGAGTTCTTAATCAGTGGTAGGGTTTTTGATAGGTTTTGTAAGTGTGATAGAACCAATAAGATTTCTTTCCAGACTGGATGTAGAGTGTGAGAGAAGAAGAGTGGTGATCCCAAAGTCATTAGCTTGGGCACCAGATGGAATTGCCATCAACGGAGATTAAGGAAGAATGATTTGTCCCTTAAATTGCACAGTTGTAGCAATAGATGAGTTTACTAGGAAATAAAACATGTGTTTGCAAAGGACTGGTCTATTTCCTTAAGAAAACAGAAACTAGGCCGGGCGCGGTGGCTCACGCCTGTAATCCCAGCACTTTGGGAGGTCGAGGCGGGCGGATCACGAGGTCAGGAGATCGAGACCATCCTGACTAACACGGTGAAACCCTGTCTCTACTAAAAATACAAAAAATTAGCTGGGCGTGGTGGCGGGCACCTGTAGTCCCAGCTACTCGGGAGGATGAGGCAGGAGAATGGCATGAACCCGGGAGGCAGAGTTTGCAGTGAGCCGAGATCGCGCCACTGCACCAGCCTGGGTGAGACACGAAACTCCGTCTCAAAAAAAAAAAAAAAAAAGAAGACAGAAACTAAAATATTAGTGCTCATTTTATGCCTGTCTTTGTCAAAACACTAGGACATTAAAGAACATGTAGGGCAATACAAACCAAAAACGTAATAAGCATGCAATGCCCATATCCTCCACCCCAGTAAAATAATTCATGTATTCAGCTCGCATCCAAATTATTTATTATTATTATTCTGCCAAAGTGTTTCACACAGGTTGCCATTTTAAATTTTGTTTTTGATGAAATGTCTGTTGAAATGCTCCTTTGGAGAAATGACTGTACTTTCTCTTGATTCCTTGACTAAATTTTCACAGAATCGTTTGATCAGAAACTACATAGAAATGTGTTCACTATTATCCATTAGAGTTTATTAAGCAATGAAAGAAATGAAGGCATAACGATAAAACGTCTGCCCAAATTTCTGAGCAGTCACTTTCTCATTAGAGCTCTTGTATTTGGGGACTCTAATGTGGAAATACCGTGAGAATTTAAAGAACAAATAGTACATCCTCCTCCCTTAGAAGGTATCAGAATTTTTAATTTTTATATTATATTGTATTATACTATATTATATTATTATATTATATTATATTATATTATATTATATTATATTATATTATATTATATTTTAAGACGGAGTCTCTTTCTGTCACCCAGGCTGGAGTGCAGTGGCGCCATCTGGGCTCACTGCAAGCTCCGCCTCCCAGGTTCACGCCATTCTCCTGCCTCAGCCTCCCATGTAGCTGGGACTACAGGCGCCCGCCATCACGCCCGGCTAAATTTTTTTGTATTTTTAGTAGAGACGGGGTTTCACCGTGTTAGCCAGGATGGTCTTGATCTCTTGACCTCATGATCTGCCCGTCTCAGCCTCCCAAAGTGCTGGGATTACAGCTGTGAGCCATTGTGCCCAGCCCAGAAATTTTTTTTAATGGTGAATCTTAAATGGTGAATTTAGATAATAACCTAAGATAATTTTGTAGAAATGCAAAATTTGCAAAATAATTTCTGATCATAAAAGGAGGATAGGTGAAAGCTTATCCCAGGTGGTGTCTGACCTGCTTTGTATCTCTGGATTTTCACACTAGAGTGCAATTATGTGGCATATCCACTCTGATTTTTGCAAGTTTAAGAAGTTACTTTAGACACATTGTAATGTTTCTTTAAGCATATTTCACTCCCATAAATGGGGTAACAACATTCCATATTAAAGTTAGTAATATATTACAATTAAAGTGTCTAATTCTCAGATCCTTTGTAACACATGGGCTACAATAAATCACATACAAAAAAAGTCTTAAATTATTAGAATCTATTATGTAAAATGTGACTAAGAGAATCATGCTAGTTTTCAGTTTATTGCCTCTGATCTCCAAATGCAGTCTTCAATATATGTTCTGTACTAATGGACAGGCATCTTTAAGCATTTCTGCTTACCAGTAAGGATACCAGTAAGCAGAAAGAAGGCTGTTCTGCTCTTTCCAGCTGCTGCATGGCGGGCCAGCAGTGTGGGTATGAGAACATCTGGCGTCATTCTGCCCCAGCGACATGTTCAAAATACACCACCCCTCAGTCCTAGCCTGTCCTAGTGACCACCTTCATGCAGCCCTCTTGAGAGAGACGCTATGTGGTCCAGGTCTCTTGCCCACACTGCCACCCTGATTCCCTCTGCCTGCTTGTCCCTACCTTCCAGACTTGTCTTGTGAGGTCCCCCCGATGCAGCGGCCCTCCTGTCAGGGTTACCATATGCTCTAAGCTTTGTGCTGCACTGGCATTGCAGGGAAGTTTACATTTTCCCCCTGAAGTTTTGATAATGTAAGCCTATAAAACAAACTGAAAATAGGCAGATTAACAGAAGAAAAGGCATACAAATTTATTAACATGCATATGGGCTTGGGTATCACATACAAAGTATTAAACTCAAAGCGAGGGTCAGATGGTTGAAGTTTGTATGCCATTTCGAGGCTACAGAAAGAATGGCAGCTCAGAGCACGGCCAAAACCAGGTTATGGTGGTAAATCAAGTTATGGTGGTGGGACACGTTATGGGAGGGAGAGAAGAGGAGGCCTGGCAGCAAAGCTGGTCTTGTTATGTAGCTGAAACCTCACAGGTAGCAGCCCTCTCAGAAAATAGATGGTAAATGTTTCTTTGAGAAGTTTAAAGGTGTCAGACTAGACTCAGATGAGGAAGGGCCCCAGAGAAACCTGGCTGTATCAAGGCAGATTCTCTATGGATGCAAACCTCCCTCCTGAGGAAAGACAGCTTTTCAGGGCTACTTCTATTTGCAGACCCTCTGAACAGCCATCTCAAAAGATGTCAAAGAAGGATATTTGGGGGTGAAATATTTTGATTTTCTTCACAGGCTTACATTTTACATGGCAGAATCATAATACAAGTATAATTAAATAAAACTAAAGTACAAGTATAATTAAAATGAATACCTAGTCCTATAACAGATACATTCCACAAAAATGTAATTATTAACACCAGGGGCAGTTATATTTCAAGCTCATGCTTCTCAGCTTGTCTGTTCTTGTAGCAGTGTAGGTCAAATCAGAAGATAAAAGCCATAGAGTGATTTCAACAGAAATTTAATATAAAGAATTATGCCATGATAAAAGATTAACTATAGGATATGAGTGAACTCTATAAATTAATCTAGAGCTGATTACTCAAGGAAGAACGAACTTGGAAAGAGAAGCCCTTCCCCAAAGCTGTAGTTAAGACTTTATTGGAGAAGGTGTTTTATCCTACTGAATTACAGAGAAGTCTATCTGTTTACCTGGGTCAGAGCTGGCCTGCAGTCACAGGTGAAGCCGAGCTATGGATTGAATTGCAGCCCGTCCCAATTCATAGGTTAAATCCCTAACCTCCAATTTGGCTACACTGGAGATACAGTCAAATTGTAGGTTAGGGATTTAACATATGAATTCGGACGGGCTGCAATTCAGTCCATAGCTCGGCTTCACCTGTGACTGCGGACCAGGTTAAGCCAAGCTATGGACTGAATTGCTATGACCTGAATTCATTTAGACTACATTTGGAAGTAATTAAAGTGACATTAGGTAATTAAAGTTACACCCCATCAGATTAGGTTGGGGCCCTAATCTGATAGGATTGGTGGCTTTTTATGAAGCCTATAAAACAAACTGATTATAGGCAGATTTTTTTAAAGGCATACACATTTATTAATGTGCATATGGATTTGGGAGTCATATGCAAAGTATGAGGCTCAAAGCAGGGGTCAGATTGTTGAAGTTCTCTCTCCCTCTCTCTCTCTTTCTCTCTCCTTATACATACAGTTAAAGAAGGCCATGTGAGAACACAGCTAGAAGGTGACCATCTACAAGACAGGAAGAGATCCCTCACCAGAAACCAACTGGCCAAAACAACATAACTTTGGACTTCCCAGCCTGCTGAACCATGAGAAAATAAATTTCTGTGGTTGAGGCCACCTAGTCTATGGTACTTTGTTATGGCAGTTCAAGGAAACATATATAAGCAGGAAATAACTCTCTGGAATGAGGATGGGGTGCAGGTAAGCAATAGCGAGTGGCTGGGTGCCTGATATACAAAAGGAGTAAAGGTATACAAACCTTTCCTTTGCTAAAGGAAACCAAAAAATTTCACCCCAAAACATATTTCTTTGATGTATCTTGAGGTGGCTATTCAGAAGGCCAGCAGACAGGAATAGTGCAGAAAAGCTGACTTTCGTGGAGTAGATTTGCATCTGTGCAGAAAATCTATATAGGTGAAATAAACAGCCAGGCTTTCTCTGAGATTCCCCTTCTGCAACATGGTATACAGGCTTCTGAACCCCACTAAGGTATTGACAATCACTCTGTGATTCTCTTTGTGCACACTAATAAACTTGCATGCCATTTCTCCTGTTAATTTACCTTTTTTGAGTTGATTTTTCAGCAAACCTTCAGAGGGCAAAGGGGAAGCTTTTCATTGGCCTCTACACCTGGTTTCCACTTGATTAATTGGCCTCCTGAAACTGCCCAGCTGTTCAAAATGATTTATGCATCTATGTGGCATGGATCACTTCACTACGTCCAGTACTAACCTAAGCAATGCAGGCTCTTGCCCATTCGAGATGAGACTCTAATAAAGCATGAACATTGTCTAAGCCACCTAAAACTTTCATAGAGAAGATAGTCATTGATTTCACATATTGGTTCACAGAAAAAAAGAATGGGACCATTATGTATAATTAACCTTACCATTATTATCATCTGAGAAGTCTTTTTCTATATTTTAAAGTAAATGTCAATTTAGATAGTGAGAACTATAAACTACATTAAGTTGAAATGAAAATGCTGACCATATGTTAATAACTTCATGTTAAGGAAATATATGCACTCACTGAGAGTCTACCATTTTATGACATCATGAGCAATTAAATATTTTGAATTATTTTTCATTTTATATATATACTATTTGCATTTTTTGGTTTGCTTATAATATTCTCTTTATATACAACCCTCAAAATAAAAATAATTTGGAAAGACATGAAGAAGAAACTACCTACCACCAAGAAACTACCACCAAGATATCAAAGATAAACAGAACCAATATTTTGCTGAGCAGTCTTCCATGTATTTACATGTCCATACACATGGACTTAGGACTAAATAAATTGTCATTAGTGGAATCACACTGAATCCTTGCTAGATCATGCTAGGCCATGAGTGCAGGACTTATATATTGAGAAATAAAGAGAATCCTAAGCCCCCCACTTGACTGAACAGACTTCCTCTTGGTCAAAGGAACCAGAGGTTTTTAAGGTTTCTCTAGAGAATGGCTAACCACCATTAGGCTTTCTTCCCTAAGGGTGAAGGCAGAAACCAGCCCTTTCAAAAGTCTTGCCCAGTGATTTCAACCAACTGCCTGACACTTGTCCTCCCTCTTGCAGCTTTAACACAGAAACTGACCAGCATTCCTTCCCAATAAGAGACCACCCACCACAGCATGGCTCTGGCTGGTCTACAAAGGCTGTGTACTAAGCGCCTTCATATCCTCCACTTCACCTTTTGATGTACAAGGCCTAACTGAAATACATTTAAATGCTATGTCTCCACCCCAAAGTGAACATGGGACACATGTTACATACACGTTAGCCTTTCTTATTCCTCCCTCCCTGGAAACACTTATTTTCTGCTCAGTTCAGAGGTTCAGAGTTTCTGCGTCCTGCCTGCAGGTTGTGGTAACCTGCTTTAGAAATAGAGCCCTCTTCCCAAATGTATGAACCATGATGCTTCAAGTGGACAGAATGATTTATGGACTTCCATAAGCATGTGCATGGTGGGCTCACAGTATACATTTCTGGAATCACTGAGTAAATGCTATCGACAAACTGTATTTTTTCAGATTAATATTATGTCATGGAGACATCCCAATTCATCCAGTTGGCTGGCTAAGATAATTAACAACAACACCCAACTTTTGTAATTAGAAACACCTAGAGACACTAGATAATACATAACAATTCTCCTTTCCATTCTCTGTAT
Organism: Homo sapiens; assembly: GCF_000001405.40. Classification (NCBI taxonomy): domain Eukaryota; kingdom Metazoa; phylum Chordata; class Mammalia; order Primates; family Hominidae; genus Homo; species Homo sapiens. The sequence goes on from NC_000009.12 coordinate 42,482,861, forward strand.
TTAGAGTTTGGGGTGTTGATAGCATTGCAGATATCAGAGATAAAGCCTTTGACCTTTGTGATATAATGAATGGGAATAGAGATGCCTGCACCCAGCCAGCACATAGAAAATAGGGCACATTCAAACAGTAGACTGATTTTTTTAAAGAGAGAAAGGATAGGGAACTTTGCTATTCTCTAGGTGAAAACAGAAATTTCTCCTTAGAAATAAAGCACTATACTTATTCCTTGCAGGTATTTAGAGACTAAATATACATAATCAGCTTTGTAAGTACTTAAAATGCTTAAAATAATACATTATTATAAAGTAAGAAGTAATAATAAAGTTCACCTTTATGCATATAAAAAGCCTCAATACATATGATGTAAAAGTTGACAAAATCATGATAAGTGAACAGATATTCCAGAGAGACAGTTTAAAATACCTCTCTCACTGTGGGGAGGGGACAAGTTATTTAATGGATGTAGTTTCTGTTTCACAAGATGAAAAAGTTGTGGAGACTGGTTGTGTTCTGAATGCGAATACACTTAACACTACTGAATTGTATTTAAAAATGGTTAAAATTGTCATTTTATGTTGTATTTTGCCACAATTAAATAATACTTCCCTCAGATACTGGTTGAGCAATAAACCAAAAACAAAATCTCAAAATAAGGATATTTGAAAACACTATTTATGAAAATTTTATGAAAAGGGTAGTAACAGACCATAATACTCAAAAATGACAAAAAATGCTTTCCTTTCAAGTTGATATGAAACACTTATAAAAATTGCAGTGTACTAGGCCACAGCAAGTATCAATAAATAATAATCATCGGGCCAGGTGCAGTGGCTCACGCCTGTAATCCCAGAACTTTGGGAGGGCTAGGTGGTCAGAACACGAGGTCAGGAAATCGAGACCATCCTGGCCAACATGGTGAAACCCTGTCTCTACTAAAAATACAAAAATTAGCTGGGTGTGGTGACACGTGCCTGTAATCCCAGCTACTCGGGAGGCTGAGGCAGGAGAATTGCTTGAACCCAGGAGGCAGAGGTTGCAGTGAGCTGAGATGGCACCATTGCACTCCAGCCTGGCAATAGAGTGAGACTCCATCTCAAAAAAAAATAGTAATAATAATAATTAATATGATCATATTCTTAGACCACAATTTGACAACATAGATTTTGTTAACCAGAAGATCGCAAGATACTATACTTTGCGAAATTTAAAAATACATTTGAAATAAGAAAATGAAGTTATGTTTAGAACAGAATGGCAATAAAAACACTACATATCAAAGCTTGTATATGTTTGGTGCAACTAAAGCATTCTTTAGAAGGTGGTTTGTATTTGTAAATACATTTATTAGTAAAGAGAAAGCCTAAAAAAAAATCAGTGGGGTAGGTAACTCCATCAGAAGGGAGACTCCATACATAAGACTACTTACATGACTACAGAGTTATATAAGAAAGACAAACAGCTCAAAATGTAGAAATAGCCGAATTATAAGGGAACCCAGTGCATGAGATCTTCTGCTTCAGGTCCATTGGGAAAGAATGGGCAACTCTAAATATTAATGGTACTGGGACATTAGTTACAGATGAGAAAAAATATAAAATTGGACCCCTACCTGTCACTGGACACAAAAAAACAAACGTAATTTCTAATGAGTTAAAATAAAAAATAAAAAACTTTAAAATTCAGAAAATATGAAGAAGTAGTTTATACCTTCCAGTGGACAAGGATTTCATACCCAAAACACAAAACTATGAAGTAAAACATTGGTTCATTTTACAACAATAATATTAACATTTTAGTTTATCAAAAGACTTTATAAAAAGGGAATAGAAGCCATTAGTGGAAAGAAGATGATTTGCAACACCTATGAAAAAGGAGTAGTGTTTATGGAATATGAAGAATTTATACAAATCAGAAGAGAAACGAATACAAAACTGGACAAAGGAAACATATAACCTGGCATTTCATAAACAAAAAAAAACATATTACTTATAAACTTAACAAAGATGCTCCACCTCCACATGTGGAAGTCAAGAACAACTGAAGTTCAGCAGAACACCCTGAAGTCAAGATTTTGTCGTGTGTGTGTGTGTGTGAGAGTGTGTGTATATTTTTTATGTTCTGAGTCTGCATATTTTATTGTATACTTTATGGACATTTTCCCATGTCATTAAGTTAAGAGAAAAGCATTGATGACTCATTCAACATATATTTAGCGAGTTGTTACCATGTGCAGTATAGTTTTCTAATTACTGGAGCTAGATGAATGAACGAAATAAAAACAAAAATCTCTGCCTTCATGAAGATTCTATTCTGGGAAAGGCAGACCATAAACAAGAAAAATATAGTATATTAGACAGTGATGAGTGTTAAGAAGCAAAGTAAAATAGAAGGCTAAAAAGCATTGGTCGGGGGAGTGAAAATTTTGAAGTTCAATATGTGAGTAAAGTTCTAACTGAATCAATCAGCCATACATAGGAATATTGTACAATTCAATCATCTCTCCATGGTTCAATATTTAGGTATTTCTATACTTTGACCTTGTAATAAAAGAAAGTGAAAACTCTGTCACATGTCTTTGCCAGTGTCTCCAATTATTACCTCAGAAAGGTTTCTTTTTTTTTTTTAATCTTTTTAATTTTTTTCTTGAGACAGTCTTACTCTTGTCGACCAGTCTGTAATGCAGTGGCATGATCTGAAGGAAGTTGCCAATGACAATAAGACAGTTCACTCAAATGTTACCTCTAGAGGCAGACAGTAATTCCTGCCACAAATATATTTTAAAATCCTAAATTTATTGTTAAAGATCTGGTAATGGTTAGTACAGTAACAGAGATGGAAGGGGAAAGAAACATATCAATGAGAAGAGATGTTTTTCTATAAACAATATAGACAAAGAGAATCAAATGTTCTGCTACATTAGACATCACAGCCACTCATGTAATCTCAATGTATGGTTCTATACGGAAAGAGCAGCTGATTTCGGAAAACACATCCCCCCAAAAAGCTGTCTAAAGCAGTAGAAAGGAAATCTTTGAGCCACCAAGTTGTAAACTGAAGAGCTCCCCAAAGGCTCATGACATACGATACTGTATCTGGTCCTAAGTCCAGCAGCTTGCCACCTAAAAGCCAGAGTCAAGAGACATGGATGGGTGGAAGGAAAAAATGGTTTTAATCAAGGTGTGAGAGCGGCAGGAAGGAAGATAAAGAGAGTGGATGACTGAAGTATATTTTAAAAACTGAGGTCCTTAGTTACAATACCGTTGAGAGTGTGGGGGAATAAGGCTGGAGGGATGACCAGCTTCAAAGGAGGCTGCTCACAGGGTTCCCTATGTGAGCGCTGCAATCTGCAGTTATGTAACTTGGAGGATTAAGTGGGGCTGGAAACAGGATTTATTGAATGTCTGTTTTAGTGTTTTAGGAGTGGTTGAAGACGGCCCCACATGTCCATTTCTGTATAAAGGACAAAATGTTCATTTTCCGTAGAGGATAAAACAGAGAGTCTCTGGACTGGAGACCACTGAGACCAATTGAGGAAAGGGTACAATATTGAAAACAAAGCACACACTGAAAATTGAGATTCCCAGCTTTTCTCATTTCTAGCTTTTAGGATGCTGACAACAGGGCTTCCTTCCTCCAAAAAGAGAAAAAAATAAATCAATAAATATTCATCTGTGGGGATTAGACCAGGTCAGTAAAGATAAGCCAAAAAATCCTGACATTGTTCTGGCACAGTGGCTCACGCCTATAATCCCAGCACTTTGGGAGGCTGAAGTGGGCGGATCACGAGGTCAAGAAATCGAGACCATCCTGGCCAACATGGTGAAACCCCGTCTCTACTAAAAATACAATAATTAGTTGGGCATAGTGGCACGTGCCTGTAGTCCTAGCTACTCGGGAGGCTGAGGCAGGAGAATCACTTGAACCCGGGAGGTGAAGGTTGCAGTGAGCCGAGATCGCGCCACTGCACTCCAGCCTGGTGACTGAGCGAGACTCTTTCAAAAAAAAAAAAATCCTGACATTAGGCATTTCCCCCAAAAATAGATCTAACAGCAAAATAATGGTCCTAGTGGTGAGTTTCTAACACTAAATAACTAGAGGGATTTCAGGGCAAGCATGTGGGGCTTTGACTAGTAAGTAAAGACTAGTAAGTAAACCCTGGATTTAAATCACAATGTGAGTTCTGGAGAGCTCTGAGCAGTGGAGAGATGGAAGGGGCTTCATGGGAGACTCATCCAGCCAGGAAAGAGAACTTTAGAAGGTTGAGCCTGAAAGCAGGGAGCTCACTGTGGAGGTTAGAGGGGTTGGGGGTCGGGGGGGCAGGGGGGAGGGAGGGGAGGTTGGCATTCAGTCCACAGGGCCCCTGGGTTTTTCTGAACCTAGAGACTTCCTAAAATATTTAGTATTCCTGGGATTAAGGTCTATTACCTATTTTCTGAATGGCATGCTTTGTAGTTCTTCTTATAGGAAAGTTCTTGTTCATTATAAGACAATTACGAACTTCCTGAAACTCTAAAGAAAGCTGAATGTTGCAAAGTAAGCTCACGGCTGAAAATACTCTTCCATTTTCAACAACCTTGTTACAAAACTCGGCAAAGAGCAGACTCTTAGTGAACACACAAAGGGGACCTGAATCAGGAGAAGCTCAGGCTCTCCCAGGAGCTCCCCTAAAGGGTTTAGGTCTCAGAGGAGCTTCCACAAAATGGAGTTCTCCTGGAAACAATCACTGACTAGTTGTTTTCTCTTAAAATATCAATTTCCTAACAGTAAGAGAAAATTAAAACACATTTAAATTATATAGAGTTTATTTGAGCATTTGGAGATTCTTTTTGTTTTCTTTTCTCTTTTCTTTTCTTTCTTTTGAAACAGAGTTTCCCTCTTGTTTTCCAGGCTGGATTGCAATGGGTCCATCTCGGCTCACTGCAACTTCTGCCTCCTGGGTTCAAGCAATTCTCCTGCCTCAGCCTCCCGAGTAGCTGGGATTACAGGTGCCTGCCACCACGCCAGGCTAATTTTTGTATTTTTCGTAGAGATGGGGGTTCACCATATTGAACAGGCTGATCTCGAACTCCTGACCTCAGGTGATCCACCCACCTCGGACTCCCAAAGTGCTGGGAATACAGGTGTGAGCCCCCACACCCAGCCCATTTGCTCTAGCAGATTATTCTCTACTCATGTAAGGGTGGAAAGTATATGTCGTTCGTTTACTGTGACTCTTCCAGTTTCTTTTTTACAGAGAACCCACAAAGCTAGAAGATGGCTACTATATGAATTATGTGGGCTCTCCAGAGTTGCAAGTAACTATACCATAAGAAATTGAAATGCATGCTTTTCATTTAAATTGTCAAATTTCTTGCCTTCAAGTTGTTCAGCATACATATTATTATAATCCTTGTAGTATCTCTAGGGTCTATAATAATGTCCCATTTTATATTCTTGATATTGGTGATGTTTTCCTTTTGCTAGGTGTTTTGCAGTTTTTAATAATCTTTTCAAAGCATCAGCTTTTGGCAGCACAGATTTTATTATTGGTCTGTGTTCCATTTCATTGGTTTTCATTTTATTTTTAATTTTTTCTATTTACTTTTGATGCTTAATATTTTATTTTCAAAGAGTTAAAATTTTATAAAAATCAAAGGTGCATATAAGGCTTTGACTTTAACAAATTAAAGCAAAATGAGATTTTTACAACTTCTTCAATGTTAATTTAGTAATAAAATGTTTTTTATTAGCCAAAATATTTCTGCTTTTTCCAAGATGAATGATTTCCCAATGAAGGAGCTTTGATTCTAAGAAATTGTTCTTGTCTCTTCTTGACTAAGATTTTTAAATGATGAAATGAAGCACCATTCTTTAAATGTCTCATGTAATATTTGCTATAGACTGCTGATAATCTTTTAAAGCAGCTAAGGATGTTAAAATGCTGCCTTTGAGGTAACCAGCCATTTTACAGGTAATGTGATACTATTTGGTGTTTTAAAGATGTTAAAATTAATTTCAGTCCTTGAAAATATGTATATAGATACGTATATAATTTACATGAGAAAATAGCCTTGGTATTTCAAGAGGAAATACAAATTGTTGTGCCAAACTGTGCTGGGTTTATTATCTATATTCGAGTTATGAATTCATATTATTAAGGTCTTTTAATTCAAGAGATGAAGAAATAGTTTAAATATTTCACTCCAAGTGAATGGTCTGTCTCTTAGATGGTTAAAGAAATAGAATAGTTCTTCTCTACTTTTTATCATAGTGACTAATACTAGCAAAGCACTTCAGTCCTTCTCTAGGAAAATCACCTTGTTTTTCTACATGATTTGTCTCTCAGTTACGCACATGTTCTATTTCCTGGGCAGGGGTGGAAGGGGAGTTGCTCTGGAGAGACTCTGGTCTCACGGCAGACCCCGTGAGCAAGAAATAAACTTAGAGGAGGCCAGCCACTGAGATTTGGAGGGTTTATTTGCCATTACCGCACAGCCCATCTTATCCTGGAAAATGTACCACATGAACACAAACATAAAAAACAAGACATTTTTGTATTTTAAAAATATAACTCAAATTAAAAACAACAAGCTTTTATAACCTGATGTGAGTATAATCATTTGCAAATATTACTGGAGATTGTGCCAGTGGCTGTAGTTGGGATGAGGGTCACAGCTGTGCTGCAGAAATATGACCTGGACCTTGGGTCAGGAGAAATCTTTGGCCCTAAGACTCTTGGCCATCAGAGGCAACTGCAAAATCAAAGTGCACCAAATACTCCCATTCCTGCTGCACTTTGTGATGAGCTATAGAAATTCAGAAAATGCCAGCCACCCAGGATGTTGGTTGGACCTTTGCCTTCAGAAGGTTTGCCCATCTGGGTCATCATAGAGGAGATGGTGGCTGGACCGAGGCTCTGATAATCTGCTCCTAATGTTCATCTTTCTAGTGCAATGCCCATTCATCAGGACAAAGAGAGAAGGAGCCCTTTACTGCCTCTCCCTCCTGAGGGCTGCGGGCTGTTAGGGCTGGCCTCCATCCTCAATGCAGTGTGCAGGTTATTGTGGATGATCATCTTGGTACTGGGCCTCTCCTGCCTGCTGGGTCAGGCTTGGTGGATAAAGAGACTGGCTCACCACTGCAAGAGTCTTCTGGGCTGACATATGGTGAGTGAGGCATTTGATGGGTGCAATTCTGGTCTGCGGGATTTATTGCCATAAGTTGGTCAGTGCTGCCTGGTGGTGAAGTGAAGCCATCCTTTGATGGCTTCATCCATTGCAGACATGATATTCTGTATCTTCTCTGGTGCTGACCCTCTTCATACCCTGCAACAAGTTCCAGAAGTGGAAACAGTAAAACATCTGCCTCTCTGTCACCACGTTTTTCTCTGTGATCATCTGAAGAGACTGTATGACATGAGCCTCTTCATCAGAGCTGAGCTGAGACAGGGAGACCTGTGAGGTCACCGCATTGTGCCCATCTTCCTATCATTAATGGGCAGGACTTTCTCATCTCCCTTTTTGTCTTCCATGTCTTCTTCAGTTTTCAGTGAGCCATCATTCCATCCTGCTGGCAAACACCCAGGAATGGAGGATATGGAGTTAGAAGAGTCAGTGCATGAACAGCAAGACCTTCCAGATGCATGAGCACAACGCAGCTCTCTGAATGGCACGATTTCCCTAAGGCGCTTTGGGAAAACTTACCTGATTCTCCTCTTAGAAGAAACAGGTATCGGCCAACTGGGATAGTGGTGGTGCTCCACGATGAGACTATCCCAAATGCTACATCAAGTTACACTGGAAACAGCTCCAGTGAAAGACTTTAGCTCCATAAGGAGAACTTATTAGTGGGATACATAGCATGGTTCTTCCCTGGGAGTCTCTAACCTGGTCACCCCATTCGCACATTTAAAATTAGTTTACTAAAGACTGCGGGAATAAACCTTAGAAAACCAGTAGGTGCAGGAGAGGGGCTAAGGAAAGGGAGTTAGTTAAGGGTAAAAGAAACAATCATTTGGACTCTCTCACACGCATTCTATTTCCTGGTTTTATCTTTTTTGGTGATGAAATCAATGATAGCTGAATAAGGCTCACAGCTGGAGGCTTGAAATTCTAGATAAGAAATTTCATGCCAATTTTAGTACAACTGGATAGAAACACTAACACCAGGTGTCTCAAACTTCACCTACACACACACATACACACACACACACACACACACACCAACTAGCTTACAATCCTTGCAACTAAAGCAAATCCAATTGCAGACAGTGCTGGACTCGCTGGAAAAGAGCTGGTGATTGTTTCTCCACTGGGTGTCAGAAAGAAGCAAATTTGCAGCCTTTGGGCTGGGCTGCTATTGGTTGATGGGTGTGGAGTCCCCTCCCAGGTCTCCTTTAGAAAAGCTTTGGATTCCAGGTATCACCTCGGACAGCATTTCTTCATAGAGGATGCTGTGGTTCCTTCTTACCTGATCACCTGTGGTAAGAAAGCCAAAGACTCCACCCTCTTCACCCCAGAACAGCCATAGAAATTCTCTGAGGCAGCAGGCTGACATTTCTAGTTAGCAGTTGCTTCTGCTTTGACTCAAGAAAGGTAAGTATTTCACTAGAGCTTATATTAGAAAATCTGGAGTTTGGAATTTTCTTGCTTTTCTTTCAGGGATGTGAGCACATACTACAGGAGAGCTGGCTTTGAAGCCTCTTAGGTTTGTTTTCGTACTCAGACCAAGCTGGGTCCCCTGAGCACTTTTGCATTGCTGGTAAGGAAGGCGAGCGCAAGCCTCTCTCTCACACACAGGTGGACTTCATTGTGATGCTATAGAAATCTCCTAAAGGACGTAGTGGCAGGACATACCCAGTGTAGTAACACTACCCTTCACATTGGTCATTTTGGTATAATTTCGAAACTCATACTAGTGTATTTAAGGCATTTTATAGTTATCAAGCAAATTTTACACTTTAATGCTAATAAATAATTTATCCTTCAAAATCTTATGTATACATGGGATAGATTAAATATGTAAGAAAGCATGATATATGTATGCTGATCAACTATAATTAATCAGCACGTCTGACTAGACCTGAATATAGATAACCACTCATTTCAGCCATGAAGCTCCAGGTGGAGTAGAATTATGTGAAGAGCTTGCAGAAAAAGGATTTTGTTTGTTCAAATTCCTCTATTCAGCCAGATGCCAGCATTCATCTTGCATGCACGGTCTGGTCTTACTTTCATGGTTTTTGTCATGCCCTCCAGCCATCTTATCTGAGGGCGCTCTGGTGTTTCTTCCACCCTCAAGGCACGGTCATGGACCCAGGTCAGGGCAAACTATAGCCTGCACATTCATAGCCATGTCCTTATCTGCATCATGGCCACCTTCACATAACACGAGTTAGGACACCTCTGCATTTCTGTAATAACAGATCTCCCAGAACCCTCATTTTCTGGGCTTATACAGGTTGTTTAATATCCATCAAGTTAATTGAGTGAAATCAACTTTGACAACAGCCTTTGTCATCCATAGTGAGAGATAACTCAAGAGATACCATGTTTGATTTGGGTCCTTCCAGTTAAATTTCATTTTTACTTAAAAGCATGTGAAAGTACTGGTTCATTTAACAAAAGTATCATCAACTAGTTTCCCCTGATCTCTCCAGGGCACCCAGATCCCAGGGCAGGGTCCTGCTCCCTTCCTTCTCTCCCCACCTACGGAGGCGCTCTCCTTTCCTTCTCCCTCTGCCTGGGGAGCTAGCCTGAGCACCACACTGAACTCCATCAGACCCCAAGAAAGAAACCAAGAATGGCAACTGAAATTTGTCATGCTTGAAGCAGCACCTCCTGGAAGACCTATGAGTTTTGCTCAAGAAACTTTTGGGAACCAATAAAACTAAACTATAGTGATGAATATATATACATATTTTTTGAGCGGGATAACATTGCCAGGAAACTTGAATGTTACTCTTCAAGTATGGGATGTAGGGGGTGCGTACAATACGCGGCAAGAAGGTGGATGCATTTATCTATGGACCACAGAGAATCCTCTTGTTACAAATTAGCAAAGCTTGGAGAATTTAAAAGATTGGTACGGCCAGGCGCGGTGGCTCATGTCTGTCATCCCAGCACTTTGGTAGGCCGAGGCGGGCGGATCACGAGGTCAGGAGATCGAGACCATTCTGGCGAACACGGTGAAACCCTGTCTCTACTAAAAATACAAAAAAAAAAATTAGCCGGGCGTGGTGGCCGGGGCCTGTAGTCCCAGCTACTCGGGAGGCTGAGACAGGAGAATGGTGTGAACCCCGGGAGGCGGAGCTTGCAGTGGGCCGAGATCGCGCCACTGCACTCCAGCCTGGGCGACAGCGAGACTCCATCTCAAAAAAAAAAAAAAAAAAGATGTGTACATTGTACCGAAGAAAGGGAGCGAAGAGTCAGAAGCTTTGCTACTGGTTGCCTTGGTGAGCAATAAAATTTATTTGGAGCACATGGAAACAGTAAAACCTGAAAAACACTTATGGTTTTGCCAGGAAAATGGTTTTAGTAGCCACTTTATCTCAGCCAAAACAGGAGACTGTCTTCCTGTATTTTCAGAAAGTTGCTAATGAAATCCTTGGACTCAAATTAAACAAAGCAGAAAAATAGAAGAGTCAGAGAGTGGTGAAGGCAGGTATTGGAAACTACAATCAGGCCCCCAGAACGGTGACTCTTCCTACAAGCTCTATGTCTGCATCCGTGAGGGCATTTATTTTTAACTAATAGTTCTGGCTGCACCTCACCTCTGCGTGGGCCTGAGCATGTTTGGAAACTTGTTTTGCACGCAGCCATCTCTGTAGTTCAGTTAACACTTTCCTAGCTCACTTCATCATCAAGTGTTGCCTCACAGGCCAAAGGCAGCTCCTTGGACTGGTAAGAATTCAATTTGGGGACCACAGTCTTTGAGTTCAAAATGGAAAGCTCATTCTCTGGAATTAGGCTGCTTCATCCAAAAAGAATACTGGCTCTCTTTGTATCCTCCCCTCTTTTCTCCTTCATGTAAATACACAAAATATTGAATGGCTGCATGAAAGATGAAAAGTGTCCGAGTCTTCATCATCAGCCAGGATTTTGCTACAGCAGCTTCATTGTCCTACCTGAACTTGTACATGGCAAATCATACTTCAGAATGCAAGCATTTAAACACAGAATATATTTTACCTACAGAAGGTCCTTTGCCATTTTGAGTGAAAATATATAAACCTATGTCTAACTGAAAATGCTTGAAATAAAGTTGTAATCAAATTTCTTTTATTTTTTTAAAAAGAGCCTAAATTGTTTACGTCATAGCTTGTAAAAATAGTATCAGATATTGTATTTTTACTATTGTATGATGGTCACTATGTACTATGTAACATTCAGGTTAAATAGCTTTATGAATTTTGATAAATGTTCCTCTGTAGCTCCACATGTAATTTCTCTTGCAAACTGTATAAGAATACTCCTAGAATGAGTTATGACAGATCGTTGGATCATTGTGGATCAGACCATACCTGATGTTCAGATATTTTTTCTTCCACAAATACATTTATTTAAATGACTTTTTAAAAGTGACATAAACTAATTGGGCACACTGTAATAATCTCAGGCACCACTGCCTGAGAACTGATGTTTCTGCTGCTTTTCCCTTATCTTGACCTATTCTTCATGGTTACATGATAGTCATACACAGTATATGCCCTTGTTCATCTATAATTCAAGTGTATTCCTTTCTCTGGGCTAACATGGTTATTATTTTCTTTCCATTTGTTTTCAGAAAACAAATTTTATTTCATTACAATGAACTGAGCATGTTTATTTATTTTAATAAGTTGTCCCTGTATAATTTTATTGTGCTACCTTTTTTATTATCCATGTCTTCAGAAAATATTATTTATTTAAGAAAGATACTCATAATACTGATGTATCATTATATTAATCTTTTTTGTAATCCAATCATTTTCTTTTATATTTCTTAAATAAACTACACTAGAATTATGTCACAAGTAAAGTTTTGTAGATCACCATCTTCTTACTGTTACTTTGTAACTGGGGAATTCTGAAATAACAATATTATTGTAGCTTATATTATTTTTCTGTTAATCAAAGATACATTTAATTAATTAGAATTTTTTCCTTTTTGTACTCAGCTTCTACCACTCTTCTATTTTGCATTAGAGAGTTCTTAAAGAAAGCTGTTGATTGGATATAGTAAATAATTTAAAAATCAATGTTTAATATATAAAGTTTTTCTTACTAAAAAAAATCACCCAATTAAAAGTGGGCTAAAGATGGGAATGGACATTTTGCAGAAATAAATAAACCACAAATGACCCATAAAATTTTTTTTTTTTTTTTGAGACCGAGTGTCACTCTGTCACCCAGGCTGGAGTACAGTGGCACAAGTTCGGCTTACTGCAACCTCCACCTCCCAGGTTCAAGCAATTCTCATGCCTCAGGCTCTCGAGTAGCTAGGACTACAGGCACACACCACCACACCTGGCTAATTTTTGTTTCTGTTTTTGTTTTTGTTTTTAGTAGAGACAGGGGTTCCACCATGTCAGCCAGGCTGGTCTCGAACTGACCTCAAGTGATCCGCTGGCCTCGGCCTCCCAAAGTGCTGGGATTACGAGCGTGAGCCATCAGACCTGGCCGACCTATAAACTCTTTTTTTTTTTCTTCTTATTGCTTGAAACTGCTCGTATTGCAAGTTTTTCATGGATGAAATATGGAATTGAGCAGATTCTTTTTTTCTACAAAATTATGGTATAAACTTGCTCAATTTTCTATCTTATTGCTAATACATCTTACAGGCACACAGTTTGTAAAGTAAACCCCTTAAGGGCTGAGTGCGTAGAGTGTGCTGCAAGGTACAAGAAATAAGCTAAAAATGAGCATATAAACCTACATCTGGACCAACACGGTACTGAATGCTGGAGTCTGAGCAAAGAATGAGTGATGAAAACAGCAAAGCTGGAAAAAAATGCTACTAATAATAATTTCTGAAAAGTCTATTAATGAAAATTTTTTCAAAATAGCCCAGGAAACCAGAAAGACAATGTTCTGTATGGAAACACTGCAGGAAGTTACAGTTTTGCATTCATAAATTACCGTGGCTCCTGTTTTATGGGACAGTAAAAGCTTACCACAATCTAGAGGTAGTTTTTACTCTAAGAAGGATGATTGTATTACTAGACTGTGCCGTATCATATTATGCACGTGGTTCTTGTACTAAATGTAGCCCAAAGAGTCTGCTGCAATTTCGAAGAATCCGAACAAAAGCTAAGCGAAGTTCAGGAATGAAAGCAAGGTACAACTGCCGAGTTTCGCATGCAAGGCCAATGTACAACCCTGAATGCAACCAAATCTCAGCTGAAAGGAAAAGAAACATTTTCTGAGTTAGGAGACATTTGTGGAGATGCTCAGTACTGGAGAAGAGAAAACAAACAAAAAAGGCAGGGAAAAGAAAAATAAAAACACAAGTTACATTTGCATTTCATAATCTTACAACTATCTGTTTCTAAAGTACTGTCTTCCAGCTATTTTAGTTGATCATCTAATAAAAGCATCTTATGTTTTAAGATTACAATGATGTTCTGGCCTAGGCTACCCCCTCCAACACCCCCAAAAAGTAAAGTTAATAAAACATGCTTTTGCTGAGATCTTCCTCATTCTACCATAAGGGCACCATCTCCCAACTGGTAGCAGATGCTTCTCATGATATTTTTTGTCACTTGCCAACAAGGCAGAAAATACTCTGCTGGATGAAATCACTGGGAACATTCCAAGTTCAAAATGAAATGTTTAACTTATACGTAATACAAGTTATGTACAAGATCAGGAGCGGGGAAAAACCTGAACAAATCCTGGAACACACATAATGTATTTACGTTATGGGAAAAGGAGAGAGAACACTTCAAATATCAACATGTTCTGCGCTATTAACTCATTTATGGCAAAATGGCCACACCAAATTGCATGTGAATGTTAGAACCTCTTGGATAACCACTAGAAATACTTTTTTTTAAAAAAAGGAAAATGCAGAAATAACTACCAACAGTGTCTGCGAAGAGAGACTAAGTTAACATACATTGCATGTGTTGCAGGCAAGGCAGAGGCAGCTTTTTAAAGCTTTTGCACAGACTTCACATAATCTTAAAAAAAAATGTAGGCCTTCACAAGATTTGACTTGCTGAAATCCAAACAATTTTGACTCACGAAAAGTCGTAAGACTTCAGCTGGAAAAAAAAAAAAAAGCTCTAGCCTCGGACCAAAAAAAAACTTGGAAGAACATGATAATTAGATTAAGCAAGCATGGCCAGGCTTGGAACCTGAATGTATTTTAAAGCAAAAGCTCAAAGGTGAGTGGGGAAGAGAACAACCTCTTTGGTGACAAGATGTACTATAATACCATGATATAAAAAAGGGTATGGTGAATATGTGAAAATGTACCTTTTACTAAAGCTTATACAATATACAAGTTACTTGGTCCATAAAAACTATGTTAGATTTATGTCTTCTAGTTTGTTCAACTTGTATTCCAGCCACATTATTTACTTCTTGCCCACTTAAACAAAACCAAACAAAAACCAACCAACCAACCAACCAACCAACCAACCAACAAAACAGCTGAAAAAATTAATTTCCAAGTTTTTACATTTTGATGTTTTTTTGTTTTACTGTGGCTTCTGCATTTCAAATCAGCACTTGCAGATAGATAGTGGGGTTTTAGAATAGTATCACCTGGTGTGAAAAGTTTTCCCAATAAACCACAAAAGACTGTTCATTTTTTTCTCCTTTTTTGTCAACTTTTTGCTGCACTCAAGTCCGTTTAAGTCTTAGCAAAAAGACGGTAGTTAGGATACCACTGTTGGTGTAGATGATGTGACACTGGTTGAATTTGTGCTGGCGTTTGTGTAACTTCTGTCGCTGTTTGTGTTTAATTCATTAGGGGGCACGTGGCTTGAACTGGCTTGAAGGATGGCACCTGCTACACTGCAATGTGGCCGCGGCCCTGCTTCTGGTGTGTAGGTAAAGGTAAGGCTGGTGGAATATATGATTCCATCATTTCGGACCAAAGTTACTGAAACCTGTATTGGTTGCTGGACCTATCTCCAACCTTCTCAGAATGCAGAAACGTCTGGGACAACACGAGCATACTCTCTCCACACCTGTACATAGCTTCAGCTTCTACATCCCCAAACCACACTTGTAAATTTGGAGTGAAATTCTGTCCTGTAAGTTCAAGCATTGGTTCGTCCCCACCGCCATTCAACTTAAGGCTCTCTACGACAGGCGGAGGCATGACCAGGGCAAGGACAGGGCCCACTCTCTCGTAAAATGTATGCTTCGCCTTATGTGTGCTAATGATTGCCCAGGAAGCACCATCATTTATCTTCTCTTTATTTGGTTCTTTTGGGCATGGAGTGGCCTGAAATTGAATTATTCTTTCTTGAGAAAGGCATAAGTACTTTCTTTCTGTATCCTCAAGGTCAAATGCACATTTATGGAGTTGTGACACAGGATCATCTGCATCCAATAATGTGGTCTGCTTATCAACTTTCCTAATTATCAATCTTGGGAGTGCCATGCCAGTAACTGAGCACACAAGTTTGACTGTTTGTCCATAATGAATGTAGCCATCTCAGACTGTGAATTCTTCTCCTTCTGATCCATCATCATCCAAGAATAATGTAAAATGCTCCCCATTGCTGTGAACTAGCATGAAAATTACCTCTTTCTACGTGCAAGTATCTGGTACTAACTGTCTGGGATAGTAGTCGATTAAACAGAGCCACCTTTTTTCCTGAGGCAATGCATAAGTCAGCATTTTTCAATGACTGCTTCTTTTTGGAAGGTTTGGACGACTTGCTGAGGAACACACCAATGTCATCACTGTTGCCACAGAACACCTTTACAGACAACATGAAGTGCTTTTGCTTGTCTAAATCAGATATGTACAATGTTTTGGCTGTGCAATAGTTCTTTCCTTCCAAGTTTAGCTGCTGCATTTCTTGGTCACTATTTCCTATGCCAATAAATGCACTTGGTTGAGACCCTTGTTCAGAACAACCATCGCATTTCATTTGTTATTTTATTTTCTTCCATCCACTGCCCATAAGATATACACAAGGGGGAGGGCAAAAAAACCTTTTTTCATTTCCATATGACTTCTGTACAACTTTTGCATGAAGGCTAAGTACTATTTGATCCCCTTACCCTTTTAAATAATTTCACATAGCTTCCCTAGTAAGTCGTTTAAATGGAGGCCACTTACCAAATTTCCTTTTAATCCATGCCATGGTACCTCAAGAACATGTTAAGGTAAATAACAGCTTGGAACATTTCAATGCACCTCAAAACACCTCAGCCAGTGTATCTGTATCATTCTCCTTCATTTTGAAATAATAATGTTTCCAAAGAACTGTAATGCTTCCATTTGAATGATAGTCTTATAATTTCAATGACGTTCCACAGGCTGTACAGGAAGCATGGCAGCATCTGCTTCTGGGGAGTCTTCAGGGGGCTTTTACTCGTGGCAGACAGCAAAGCAGGAGCAAGTAACTTACATCCCCATAAACTCTTAAATGATTAGTAATCACAGACCATGATAACATACTAATTTTTATGTACTGGAACAACTAAAATTAAGAAGTCTGATAAGAGAAAGAAAATCCAACATTACATGCCTCTGAATATGATTCAATAGGAAGCACACTGCACCACCTTTGAAGTATTCTTGCCAAAAGAATATAAAACTAAAAGAACTTAAATCAACCTCTTGTTCTAACTATCAGTTTATATGTGTTAAATTATACCATAAGGCTGCACTAAGCCAAACACAAAATGTGGGAAATTCTACAGGCGAATGACCTAGTTTTTTCTGCAAATACATGGAGTCAGGTGGGAAGAAGATATTGTGATCAATTAAAACTGTTAAAGTTAAAGAAAGAGGAAAGAAACATGAAAAGTGGCTTAAGAGTCAAAGACAGGTTTATTTTGGAGAATAAACCTGAGAGGGGCTTCTGGCCGATTTCGGTTAGGAACACTCTCTCTTCCAGAGTAAGAGTATTTATTGGTGAGAGAGCTTATCACAGGCTTGGAATGTTTCTGTATGGGGGAGAAGCTCATGGCGGGTTTGGAATGTCTATGGTCAGAGGGGAGGTTTTCTTGGGGCTGACATCTCTCCAGCTGGAGGGGAGGTTATCTGGGGGCTGGCATGTCTCTGGTCAGGGAGGGGTTTATCCTATGGTTGGAATGTTTCTGGTTGGACATGTCATTTGTGGTTTATGGTCATGCTGACCTTAGCCATTAGGCTGATGCCCTTTGGATTTAGGTGGTTTTTAGGTGGATCAAGGGGAACTTTAGAATGGTGGTACTTGTCCATGATGGCGATGCTCCTGCTCTGTCAAAAACCTCTGTCAACCAAATGCAGTGTGCGTGGACTTGTTTGGATTCTCACTGAAAAAGAGATCTGTGAGACAATCATGAAAACCTGAACACCAAACATTAGATGATATTAAGGAATTACTGTTAATTTATTTAGTTGTGTTAATGGTACTACTATCATGTATTTTAAAAGTCCTTTCCCTTAAAGATACATAGCTATATATTTTAAAATGATATAATATGATGTCTGGGGTTTGTGCTAAAATTATGCTTGAGTGTGTGTTTGTGGGAGGGATATATATGAAATTTTAAGACTACTCCATATATTTATAATTATTGAAGTAGAGTGTAAGGAATACATTGGGTTTTATTACTTTTGTCTCTACTTCCATGTATGTTTGAAAATTTTCATAATAAAAATTGTAAATAAAAGTCTAATAAAAATCATAGTTTTAAAAATTAGGATGAAAAATCATAAATAACAAATAAGATCTAATAAAAATATTGTATAGTGTCATAGTGTAAAAGTATTTTATGAAGACACATATTGGTAATTATATTTTAAAACTCCATAAATTGAAAAGTTCAACAACCATACTGTAACCTCCTGATGGGTTCTTCCCGCCTGCTGCACAAAAAAAAATCAATTCACAGAGACCAGGGCATTGCAGTAAAGGAAGAATTTAATTGATGCGAAGCCAGCCACACCACACAGGAGGTGGAGTTATTAAATCAAACTCATCAAAAGCTTGTAGGTTCGGGTTCTTTCAGAGGTAATTTGGGGGAAGTGATGAGGGTGGCTAGGCAATGGATGCTTTCTGCTGATTGCTTGGGGGGTGCAATCTTAACATGGGAAAAGATCCTGCTCTGTGCTGAATGGCTTCTGCTTCTGTATGGGGCCACATGAGCAGTTGGTGGGTTCAGAAGGCACCATAATTGGTGCCAAACACGCAAAATATCTGAAAGGCTATCTCAAAAGGCCAATCTTGGGTTCTACAGTCGTGATGTTATCTGCAGGAGTAATTGGAAAAGTTGCATATCTCGTGACCTCTGGAATAATGGCTGGCAGTCTTTTATGTCTACACCTTTGCCGAATTCAGGCTCTTCTCCTCCTAGCCTGGTTGTCTCTCATTAGCTTTATAAAGGTGATTAAGTTTTGGAGAAGGAATATTATCATTTAAACTGTAAACTACATGTCTCCCAAAGCTAGCCCATCCTAAGCCTGGTAATAATTAAGGCAACATGAAGGTAAAATATAAGAGGGAAGTTGGCTATATTAGATCTTCCCCACTGCCATAATTTTCTCACTGTTATAATTATTGCAAATGCAGTTTCAATATGAGTTGTTTTTCAATTCAACCTCTGGCTTTCTAATTAAAAATGATTAGTTAAACACATGTGCATCTTCTTCCTATTCTACCAACATCCTATTGAAATGACCATGTGATGGACAAAAGAGAAGATATGTGTCCATGCTGAGAACAGGATGCAAAACCTTCAGCAGACTAGAGGGCAGGAGATGGGAACACACTGGGATGTGTAGCCTGAACGATGCAAAGAACAGTGTTGAGGGTGAGACAGAAACCCCTCACAAAAGAAAGACACAAACCTAGAATCCCAGGCATGCATCACAAGCAACTGCAGTGCTATTAAAGGGCTGTTTATGGATCAGCTGGGCCAGTCAGCTTCCTTTCCTCCCATCCTGCAACTTCTGGCAGTAGCTGGCAGCAGTTATTTAAAAGAGACTAGCCAAGACGGTTCCTGAGTGAGTCCAACCACAGTCAGCCCAGGGCCAGACTCATGGCTCCCAATCTATGGTACTGAGGTTCATGTTCATTAATTACATTTCCAATGAAACAATAATTGCCTTTAGTAAACTACAGGAGCATAAGTAGAAACGATATTGTAGTAAATGTCTCATATCATTACTTCTGCCAGAAATACCTCTGCCCTTGCATTTTCAAAAGATATTTGCTGCATCCTTTTCTGAAATATATTTTTATAATCTCAATTCATTCAAAACCTAACTTTATTTCATTTATTTATTTATTTATTTATTTATTTATTTATTTGAGACACAGTCTCATTCTGTCACCCAGGCTGGAGTGCAATGGTGCGATCTCTGCTCACTGCAACCTCTGCCTCCCAGGTTCAAGCGATTCTCCTGCCTCAGCCTCCTGAGTAGCTGGGATTACAGGCACCTGCCACCACACCCAGCTAATTTTGGTATTTTTAGTAGAGACGGGGTTTCACTATGTTGGCCAGGCTGGTCTCGAACTCCTGACCTCAGGTGATCCACCAGCCTCGGCCTCCCATAGTGCTGGGATTACAGGCGTGAGCCACCTCGCCTGGCCCAAAAACCTAACTGTAATTATTTCCCTAGCCACTATACTGATCATTTTATTTAGTGCTTTTTTTACACCATTACATATACATATAAGGAAAACTGGCATCTTTTATATATTTATTTATTTTTATCCTGTTTTCCTCTAAAAACTGTTAAGGCAACTTCCAAAATATATTCTACATAATAAGATTAATAAACAAGCAAAATAAATCAGTAAGAAAATCTAGCTTGGATTGGTATGGGTTAAAAAATAAACACATAAAATATATCATGATATTTATTTGGTCTAATATAGGCTTCCCCTGCCCCCCCACCACCCCCAACCCCCTCCCCACCACCCCCAACCCCCTCCCAAGAGGACAGGGATGCCCGGGTCCGAAGCCATGGCTGGGCAGCTGCCCTTGCGCCTGGGACTGCAGGGCTCCCTCCCCACCAGCTCAGAAGCAGCCAGGGCTCCCGCGGGCTCCACAAAGCGCTCCCTGCGGCGCCTCCCCTGCTGCAGCCGGCATCTTGGCAGCAGCCTCTCCAGATGGGCCGCTGCGGCCATCAACACCACTCAAACCGGTAATGTGGCTCAGCCAGTTCTGCCATCCCACCCAGGAACA
The DNA here is from genome assembly GCF_000001405.40 of Homo sapiens. NCBI lineage: Eukaryota > Metazoa > Chordata > Mammalia > Primates > Hominidae > Homo > Homo sapiens. The sequence goes on from NC_000009.12 coordinate 42,503,189, forward strand.
GAAGGCAGCAAGAAAACCTCACTTTGATCCCCCTGTGATTCCATCTCCAACCTGACCAATCAGCACTCCCCACTTCCTGAGACCATGCCATATTATCCTTAAAAACTCTGATCCCCAAACGCTCGGGGAGACTGATTTGAGCAATAATAAAACTCCAGTCTCCCGCCCAGCTGGCTCTGCAAGAATGACTCTTTCTCTATTGCAATTCCCCTGTCTTGATAAATCAGCTCTGTCTAGGCAGGGGGCAAGGGGAACTTGGGCGGTTGTGTATATATATTAATATATTTGCACTCACACACACAAATATATGTAATATTTGCAACTGGAAGTGGAACAGGACCTCCTAATACAGAGACGAGCTCCTGTAGCATCAGGAGTCAGCAGCTCCCTGCCAGGTGGAGCCTCCGTTGTGGTCATACTATTGAGGGGTCCCCCACCTGAACGCCAGTCCCCACCCCTGATTCAGCCATTTCGCAGATATTTATTCAGAAGTTCCAGGAACTATTCTAAGGGCATCAAGTGCTGTTCTTGTCACAGGCAAAGAAAGCCCCAAAGGGAAGGTGTCTCTTCCGGCGGTGCCTGCCCCACCTCCAAGCCTGGCACCTTTCGAAATTTATCTTAGGACATTTCCGACAGGTGTTGCTCTTCTTCAGCTTTGTCCTGGCATAATTTTGTCTCCCAGGAGCCTTCATTTTCTTCCTTCATTGATCCTACATGTGCTGTAGCTAACAGGAATTCCTCAGAGCTCGTAGCCTTTGGATAGTGTGGTTTCACCGTTGTCAACACTGATATGTTTATCTATACTTTGAGCTTCGTGTAGTTTTTCATTAGGATTTTGTGAAATGCACAGGATGATGTAGGCTAGAATGATAGGTTCGATTAGCTATGTTCCTTGATAATTTCAAAGTAAGTTATATTTAAATAACCAAACTATTTAGATTTATGCGTCTATGATAAGACATTTCAGTATTTTTGAATCAAACCATTTTAAGGGTTTTTTTTTTAATGAAACACTTATTTACTTAAAATTATTACATAACTCTCCCCTTGCATGCCACATTTTAGGCAAAATTAACAGCATATTCCTAAAACCCAGCTTACTAAATTGCTTCTCTTGATAGCTTTTTTTTTTTTAACCGAGGAAGAATTTCTGATTGGAAGCTTTAATTATAGTGGGTTATGTACTAGCCAAGGAAGGCAATAAATTGAAAATATGCTGTTTAATTTTGTTGTTGTTTGTTTGGCTGGAGAACACTACAGTTTTATTTCTATTCATAAACCAGTGCTTCCCAACCAGGGCTGTTTTTGCCTCCAGGGAAGAAAATGTCTGGAGACATCTTGGGTTGTCAAAACTGGAGGTTGCTACTGGCACTTAGTGAGTACAGGCTATGGATGCTGCTAAGCATGCCATCTTGCACAGAACAGCCTGTACCCTCTCTTCTCCTCTGCAAGAAGAATTAAAAATTATCTGACTCAAAAGGTTAAGACTGCTAAGATTAAGAAACCCTGCCATCGACCAGTGGAAGTAAAAATTGTAAGGATTTATTATTTCAAATCTATACAGCTTTACCTCACGAGTTTTACTTTTTCTAATTCTCTTTAGGGAAGTTTCTCTTCCCTCTCATTTTCCAAACCAAGTTGTGATTTTTGGCATGAACTACTCCACCCCACAGCCCAGCTTCTGCGCTTTAAGATGTTGTGGATATGGGCTCCATGCTTGTAGTGGTGAACTTCGAGGCCTGTCACATGTCCTGCTACCCCAGACCACTCCATCACATGACCTGTGCATACACCTTACATCATTCTGAAATGCCCTTCACATATGCCCTCTTCCAGAATATAAAACATCTTCCTTGCATAAATACTTCCAAGGAAAAGCTGGCCACACTCTGACTACTTAAACCCCTTGAAGTTTTGTTCTATGAAAAACATAAATGGTGGTTCAGCTGGCAGCATCCTCAGTAACACTCTTGATATTTTCTATCCTCTAATTTTCTCCATCTGTTTGAGAGAACACACTTTGGGTTATCTGGGGTCTATGCCAAAGGAGGCATTGTGGATAAGTGTGACTCAGCCCTCCTCAACAAAAAATTACCTTTCAATTCAGGGCAGAAGCTTATGATATTGAAACTCATGTGGTTCCTCGAGAATCTCCTCAATACTCTTTCCCCATGAGCCAGGGGTGAGGGTAACTGGCAAAGCAATCAGGTCTTGGTGCCAACAAAATCCCATTTCATCCCTGAAATACAAGGCCCATCAGGACGTGACATCTGTCTGTATTACTTCCTACTATATAATCCCCAGTAACTAGAACAAAGCAGTTAAAAAATATTCAACGCAGTCAGAAATATATTTATCATATGCTGCTAAAAATACCCTCCATTTTCTAGCTCTCTAATCAGTTAATATGTGCACATTTAAACTACATCACAGCATTGGATTTGTTCTATCTGTCTGTGTGGACACAATTGTGCTGCTGACAATTTAGTCAAGTGTTTCATCTCTATGTAGACAACTGTCATGTAAGAATTAATGAGAATTTCCTAACATGGTGGCAACTGGCAGCTATTGCTCTGAAAATTTCTAGCTCTGAAAAATTTTAGGCCAACATGTTTACAGTAATGTTTTAGTTTAAAGAGCTTGGAAATGGGGTTTCCTTGAATGTATTGGAATAAACCATGTATTTTATTCCCAGTTTTGGGAGACATCTGCTTTCCTTACGTTCCCCAGGCTACCACCATCCAAAAGCAGAAAAGCCATTTAGGGAACCAAGAGTTTTAGTCAAGCTATTTAACTGTCATCAGAAATGAAGAAAACAAATCACCTCTACAGCCTTCTGGGTTAATTTTTATGAGGTGGTTTGTCTTCATTCGGTGGAAAAGAATAATCTTAACTTCAGGTCATTGGCAGGTCAATAAAAGCTCTAAAGCTAAATTTTCACCAAAATCTCAGTTGAGATAAGTAACATTTAAGGATTATTTGGAAGAATAGGCTCCATTGATTTCTGTAATAACCAGAGATTTAATACTGGATTAATCCAGACCATCATATAACTCCATACTCAAGCCATATTGTCTTGATTGCCCAAGAAATTGCTTTTAAGAAACTGTTATATATTTATTGTCCAAAACGTGTTTATTATAGGGTTATTGTTGAAAACAATGTCCCCTTTATCGCTTGGTGACTCCAATTAAAGGCCCCAATAAACATTGCTCTCAGACTTGATTTTGACAACAAAACCTGTCACATAAAATACTGAAAGTATGAATGTTAGAATTCTTTTTTATTTCCGGGAAGCTGAGATACAAATACAGAACCAAAATTCAGTGACATAGATCTTTATCATATCTTGCATGGTCCTCTGAAATAGGAAGAAAACATTAAATTTTAACTTTTGACTTTAGGGTAAAAAAATCACTTTTATACAAATCAAAAACAAACAAGAAAAGAACCCCATACAAATTATAAAGATAAAGGCCGACAAAATTGACCATAATAAAATAAAATTTCTGTGCAACAAGACACTAGGAATAAAAGTTTGCAAGAAAAGCTAGTGGGAACAAAAAGATATTTACAACATTACTGAAGATATAAAGATTGATATCCAAAATAAAAACCTCTTATTAAAAAAGAAAGAAAAAGTAAATGAAAGTACAAACAGATTAAGAAGAGAAAACATGGCCGGGCGCGGTGGCTCACACCTGTAATCCCAGCACTCTGGGAGGCCGAGGCAGATGGATCACTAGGTCAGGAGTTTGAGACCAGCCTGGCCAACATGGTGAAACCCCGTCTCTACTAAACATACAAAAATTAGCTGGGTGTGGTGGGGGGCACCTGTAGCCCCAGCTACTCGGGAGGCTGAGGCAGGAGAATCACTTGAACCCAGGAGGCAGAGGTTGCAGTGAGCTGAGATCATGCCACTGCACTCCAGCCTGGTGACAGAGTAAGACTCCATCTCAAAAACAGAAAAAAGAGAGAGAAAAAACATTAATGACTAACAAATGTATCTAAAGATTCTCAGACTCGTTAGTAGTCAAAAAAGTGTACATTATAGCAATGATGAGAGTGCAATTCTCTTTATCTGAACTGGTAAACATAAAAAAGTCAGACAAAATCAAGCATTATTGAAGTGACGATAAGGGAGTTATCTGGTGATGCTGGTGGGAAGATACAGCGGCTGTGCGAGGTGATTCTACAACATGACTTACAGGCGAGTACTCATGCGCACCCTCTGCCCCAACAACCTGACAGCTCTTCCCCTGCCATCTTCCATGGTCCACACAAACATGCATGAGTGTGTCCTGGGCAGCTGCACCCTCACCTTTGTGCATCACAGCAGGGTCCACCTGCTCTGGGTCCTTATGACATGATGCTATTCTCAGTGTGCTGGTATGTTCCTGACACTGTACAATGGCTCCAATCAGCCCTACTGCTGTCTGGAACAAAGAGAAACTTTGGTTATATAGTGTGTATTTGCATAAAGACCGTTTTCAAAGAGCAAGAATAATATAAAAGAAATAAATTTGTGCCTGTATATAGACTCCCTAAAGCTGTCTCTGGCCTCCAGTTTAAAAACATCTAGAATCTAGCCAGGCCCTTGCCTTTCCTTGAAGCACACTTATCTGCCTAGAGTTAGGTGTAAATAATTTTCTTCTATTTCCCACCCCACGATTCTGAAGAACTGGCTCAAATGTACCCAAACTCTGGTACACATTTGTCAATGCTGCCTATTACAGGACAAAAAAAAACTGATTATTTTCTTTCAGACCCTCATACACTTTCCACATTGAAAATGTGGGATATTCTGCATTTCCACAAGCAGTTCTTTCTCTGTTCTCTGTCTCTCTCCTATTGTTCTTGAAACCCCTACTCTCTCACTCTGTGATTTGTCTAAATATAATAAAGATATAGGTACAAAAAATATTTTACTTTCCTCTTAATTCTACTATGAGAAGAAAGCATCAAGTTCAATGATAAAGGGCAGCTGGTAATTGAACTTAGGTGTAGAGAGAAAGACACTGGTAGGGATGAGGCAAACAAGAAAGTCTGTTTTCCATGTAAAGGGTGGAACAGTTTCTCAGCAATTGCTGAGATCAAGGATAAGCCCTACAAGTTTGGGCAGGAAAGAGGACACCTATTACTCCGAGAGAATGCAGAAATCCCTCCGTTTTGTTGTTGTTTGTTTTCTCTGAGCCCTTGTGATCTGGCCCCCAAGAATTCCTGTGGTGACAGCAGCAGGCAGTGCCTAGGAGAAACAAAACCCTCAGGCCAGGGCATCTTCCTCTCCAGTTGGTGCAGTAGTGATCCCAAGAGGGTGATGCAAACTTTTTAAAGTCTTTTCTCATTTTGCCACCTGTCGGCTCCAAACATGGGTGCAGCCATGAAACACTGTAGCAGAGTACCGTAATCAAAGACCCAGCATTCTGGCCAGAAAACAGAAAAGAGGAGCTCCAGGGAACCAGAAAATATTGGAGACATTGTGGAGAGGAAGGAGTATGAGAAAGTGACACCATAAAGTTTTTAATGAACTGAGCGCATCCCCAAGCTGCATGTGTGTGGATCGGCTCCTAATTAGTTAACCAAAGATTTTGAGAACGAAACTAGCAGATTATCATCCGACTTCCACACTGACCACCAGGACACATCTGAAGAAAACTGGAAAGGCTTTGAAAACTCAACTGATTGTTGGAACCACAGCTCACAAAACACAGATTGGAACTTGCAGCTTGAATATGACAAGGTCAATTGCTTCTAAAACAAAAACAGCATCCATCCGCCTAATATTTTGTGAGGACCCAGAGCCTCAAAACTGAATGTGCATGACACAATCCAAAATTACAAAAAAACAGATAAACTGCACCCCACATGAGAAAAGACAGTCAGTACTAAGTAGCTACCAATACTGAGAAGAAAAATAAATTTGAATTACATCACAAGGATTTTAAAGCAGCTTTTATAAAAATGTTCCAACAAGTGGTCGCAAGCACTTTTTTTTTTCCTTGGGACGGAGTCTCACACTGTCACCCAGGCAACAGTGCAGTGGCGCAATCTAGGCTCACTGCAACCTCGGCCTGCCGGGTTCAAACGATTCTCCTGCCTCAGCCTACCAATGAGCTGGAACTACAAGCATGCGCCACCACGTCCAGCTAATTTTTGTATTTTTAGTAGAGAAGGGGTTTCACCATGTTGGCCAGATGGTCTTGATCTCTTGACCTCATGATCTGCCCGCCTCGGCCTCCCAAAGTGTTGGGATTACAGGCGTGAGCCACCATGCCCGGTCACAAACACTTGTATACCAATGGAAAACTAGAAGTATCAGAAAATAAATAGAAGATGTAAAAAGGAACAAAATGAATATATTAGGACCAAAAAATCCAATAACTGACATACAAAATTCTAAGTAAGCTTTTTATTACAGTAAAACTAAAGAGGTAAGAATCTGTTATCGTGAATATAAATCAACAGGAATTATCTAATCTGAACAATAGAGAGAAAGAAAGATGAAAAAGTCTCGATTAGAGCCTTAGAGACTTGAGGAACAATAACTAAAGTTCCAACATACATGTCATCTGAGTCTCAGAAGGAGAAAATGAAAAGGAGCGCAGTGCTGAAAGAATTTTGAAAACCTAACAGGAAAAATTACCCAAATTTGGCAAAAGGCAAACATTAATTGAACTAAAAGAAGAAATCAACAAATGTACAATTATGATTAGATAATTCAACACTCCTCTCTCGCTAATAATTAGTGAACATTTGAAATTAATTGATGGTAAGTTTGATTAATTCTGAGATTTTTAGCAGTATTGTTTATCACATATAATTAACAGATCATTTCTGTATAGCAAACAAAAATGCATTCTGAGCCACATGTAATAGTTCATCACACAAAATGTTGAGTTAATGCCAGTCAGAATGTCTCTCTTCTTCCAGTACAGGGATTACAAAATAATGGCAAGACCTAAGGTCATGTATGCAGTGATTCACTAAGTACCTTAAATAATAGGACATGAGATTGCAAGCACAATGCAGTCACTATGAATGAGAAAATTATGTAAGAGCTCAAGTTCATGTGCTGAGGAGGCTTCTGAGAAGCCTTAAAGGATATCTGGCCAATTCAGCTGTTACTGGGTTAGACTATTAATTGTCTTATTGCCTTAACTCTCATCAAAAAAAGACTGCTCTGCAGGCTTTTTTTTTACTGTGGGCAAGTGATTAACAACACCCCAGCTAGAAAATTCTTCCTGATGTCTGTCCTGAGTCTCTCCTGATCTAACAAGCAAGGGTATACAAGAACTTATCAACTCCATCATCAATTACAAAAAAAATTAAGTTGTCATAAGCATAGTATACGATTTAAGGATTTACTAAAATGCAATGGTAGTCAAGCTATCAGAGGATGGAGGAACCTCCGTTTCACCATCTGGTTGTTCCTCTTTGTTCCCTTTAGGTGAGTCTGAGCCAAAAGACCCAACACTAATCACAATGCTTTGTCCATTTCAGTAGGCATAATTCCTTACAACAACAAATAAAATAATCCCTAAGCATTTATTTCATAAAATAAATGTATTAGATATTTTGGCCTCACAAAAATAAGACATAGAGTCTACTCAAAACAGTGTTTTGTGTATCATTTTCATAAATTTCAAATTAGAATGTAAAGTTTATCATATCTCTTCCATTTGTTAGGATAGTGTTAGTAACATTTATAAAATCATTTTCTTTCTCCTGTATTTATTTGACATAAAATGTGTCATTCTCTGAGAATATAAGATGAAATCATTCCACAGAAGAATTACTTATATGCAGAGTTATTTATGTGTAATAGTACTCCATAAATTCCCTTTGAGGGCCTTTTTCCATTCAGCAAGAAGAATGTCTTGATGGTAGGCAAAATTGTACGTAAGTTAAAAGTATGAAATTTGAATCAAGCTCTGCCATTGAATTGTCACGTGAACCTGGAACAACATAACCTCTCCCTGCCTTAGTTTCTCTATTTATATAATGGTAAGTATAATAAAACTATACTTCAAGGGCTTTTGCAAGCACTATATGAACCAATAGATCTAACACATTTAGAACGGTAACTTGATATTTTAGGCACCTTGTAAGTTATTGTTATTATCTGCAATTGTATCTACCCAAAAGCTAGAATCCCTCTTCTTGGCCCCCACATTCCTATGACATGTCTATAAATATCTTGTAAATATATTTATTCATTTTATGCATGCATTTACTTGTATTCTGAATGCCTTTACATGTGCCAGGCATTGTCTAGGTGTTGGAGAAACTAAGACTGATTCAAAGGAGATATTTACTTGAAAGAAATAGCTGTAATGGTTATAATTTGCAGACAGGGAGAACCCTGTGAAAAAGAAAGTAATTAGAAAAATTCATTTTGAATATAAAGAGAAAAAACTTTTCTGAGTTCATAAAAGAATTCTTGATATCATCAACAATAAAGAGCATATGCTAATATTTATATTTCCTAACTATTCTACATACCTATATTTATATAGATTTCAGCTAACAATTGGGCTTTGGTTCTACTATGACATTTTGCTAAAAGCATTGATTATATAAGTTTGTGTTATATACAGTGTTTGCATGAGATAAAACTTTAAGACAAAAATATCTGCTCCAAAAAGTGCCTTGGTCTTGGTAGCTTATTCAAGACATTTATTTTATATTCTGCAGACTGTGAAACATCTGTTTATTAATGCAGCTTTATGATATGTTGTAAATTGCCTTAACATAAAATATGAAATTGCACATTCGAGCCCAGATTTTCTTTTCATCCCCTTGTGTTCAGCTTGGCAAAAGGCTGATACTGCCAGAAAAAGAAAGAAAACTTTGTTCAAAATTGAAGTTAATACTTTCTTGGAGAAATAACTACTAACTAAAGACAAATACTTGATGAGACTATTTTAATGTATCTATTGTCCTTATTAGGTAGGATATAATTTCTTACTTTAACATATGATGATTTTATTTCAAAGCCATTCTGACTGAATGACTTTCAAGGTTATTTTGCAAATCATAATAATTTAAATACTTAAGGAAACTAGTCAAAAATTTGAAATTAATTGATGGTAAGTTTGATTAATTCTGAGACTTTTAGCTGTATTATTTATCACACCGAAGAGAAGATCATTTCTATATAGCAAACAAAAATGCGTTCCGAGCCATATGTAGTAGTCCATCACACAAAATGTTGAGTTAATGCCAGTCAGAATGTCTCTCTTCTTCAAGTACAGGGATAACAAAATAATGGCGAGACCCAAGATCGTGTGTGCGGTGATGCACTAAAATACCTTGAATAATAACAGATGGGGCCGGACGCGGTGGCTCACGCCTGTAATCCCAACACTTTGAGAGGCCGAGACAGGCAGATCACGAAGTCAGGAGATCGAGACCATCCTGGCTAACGTGGTGAAACCCCGTCTCCACTAAAAATACAAAAATTAGCTGGGTGTGGTGGCAGGCGCTTGTAATCCCAGCTACTTGGCAGGCTGAGGCAGGAGAATCGCTTGAACCCAGGAGGCGGGGGTCGCAATGAGCCGAGATCATGCCACTGCAGTCCAGCCTGGCGACAGAGTGAGACTCCGTCTAAAATACTATTACTACTAATAATAATGACACATGAGATTGCAGGCACAATGCAGTCTGTGAATGAGAACATTATGTAAGAGCTCAAGTCCATGTGCTGAGGAAGTCTCTGAGAAGTCTTGAAGGATATCTGGTCAATTCAGCTGTTACTGGGTTAGACTATTAATTGTCTTATTGCCTTAACTCTCATCAAAAAAAAGGCTGCTCTGCAGGCTTTTTTACTGTGCGAAAGTGATTAACAACACCCCAGCTAGAAAATTCTTCCCAATGTCTGTCTTGAATCTCTCCTGATCTAACACGGTGTATTCCTAGTTCAGCTTCCCTCAGTAGAAACAAAGAAGAATTGCTTAAAAGGGAAATTATTCTATGGGTTTTGTTTCCACAACAAAACAGGAGATAATGTGCCCTATTTTGTAAAACAAATCATTTCATCGAAAACTCTCTTTGAAACCTCTACTCAGAGCTATGTTAAGTTGTTTAGTGACCTCAAGCACCAACACATGGACATGTCACCCATTCCCTACCACTAATAACAGCATTAAAATGTCATTTTGTCTTTAAAAGCAAATATATCCTGAAACTAAACCCACTTCTTTGTAGATTTTCTGACTGTAAAATTCTGGCTAAGTTGATTCATTTATTCTCTGCCTCTTTCTTTTCCTCCCTCCCTTAGTTCCAGCTGTATTGCTGAGCCCTACGAAGGTGCTGTCCTGGGCTGCTGAGTTCTCCTGAGCTGCAGCAAGGATGGGCCAGACTCAGGGCAGGTACTGCCGAATGACAGTGAGCCCTGCTTTCTGGGGGCTCCCTGTTTAATTAGGTGAGGCTGACTTTAGTCACATTATCACACCAGGGAACTGAGGCTCTCAGGCTGATGGAAAATAGCAGGAGTCTACAGGATGGTTATATAAAGCGGCAGGACTGAAGGGTGAGGGAAGGCTGCCCTGAGACTTAACTGTTGAGCCTTGCAAGACAGGACAAGGACAGGATCAGCATAAAGAGGTGGGTGGAGGGTGGGTAGAGAATTCTAAACCAAGGTCAACAGAGTAGTTTTTGTGAAGAGAGGAAGCAGGGAGTGAATGAACAACTGAAAGAGGGCCCACAAGACTGGGATGCCAAGCAAGGGAGAGGAACAATGCCTGGCCCCACACTGGAGGGCACAGTGAACCAGGTTCCACTGGCCAAGAGTCACTCGTGTAGGTGTCTCTGAGCTAGGAGATGTGTACTAATTCCTAACAGGCAAGAGTTTAGGCCGGCATTGGCCATCAAAGAGGATGAAAGAAAAAATTTGTCTTATTTATGGAGCTAGCATAAGAGGAAGCTAGAGCTTTACTAAATGTGAAAATTTAAGTTGATGTATATTCTACATCCTGAACAACCAGTGACAAACTGATGTTCCAATATCTGTTTATACAGTGTGTGTGTTATCATTACACTGGCAAAATTGATGATATGTTTGCCTTATTTCAAATCACTAAGTTTTGTATTATGGTGATATACTCATACTGCTTTCTTATCAACTCAGAAATCCATTATACAAAATCCATTTTTTATGGCCATCTAAATCCTTTATTCAATACCATCAGCCTGGGACATGTTAATATATTTCTGCTAGACATACCACCCAGACTTGAAATGCATAGGACACTAAGCACATAGTGGTAGCAGCATGTTTTCCTTTAATAAAAAGACATTATTTTTGGAGGCAGTTTTACATTTACAAGAAAATTGAGCAGACAATACAGAGTGTTCCTTAAACCCTCCCTAGCTCATCATACCTATTATTAAGATATCTTGCATTCGTCTGGTGTATTTGTTACAATTAATGAGCCAATATTGATACATTATTATTATTAACTAAAATCAACAGTTTCATTAAGGTGTACTGTTTGTGTTGTACATTCTATGGGTTTGGAAAATGTGTAATGTCATATATCCACCATGACATTTTACAGAATGGTTTCACTGCCCTAAAAATCCCCTGTGTTCCACCTATTCATCCCTCCTTCTCCCTGCAAATCCCTGGCAACAACTGTGCTTTTCATTGTCTTCATCGTTCTGCCTTTTAAAGAATGTCATATAGTTCGGCTTACACAGTATGTACTCTTTTCAGATCGGCTTCTTTCACTTAGCGATGGGCATTTAAGGTTTTTTTTTTCCATGTCTACTCATAGTTAAATAGTGTGTACCTTTTTATCACTTAATAACATTCTATTGTATGAGTGTACCAGAGTTTGTTTATCCATTCACTTACTGAAGTTGCTTCCACCTTTGGGCAATTATGAATAAAACTCCTATAAACATCAATGTGCAGATTTTTGTGTTGACCTCAGTTTTCCATACCTTTGGTTAAATGCCAAGACACAATTACTGGATCTTATGGTGACAATATACTTAGTTTTGTGAGAAACCACTTCCCTTCTAAAGTGGCTGTATGGGGCTGTATAGGAAATATTTGAATTAACATCCAAATCACACAATCTTTTTGTTACACTTTAAGCATTAAGAGATTCGTTGTCATAGTTACCTTGGGAGTTAGTTGCTTCTGAGGAGTTGACAAGGGCTCTCGGTAATGTGGTGCATATTAACGTTAACAGGTTATATTAATGAATAAACAATGCATGAACTGTGAAATGTAAGACCATGCAGAGTATATTATTAATAAATAATAATGATTATGTACTACGTATTTATCTTTTGACAGAGAGGTGCACAACAAAAACAAATGTTGATATTCTTGAAAATTTTGAAGTCAAGTCTCAACAATTAAATATAAATTTTGTCTTTCCATGTAAGTGATAGACTAATGAATCTACAGATTTGCAAGTTTATAAGCCGAAGTGAATGAGTGCCTCCTTCTGAAAATTATTATTGGGCTTATGAGTTTATAAGTGCATGCATTTCACCCTGGTTGGCCTAAGCTGGCAATTTCCTCCAAGTGGGCATATTAGGAATACCAAATGTCATGAACAGACTGCAAAGAGAGAGAGGAAGGGAACATTTAGCTTCTGACAGCTGAATCAAGAAAAGGGTCCAACCAAGTTTCCTGGGAAAGCTGCAGGTTACAAATATCAGATGACCAATACCTAACTTCTCTTGTTTATTTTAATTCTTCTGTTTTAATAGACAATATTTCATTTTGACATTTTAAGGAACATTTCTGTGTCTCTGTTCTAGCCCCTGATGTTACCTTTGGAGACTAGGAGGAAGAGAGAGGGAGTAATTAATATAAGAACATATTTTTGAGTAAGAAGAATATGCATGAGTTAACATTTATTAATATATTTTTATTAATCAAAATATATTCACAAGAAATTATTTATATTTAAGAATATGCTCAATAACATATATGTAAAATATATTATTCAGGAGTGCATTCTTAATTCACATGTTCTTTGTGCCACATGTGTCCACTGATCTCTGTGGAAGATTCATAAAAACGATATGTAAGGTATCCAAATTGCTGAAAACCACAGACAATGAGAAAAATCTTGAAGGCACCTAGAGGAAAAATTAAGCATTTACATCAAGCATTTATGAATGAGAAGAATATATTCATCGGAAGAATCGTATTAGTCCGTTCTCACGCTGCTAATAAAGGCATACTCGAGACTCGGTAATTTGTAAAAGGGAGTTTTAATTGACTCACAGTTCAGCATGGCTGGGGAGGCCTCAGGAAACTTAAAATCATGGCAGAAGGGGAAGCAAACATGTCCTCCTTCACATGATGGCAGAAAGGAGAAGTGCTGAGCAAATGGGGGAAAAGCCCCTTATAAAACCATCAGTTCTCGCGAGAACTCACTCACTATTATGAGAACAGCAGCATGGAAGTAACCGTCCCCATGATTCAATTACCTCCCACTGGGTCCTTCCCACAACACATGGGGATTATGGGAACCACAAGTTAAGATGAGATTTGGGTGGGGACACAGCCAAATCATATCAAGAATATATTTTAAAAATAAATCATTTTATTCAAGAATAAACTCATATAAATATGTTTATCTTTTGCACCATCAGTTTTTCCTTTTTTCTTTTAGCTTCCATCTGTCAAAGCAGAAAGCCAGGTCAGAGATAGACCAGCCATCCCTTCACATTTGCTGAGACTATGACACAAGAAAATGAGTCAACCTTAAATAGTTAGCAGAAACAAATTTAACAAAATAGTCATCAGCAAATTGGCCACTCAGCAAAGTGGCTTTGTCAGTGGACCTGGTCGAGACAGCTAGGACCTGCTGCCACAGAAACTGCCTTGGTCAGGTGAAACAACCCCACAGCAGTAAGTGTAGGTAGAAAATCAGGACTGAAGCAATTACACATGTTGTCATTGACCTTTCCATCTGCAGGGGATAATGCAATGAAACCCTGCCACCTTTCCACAGGCTAACTCTCAGAGGAATAAAAAAAAAGTCATGTGCAGGTTGATTTGGGCTAACGAATGATCTTTCATCATTCAACTTTTGATGTTCAAAAGTGTATGTTATTATATTTGTGCACATGTGAAATGAAAGAGAAAGGAGCTTGGACACATGAAAACCAAGGAAAGAAAAACCTAATTTGTTTTACTAATAAAGAATAACAGAAAAAAGGGTAATACCAATTTCACTTGCTTCTATGTCTCTTTTCTATGCCCTCAGGAAGTACAATTTACCACTTTGGGAAGCTTAGGAGGGAGCATCACTTAAGACCAGGAGTTCAAGACCAGCCTGGGCATCATATTGATGTCTCTTCTAAAAGCACTACTAATGCAATAAAATGTATTCTCGTTGAAAATTACATCTGCAGAGAATAAAACAGGAAAAAAACTGCTGTCTTTTCACACTCAATTGTTTATCTTCTGATCTGATTCATCTTGCCATTGTATGTTGCATATAAGTTGTAATAAACTAAAATTGAACATATTGTGGTACATATACACCGTGGAATAGTGGAATACTATGCAACTATAAAAAAGAATGAGATCATGTCCTTTTCAGGAACATGATGAAGCTGGAGGCCATTATCCTTAGCAAACTAACACAGGAACTGAAAACAAAATACCGCATCTTCTCACCTACAAGTGGGAGTTAAACGATGAGAACACATGGATACATAGAGGGGAACGACATACACTGGGGCCTACCTGAGAGTGGAGGGTGGGAGGAGGGAAAGGGGTACAAAAAATAACTATTGGTTACTAGGCTTAATACCTGAGTGATGAAATAATCTGTACAACAAACCCCTATGACACGCGTTTACCTATATAACAAACCTGCACATGTAACCCAAACTTAAAATAAAAGTTTAATATATAAATATATATATAGTGGCATTTTGGACAGACATTTACATATAGAGATGCATGAATACATAGATCAATAGATGTATGTATTCACGGGTTATTATGAATGCAAATATGCATTTAAAAACAGGGTTTCCAGCACTTTGGGAGGCCGAGGTGGGCAGATCACGAGATCAGGAGATCGAGACCATCCTGGCTAACACAGTGAAACCCTGTATCTATAAAAATACACAAAAAAAATAGCCAGGCATGGTGGTGGGCGCTTGTAGTCCCAGCTACTCAGGAGGCTGAGGTAGGAGAACTGCTTGAACCTGGGAGGCGGAGGTTGCAGTGAGCTGAGATCGCGCCACTGCACTCCAGCCTGGGTGACAGAGTGAGACTCCATCTCAAAAAAAAAAAAAAAAAAAAAAGGATTTCTGGGCATTTTTGGTTGTCGTTTTGTCTGTTTTGTTTTTATCTATTGACACCAGCAGGAAGGCTTACTTTTTTATAGTAGGTATATATTTCAAACCATAGTCTTAGGTCTTGTGACATAGTTAAAGGAAACATCATATAAGAGCTCAGAGATGTAAAATAGAGCCATTTATGAGGTTTTGAGAACCTGTAATGATACATATATGTTAATTTCATTTAGGTTTTCTGCGTTTGGAACTGTGTACAGGTAAGATGCTCTAAGCTACCATATAGCAAACTTTAAATGAAAATTACCATTACACTTATTTAGCTCCAAATAATTTAATAACTATTACTGGGTTGTTACTAGAAAGAAAAACAGCGCACTGTAATAGTTAATGAAGTAAAGCAGTCCCAATCAAATCTTGCATTGCCCTGACTCGTGTTTTGCTAAAGGAGAGGGAGAGGCATTTTGTTGCATTTCCAGCTGTCTTCCTGGGGAAACAGAACACATTTGGAGAATGTGTTCCCCTTTGTTAATTGTGACACATGTGTCCAGTGACCCCCGATGAAGAAATCTTAAAGTGATATGGAATGTGTTCAAATAGCTGAAAACCAGAGACAAAGAGAAATCAACACAAAAACTGAAAATCTCTCATTTTTCTCAAAAGAGAAACATCTTGAGGAAGCTAGAGGCAAAAAGACATTATCAAACAAGAAACAAGGTTAAGAATGGGAGCTGACTTCATATCAGAAACCATGCAAGCAAGAAACGAAGTGACACTTTTGAAGTCATAAAAGAATTCTTAAAAACCTATCAACCCAGAATTCTATAACCATTGAAAAATTCTTTAAATATTTGTTAATTACTCTGGTGATTTTGAATTAAGGTGAAGTTGAATTCCCCTCATGTGGCTTGCAAGTTAGTCTTGTTTTTGTGGTTTGGGTTTTTGTTTTTGAGATAAGGTCTTCCTCTGTCATCCAGGCCGAAGTGCATTGGCACAATCACAGCTCACTGCAACCCCAACATCCCAGACTCAAGTGATCCTCCCACCTCAGCCTCCCACATTGCTGAGACTACAGGTGCACTCCACCACACCTGGCTAATTTTTGTATCTTTGTAGAGATGGGGTTTCACCATGTTGTCCAGGCTGGTTTTGAACTTCTGGGCTCAAGCAATCTGCCCACCTTGGTCTCTCAAAGTCCTGGAATTACAGACATGAGCCACTGTGCCCAGTCTTGCAGGTTGGTCTTAATGACTGCCTTTAAGAAATGGAATATGGAAAAGTAAAAACTGTAATTTTGTAGTGGAGGAAACCATCAAGTCACCAACATAGCCAAGTAATCAAGGTTAACATCAACAATGAAAAGTCATATGGCTACCTCACACCACCGTGACACAATGGGAAGGTCACTTCAACTATGTGAAATTCTTCCTCAAAATTTACAACCCCACTTTAATCAAGAGAAAACATCAGATGAACCCAAATCATTTGATGCACATTCTAAAAAATATCTGGTCAGTGGTCTTCAAAGTGTCAAAGCTAGGAAAGACAGAGAGATTGTCCCTAATTGAAGTCGACTAAGGAGACATGAAGACTAAACACAATATGAGATCCTTGATGGTACCTGGGAACAAAGAGAAGAAATTAGTTAAAAACAAAAACAAAAACAAAAACAAACTGGTGAAATGTGGGCCGGGCACGGTGGCTCACTCCTGTAATCCCAGCACTTTGGGAGGCCAAGGCAGGTGGATCACCTGAGGTCAGGAGTCTGAGACCAGCCTGGCCAGCATGGTGAAATCCCATCTCTAATAAAAATGCAAAAATTAGCCGGATGTGGTGTTGGGCACCTGTCATCCCAGCTGCTCGGGTGGCTGAGGAATGAAAATCACTTGAAACCAGGAGGTTGAGGTTACAGTGAGCCAAGATCGCACCACTGCACTCCAGCCTAGGCATTAGAGTAAGAATTCCTCTCAAGAATGAAAAACTGGTTAAATATAGCCTGTCATTTAGGTAATAGTATTGTACAATGTTAATTTCTTATTTTTAATAAATGTGCCATGGTAAAGTAAGAGGTTAACATCAGAAGAAACTAAGTGAAGAGTGTATAGAAACTGTCTTTACCATCTTTGCAACTCTATGTAAATCTAAAATTATTCCAGAGAATGACTTCACAAGGTGGCAGAATAGAATTTCTCCAGCTCCACACCCCCACACGGAAATCCAACTAGCAACTATCCACAGGCAAGAATACCTTTCTGAATATCCCAGAACTCAGGAGTGAGACTGAGACACCCAATTGTACTGCAGAACTAAGAAAAGCTGTGCTTTGAAGAGTAAGAGGAACAGTTCATTTTGAGCATGCCACCCCTCCACCAAGCTGGCATAGCATGACACACAGAGGATTTCACCAGACCCACAATTTCTACAGTGGGAAAAGAAAGTTGGAGGTGGACATTCAGCTTGCCCACCATTCTAGGACCCTTCACAGGAGGCTCACCCTTGTCTTATACCACAGGAAACATTAGGAGTGCCATCGGGGATAGACCACCTGGAGTCAGCTAGAAACAAAGAATGGGAGTAGATCTCACAGAGACTAGCGTGTAGTTAGTCTGCATTCTGGCTAATGGAGGCATCATATGAGAGAGATTAGCCAACAGCATTGTACCGCAGGAAGTACAGCTCACAGGTGTACCCAGCTAGCATCCCTCGCCAGCTTTCCTACATAGACCTGGTGCTTTCTACAGCATTGCCCAGGCTAGAAGGCAAGTGAAAGTCAGCACTTCTCTGCAGAGGGTACATCTGGTCCCCACCCAGCACCAGCAGCTGACCAGGAACTCCACTAAGCTTTGTTTAAGCCTACCTTAGGCCAGGAGACAAGATCAAGTCCGCACATATGTGTGGGGCATAATGGCTTCTAGCCCTAATCAGCCCTGTGTAGCTGAGCAACAACACCAGAGTCTTTAGGTGACCATAGAGCTCAGCCCAGAGGCCTGTTCAACTACAGATTCTAAACAACAATACCATCCAACCAGCGGAGACAGCCTACGATCCTGCCTGATCAGAGTGAACTGCAGAGTCCAGTTAGCAGTACCATTCAACCTTAGGGCTCAGGAAGTGACACAGCCCAACTAGAGAACCTGACACCAAGCTCTGCCCGTCCAGGGTCATTGCCAGCTAACACATCCAGAATCCCTTCCTACGAAGTAGTAAAGATCTGTCAAGGCCTGGAAGAGGTGGCCGTCTCCTCAAACACAGAAGCATCAATGCAAGACAGAAGTATTATGAAAAGTCAGGGAAATATGATACCACTAAAAGAAAATAATAAAGATCAGATAATAGATCTGGAATATAAGGTGATCTATAAAATGACTGACAAAGAGTTCAGGATAACCCCCTTAAAGAAGTTCAGGGAACTCCAATTAAATTAAATTAAGTTTGAAACCAATTCATGAACAAAATGAGAAATTGACAAAGAACTAGAGATGATAAATAGAAACCAAATAGAAATCTGAGACATAAAGAATACAATAATTTAACTGAAAATGTCAATGGAAAGCTTTGACAGCAGACTTGATCAAGCAAAAGAAAGGATCACTGAATTCAAAGATAGGTATCTTGAAATTATCCAGTCTGAAGAGCAAAAAGAAAAAGAATAAAGAAGGCCTGCAGGAATTATGAGATACCATCAGGCAAACTAATATTCACATAATCAGAGATTCAGAAGAAGATAGAGAAGAAGGCCCAAAAAGGATATTTAAGAAAATGGCTGAACATTTCCCCAATCTGGGGAAAGATGACAACATCTAAATACAGGAAGCTCAAAAGTCTCCAATCAAATTCCACTCAAAAAGGAATTTACCAAGATAAAACATAATCAATTTATCAAAAATCAAAGACAAAGAAACAAAACTGAAAGCAGCAAGAGATAAGA
Organism: Homo sapiens; assembly: GCF_000001405.40. NCBI lineage: Eukaryota > Metazoa > Chordata > Mammalia > Primates > Hominidae > Homo > Homo sapiens. The sequence goes on from NC_000009.12 coordinate 42,522,402, forward strand.
AACATATCACATTCAAGGGAACCACAATATGACTTTCAGTTGACTTCTTAGCAGAAACTCTGCAGGCCAAGAGAGATTGGGGTGATATATTTAAAGTGCAGAAGAAAAAGAACTGCCAACCAGGAATTTTTTACTTGGCAAAGTTGTCCTTAAAAAATAAGAGAGAATTGGCTGGGCAGGGTGGCTCATGCCTGTAATCCCAGCACTTTGAGGGGGCCGAGGTGGGCAGATCACGAGGACAGGAGATCGAGACCATTCTGGCCAACACAGTGAAACCCCGTTTCTACTAAAAATACAAAAATTAGCTGGGTGTGGTGGCGTGCACCTGTATTCCCAGCTACTCGGGAGCCTGAGGCAGGAGAATCACTTGAACTTGGGAAGGAGAGGTTGCAGTAAGCCAAGATTGCACCACTGCACTCCAGTCTGGCGACAGAGCAAGACTCCATCTCAAAAAAAAAAAAAAAAAAGATTAAAAAAAGAAATAAGAGAGAATTCCAACTTCCCCAGACAAACAAATCCTAAGGGAGTCTATTACATTATCCCTGCTTTACAGGAATGGCTAAAGGCAGTTCTTTAAGCTGAAATGGAAGGTTTCTACTTAACAACAACAAAAAAATGTATGTAAAAATCTCAGTAACTCAATGGTATTAAGTAATACATAATCAAACTCATTCTCTAACACTGTATGGGTGATACATAAAGCAATCGTATCCTTACTGTGATGATTAAAAGGAAAAACTATTAAAAGCAATTGTAGCTGCAATTGTTAAGGAATACAAATTACAAAAACAAATAAAAAATTTACATCAAAATTATAAAAGGGGGGAGTGAAAGTATGAGATTAAAGTTCAATTATTATCAGCTTAATGTAGCTTGCTATAAAGCTCACACATTTTACGTAAGCCTCATGGTAACCACAAAGCAAAAAGAAAACAACAAGAGAGAAATAAAGAAACAGGGACTTACAAAAAATTCAGAAAATGAATGACAAAACAGCAGTAGCAAGTGCTTACCTATCAGTAATTACTTTGAATGTAAACAGATTAAATTCTCCAACCAAGAGACTTAGGACAGCTGAATAATTTTTTTTTTTTTAAAAAAACCATATGCTGCCTACAAGAGACTCACTCTACTAGTGAGGACACATACAGACTGAAACTGAAGGTATGGAAAAAGATACTCCATGCAAATAGACATCAAAAGAGACCAAGAGAATCTATATTTATATCAATCAAAATCGTCTTTAAATCAAAAACTGTAAAAAGAGATAAAGAAGGTCACTAAATAATGAGAAAGGGGTCAATTCACCAAGAGGACATAACAATTGTAATTATATATGCACCCAACATCAGAGTACCTAAATACGTAAAGCAATTATTAAATGACATAAAGGGATAAATAAATGGCAATACTACAATATTATGGAACCTCAACACCCCTCTTTCAAAAATGTCCATACAACCCAAAATGATCTACAGTGTCAATGTAATCTCTCTCAAAATTGCAATGTCATTTTTCACAGCAATAAAAAATATCCTTAAATTTGTGTGGAATTACAAAAGACCCTAAAGAGTCAAAACGATCTTGGGCAAAAGGAAAAAAGCTGGTGCCATTACACTCCCTAATTTCAAAAATCTTATGAAGTTATTGTAATGAAAATAGCATGGCACTGGCATAAAAATAAACTGACTGATGAAACAGGATAGAAAGCCTAGAAATCAACCCATGCATGTATGATCAATTGATTTTTGACCAAGGTGCCAAGAACACACAACGGGGAAAGGACAGTATCTTCAATAAATTGTGTGGGGAAAACTAGCTATCCACATGAAGGAGAATGAAATCAGATCCATATGTTATACCACATACAAAAATCAACCCAAATGGATTAAAAATCTAAACATAGTATCTGAAACTGTGAAACTACTAAAAGAAAACAGAGAAAAATCCCCACAACATTGGCTGGGGCAATGATTATTTGGATATGACCCCAAAAGCACAGGCAACAAAAGCAAAAAGCAAAAAGCACAGGTAATAGAAGCAAAAAGCAAAAAGAGAGAAATAAAATGGCATCAAACTAAAAAGCCTCTTCACAGCAAACCTTTAAAGTGAAGGGACAGCCCACAGAATGGGAAAAAATATTTGCAAACTATACAGCTAATAAAGGGTCAATATCCAAAACATATAAGAAACTCAACACAAATACCATCAGTCTAAATTGGTGAGCCCTTTCAAACTGCAGCTCACTTTAGTTATTTATTTATTTATTTATTTTGAGACGGAGTCTCGCTCTGTCACCCAGGCTGGGGTGCAGTGGCGCGATCTCGGCTCACTGCAAGCTCCGCCTCCCGGGTTCACGCCATTCTCCTGCCTCAAGCTCCGGAGTAGCTGGGACTACAGGCGCCCGCCACCACGCCCGGCTAATTTTTTGTGTTTTTAGTAGAGACCGGGTTTCACCGTGTTAGCCAGGATGGTCTCCATCTCCTGCCTCGGCCTCCCAAAGTGCTGGGATTACAGGCGTGAGCCACCGCGCCTGGCCTTTTTTTTTTTTTTTTTTTTTACTTTAAGTTCTGGCATACAAGCGTAGAAAGTGCAGGTTTGTTACATAGGTATACATGTTCCATGGTGGTTTCCTGCACCTATCAACCCGTCATCTAGATTTTTTTTTTTTTTGAGACATAGTCTCACACTGTCATCCAGCCTGGGGTGCAGTGGCGCGATCTTGGCTCACTGCAAGCTCCGCCTCCCAGGTTCACACCGTTCTCCTGCTTCTGCCGCCAGAGTAGGTGGGACTACAGGCTCTCGCCACTACGCCCGACTAATTTTTTGTATTTTTAGTAGAGACGGGGTTTCACCATGTTAGCCAGGATGGTCTCAATCTCCTGACCTCGTGATCCGCCTGCCTCGGCCTCCCAAAGTGCTGGGATTACAGAAGTGAGCCACCGCGCCCGGCCCCATCATCTAGGTTTTAAGCCCCACAGGCATTAGGTATTTCTCCTAATACCCCCTCCCCTTGCCCCCCAACCCCGTAACAGGCCCCAGTGTGTGATATTCCCCTCCCTGTGTCCATGTGTTCTCATTGTTCAGCTCCCACTTAGGAGTGAGAACATGCAGTGTTTGATTTTGTGTTCCTGTGTGAGTTTGCTGAGAATGATGACTTCCAGATTCATCCATGTCCCTGCAAAGAACATGAACTCATTCTCTTTTATGGCTACATAGTATTCCATGGTGTATATGTCCCACATTTTCTTTATCCAGTCTATCATTGATGGGCATTTGGATTGGTTCCAAGTCTTTGCTATTGTAAATAGTGTTGCAATAAACATACATGTGTATGTGTCTTTAGAGTAGAATGATTTATAATCCCTTGGGTATATACCCAGTAACAGGAATGTGCAGCTCACATTTTTAATTTGCTCAGAGTTTTCTTCTCTTTGGATGCATATTTATTGTCTCTGCTTCTTTTTCTTTTTCAGAATTTTTAGATTTGTGTAAATTTCCTCTATCGATTACCACGTCACTTTTATTTTCCATCCCATCTTTGTCTCTTAGTATTTTTGCTCTGAGACTTGAAATGGTCCATCTTTTCCTTTGCCGGTCTCCAAGCCCTCCTCTAGCCCTGAGGTAGGAAAGCCCACAATAGCTCTCCTACCACTCTCAGGCCTTCATCTGCCTGCTGACGGTCCAAAAACGTCTTGCTTCAGGAGCACAGGTTGGAGTTAGAAGTGAAATTAGAGTCAAATTAGAAGATTTTAAACTATTATTTCCCCAGAACCGCACAGAATCGGCAGCTACATTAAATTTCTTACCCACAGAGCTGATTTTAGAAATACATAACTGCAGACATTTTTAATGGTGACTGTCCCGTTAAAAGGTAATAGGGATGCATGTGTCCCCATTAAAGGACTTGCCTTGTTCCATTAAAAGGTAATGGGGATGCATGTGTGTGTGTGTACATGTGTGTGGGTTATTATCCACCAAAAAGCAGCAAAAGTTTTTTATATATATTTTAAAGAAAATAATAGAAGCGTTTTGTCATGCTATACTTAGAATTCTTAACATCATAACTCTTATTACAATGTATGTTTTAAGATTAAAAAACGGTATTATTTAAGGTGGAAAACCTTGGTAAATGACATTCTATTTATAATATATATTTTATATTCATAATTATGTTATACTCTTATATGCAATATTGAACACTAATATAATTTGTTTCATGGTACACCTGGCACGTAATTCTCTCATATCTTGGAGATGGTTCACATACATTTTTCTAATTCTGTCCTGACTAGTCTTCCTATTAACTGTTTAAAGAACTTTATACTCCACTATGGAAATCCTTCTTTTTAATAAATAAATGTGCTTTATGTAATATTTCCATAAATAGTTTTAAATTACACGTGGACCATGACTCATACAGAAATATGTACATACACACATATCTATATATTTATATGTATAAACATATGTACACATATCTATATACAGAAATGTATTTCTATCTGTCTTTCCTATTGGATGTCTTGAAACTCCATCTTTGGGTTCCTTTCTTTTAACTTAAAACCTATTTTTCCTACTAAAATGTAATGAAAAAAATAAAACCAACTGGGAGAACTAATAGTTGGCATTTTCTTACTAATTTATGCCTCAGTGGGACAATATTTTATCAACTCTTAGCATGGAAAAACAAATACACTTTGGTTTTGACAGAAAAAAAGGAGAAAAAACATTAAGCATCTCAGGCAAGAAAGGGATGGGAAAAGCGTGATTTGGGTGAAGCTAAGTAGTGAAGTAAATGTCACATGGTAGCCTAAGAAGCTGAGGACAATTTTCACTTGCATGACAATTTTTAGTAGAGTTGCTTAGTCACTTCAAAAACAGATTTAATACATTTTTTCTCTTAAAAAATCTACAGCAAGAAATCCAGAAACCAATACAATTTCTATCATTTCAATCCAGAATTCTTTCAATTGTTTCAGGTTATGGAGGCATTGGCCCATAAAATATTTTGCTTGATAATGTTTTCCAAAAAGGGAAATCTTTTCTGCTCTCATCAACAACAAAATGTCTGGAAGAAAAAGGAAATATTAAGGAATAAAAATTTGGCTGAAGAGCCTCTCTACTTAAAGGAATGAAAGGTGTTTCAAAAAGTTACTAACAATAAGCACAAAAACAATTAAACATTAAATATAGAAACAAAAGAAATATTTCATGATTTTCTGTAGCTCTTATTGGCAATCAAAAACCAGAAAACAAAAGCAGCAGGGGGGAATGCAAGAATAAATGAAGTGCAGAGAAAGGGCAAACATGAGTAAATAGTAATGAAAGCTTTTTAAAACTACAATAATAATAATATCTTGTAGAAATATAAAATGCAATAAAAAAGTGTATTACAACAATGGCACAAGGGTGAGAGATACACAAATACATGGAAGTAAACTTGTAAGGATCTTGCATTCTTTGGGAAGTGGCCAAAGTACTAATAACTTAAGAGAACATATTGTGATCTTGAGGGAAATGACTAAAAGTTTCATTACAGCTGCAAAGCTAATACAGGAGATTCATAGCCAACAATTGGAAATTACCCAAAAATTCATCAATAAAAGAATGGATAAACAAATCCATTGTATGAATTCCATTCATATAATGGAAGAGTACATAACAGTGGAAAGGAATGAACTAAAAATATCTACCAAAAATTGGAGGAATATCAAAACATTTTGCTAAGGAAAATGAGCAAGACACAAGATGACATACTGTATGATTCCATTTATATGTTCAAGAAAAGGCAAAACTAATCAATGGTGATAAGAGATTGTTTTGGAAAGGACACAGGAAACTTCCTAGGTAATGGAAATGTTCTATATGTTGATCTGAATGAGGGTAAAGAGAGAGAAGGAGGAAGAGAGAAAGAGAGTCATTGAATAATACTGAAGATCTGAGCTAAGAGTCCTTAATGGATATACAAATATTAAAAGGAGCCTTCTTAAATTGTACCACACACTTTAACCTGGATTCATAAAGCATCAAAAGTAGAAGGGATATAGAGGGATCATTTATTCCAATCTCCTCAATTTTACAGATGAAAAAACAGACACAGAAGAATAGTTGCTGTATTAGTCTGTTCTCACACTTCTATAAAGAACTGCCCGAGACTGGGGAATTTTTTTTTTTTTTTTTGAGATGGAGTCTCATTCTGTAGCCAGGCTGGAGAGCAGTGGCACAGTCTTGGCTCACTGCAACCTCTGCCTTCCGGGTTCTAGTAATTCTCCTGCCTCAGCCTCCTGAGTAGCTGGGAGTGCAGGCACATGCCAACATACCCAGCTAATTTTTGTATTTTTAGTAGACACAGGTTTTCACCATGTTGGCCAGGATGGTCTCAATCTCTTGACCTCATGATCCACCCACCTTAGCCTCCCAAAGTGCTGGGAGTACAGGCATGAGCCACTGCACCCAGTGAGACTGGGTAATTTATGAAGAAAAGAGGTTTAATTGACTCACAGTTCCACAGGCTGTACAGGAAGCATAACTAGGAAGCCTCAGGAAACTTACAATCATGGTAGAAGGTGAAGGGGAAGCAAGCATGTCTTACTATAGCAGAGCAGGAGAGAAAGAGTGAAGGGGGAAGTGCCACACATTTTTAAAACATCAGGTCTCACGATAACTCACTCATTATCATGAAAACAGCAAGGGGGAATCTGCTCCCATCATCTAATCAGCTCCCACCAGGTCCCAATTCAACATGAGGTTTGGGTGGCAACACATAGCCAAACCATATTATGCCACCCCTAGTCCCTGCCAAATCTCATGTCCTTCTCACATTTCAAAACACAAGCATGCCTTCCCAAAAGTCCTCCAAAGTCTTAATTCCTTCCAGTACTAACTCAAAAGTCCAAGTCCCAAGTGTCATCTGGAACAAGGCAAGTCCTTTCTGCCTATGAGCCTATAAAACCAAAAACAAATTAGGTACTTCCAAGATACAATAAGGGTACAGTCATTGTGTAAATGTTCCCATTCCAAATGAGAGAAATTGGCCAAAACAAAAGGGCTACACATCCCATGCTAGTCTGAAATCCAGCAGGGGAGTCATTACATTTTAAAGCTTCAAAATAATCTCCTTTGACTTTGTCTCACATCCCGGATACATTAATGCAATGGGTGGCCTCCCAAGGCCTTAGAAAGTTCTGCCCCTGTAGCTTTGCATCATACAGCCTCCACGGCTGCTTTCTCAGGCTGGAATTGAGTGCCTGTGGCTTTTCCAAGCACATGGTGCAAAATGTCAGCAGATCTACCATTCTGGGATCTGGAGGACAGTGGCCCTCTTCTCATAGCTTCACTAGGCAGTGCCCCAGTGGGGACTCTGTGTGGGGCCTCCAACCCCACATTTCCCCCCTGCACTGCCCTAGTAGATGATCTCCACGAGGTCTCCACCCTTGCAGTAGACTTCTGCCTGGACATCCACACATCCTCTTAAACCTAGGTAGAGTTTGCCAAACCTCAATTCTTGCCTTCTGCACACCTGCAGGCCCAACACAATGTGGAAGTCACCAAGGCTTGGGGCTTACACCCTCTGAAGCAATGGACAAGCTGTATCTTGGCCCCTTTTAGCCAAGGCTAGAGCTGAAGTGACCGTGATGCAGGATGCCATGTCCCTAGGCTGCACAGAGCAGTGGGTCCCTGAGCCTGGCCCACAAAACCATTTTTGCGTCCAGGCCTGTGATGGGAGGGGTTGCCTTGAAGTTCTCTGAAATATCTTGGAGGCATTTTCCCCCTTCTCTTGGCTATTAACATTCGGCTCTTCTTTACTTATGCAAATTTCTGCAGCCTTCTTGAGTTACTCCCGAGAAGATGGGTTTTCTTTTCTACCACATGGCCAGGCTGCAAATTTTCTGAACTTTTATGCTCTGCTTCCCTTTTAAATGTAAGTCCCAGTTGCAGGTCATTTTCTTTGTTTATGCAAATAAGCATAGGCTTTTAGAAGCAGCCAGACCACCTCTTGAATGCTTTGCTGCTTAGAAATTTCTTCCAACAGATACCCTAAACCACCTCTCTCAAGTTCAAATTTCCATAGATCCCTAGAGCAGGGGAACAATGCCATCAGTCTCTTTGCTAAAGCATAGCAAGAGTGACCTTTACTCCAGTTCCCAATAAGTTCCTCATCTCTATCTGAGATCACTTCAGCCTGGACTTCACTGTCCGTATCACTATCAGCATTTTGGTCACAACCATGCAACAAGTCTCTAGGAAGTTCCAAACTTTCCCTTATCTTCCTGTCTTCTTCTGATCCCTACAAACTGTTTCAACCTCTGCCTGCTACCCGGTTCCAAAGTCACTACCACATTTTCAGGTATCTTTACTGCAATGTCCCACTTCTCTGCTACCAATTTTCTGTATTAGTTTATTGCTATAAAGAACTACCTGAGACTGGGCAATTTATTTTTAAAAAGAGGGTTAACTGACTCTCAGTTCCATACGCTGTGCAGGAGGCATGGCTGGGGAGGCCTCAGGAAACTTACAATCATGGCATAAGGTGAAGAGGAAGCAAGCACATATTCACTTGGCCAGCAGGAGAGAGAGTGAAGGGGGTGGTGCTACACACTTTTAAACAACTAGATCTTGAGAGAACTCATTATCACAAGAATATCAAGGGGGAAATCTTCCCCCAGGGTCCAGTTACCTCCCACCAGTTCCCTCCCCCAACGTTGGGGATTACAATTCAATGTGAGATTTGGGTGGGGACACAGAGAAGAGCCAAACTATATCAGATACCTTGTCACAGTCTATGGTGCAACTTGTAAATGGAAGAGCCAGTGCTAGGATCCAGTTATCTTGTATCCACTGCAGCACTTGCTCAGAACCATTTTTTATGAAAAATTCAAATTCCATAAGAATTAAATGAAGGCAGAAGACAAATAATATAGCATTTTAAAATTAATTCATACAGTTCATAAGTCAGAAGACAAATAATATAGCATTCTAAAATTAATTCATACCGTTCTTTTATTCCAAACTTAATCTTAGTTGTCTCATTAAGTGAAAGTTTCTGGGTTGACCACCGATGAAGACACAGACAGAAGCTATGAATTTTACACATACTTTGATCACATTTTTTCTTGCCTGAATTATTAGAAGAATAACACATTTCATTGTGCTTGATTGCTAAGTGAGACAGATAAATGTAAGATTATTTTTGAAGCAATATTCTTGCTCGTCTTTCAGGAAGCACTTTACTCATGATTACATGTGCACTTAGATAAAAGTACAGTTTTTATCTTGATTGTCACTCATGATGTAATTATTCATAAACTTAAGAAAAGAAGTTTCTTTCAGCATGACAAATGGTTCTCATGCTTGTGACATGACACTTTTGATCTGTTATGTGAAGGGAAAGGTTTTTCTTCCACCTACCTAAAATTTTCCCCAATACAAGAAATTTGACAGCACTGAATGAATTCTGTACCTGACAGGATGACTTGTCTCCTTGCATTCTGTTAACCTAGCAATTTGTTCCAATAGAAGCATTCAAATGAAGAGTAACTTTGTGATAAAAAGACAGGAAGCAAAGGAAAACCAAGGGAAAAAAATCATAAAATAAACCACCTGTTAGTGCTACCAAAAAGATTAAGAGATCAATTCCAAGATTTATATACTAAGAGGAAAATATTTTTAACCAACTTATAGAATGCCAAAAGCTGCCACTCCACCTGTTATCTCCTTTCCCAATTTACTTTGCTTCATAGGATATCTATAACTGGGAGGATCTACAAAGAAATACAATGCATTACTTTATACCTCAAAACTTTTAACTAAGAATAAAATATTACATGAGGCAGAGAAATGTTCTATCTATAGATTTAATATCTAAATGATTTTCTTCAAAAGCCAGTAACAGAGTAAAGTTTATTTTGTGGTGACTTTTCATTATGTATCCTCATTTTAATCAAAATCAGGTTGTTTTTCTTGTTCTAAATTGCTATTATATATAGCATTTGTGGTTTGACAATTCAATGAAAATAGGTTTTCACCGAAATATCAATTCAAAGTTTCTACCAGTAGTATCCAGTGATAAAATCGACTATGTTTCCTTATGAACTAAAAGCAAAACTTGGCATCTAAGTAATCAAATGTTAATAATAGCTTGGATAGATTCTCATTGTTAAACAAAAGCAAAGCAAAGAACAAAAGCAAAACCAAACAAAACGCTGTAATTATATTTGACTTCACTTCTTACTTATACATACATATATATATATGTATGTATATCATTGGTTGGGCATTTTTTCCCAGTCATTTATTATCAAATGTTTATGTAAAGTCATTGATGCTAGAAAGTCATAATTTTAATTAATGCGTTACCTCTACAATTGCTTCTTTCATGTTCATTCTAAAATGGTGAAACTGCTATCAGCTAAGTTTTTTAAATCAAAGTAAAAGGAATCAGAATCTTGATGTCAGTCTAGCCTGTATCTGACCTGCAAACTCCCTAAAAAGGAAAAAAAAAACTGTATTTAAAACTTCTCATGTAGAGTCAAGGATACATTTTAAGTCCCCTTTCCTGGAATATTGATTACTTAAGTGCTTTTCCAGAATCTCTGAGCTCAGTTACAGTCAGCCCTTCCTATCCATAGGTTTTGCATCCATGGATTCATCCAATCATGGATAAAGTATCTTCAAAAATTAAAAATAACACAAATTTTAAAACAGTATGTAAAACAACGATTTATATAGTGTTTACATTGCACTGGGAATTATAAGTAATCTAGAGATTATTTAAAGAGAGAGTGTAAGTGTGGGTTACATGCAAATACTTCATCATTTACATAAGGAACTCAAGCATCCATGGGTTTTGGTATCCCCAGGGAGTCCTGGAACCAATGCACCACCAATACTGTGTTAAGTATCAAGACAAATGGATTAATCATAAGCTATGTCTTCTCTACAGTTCTTTCACCATGTATTTCCTTTAGAAAAACACTAAAGTAAGTATGAAAAGCTTTGGCTCTAATTTCTCATAAATTACTTATAATTTGATATTTACAAATATAATTATGAATTATAAGTTGATATCGTATTGTAATAACATTTTGTTTCTATAATCATGCCTCTTTTTAATGTGATTTTCTCATGTATTTTAATATATTGCAGAAATGCAATAACTGAAGAACTTGTTTTATGTACAGTGAGAAATTTGTATACAAAGTCTTCTACCATAATAAAAAAAATGAAGAGGAGCACCAAAACAAGTAATTTGCCAAGAGTCAGTTTTCCTTGGATTCGTACATTCCAATTCCCCTGCCACCACCCCACACAGACATGTTCACATTTGCCACCACTCTCTCACTGCCTGCAATGAGATCTAGTTAGCCAGAGATGTTTTTCAGGCTTTTTCAGATATTATGTTCATGTTTTGACTTGCCATGTAGCATAGTTAAGGAGGCCTGGCTTTGTTTTCCTACTGTGAAAGGTTTGGAGAGTTTGATGTCCCACTGGGCTGAATGAATGACAGTCAATTCAACTTTCTTCCTCATGTAGGTATGCATAAGTGACTTCTCAACTATTAGAAAGTTACTTTTAAGTAGGATTCACTTGAGTAATAACCACCTTAATATTTCTCTTCTTCTCTTAAAAGGAAGAGAAACATTTGCCATATAAAATACTGTATATCTTATTTCAATATAAATAGCAAATTTGATTTTTATTATTCATATGCAATACTAAAGACCCCCAGCAACATTTCGAATCAGAGTTTCACATCAAATATGTAAAACTGCCAAACTTGAACTGAAAGGCATCTTAATTTCATCATTGAAATGGTAACTTTTGCAATAAATATTTTGAATATTACTGAAAAATAAGAGAATGAAAGTTGGAGGGCATGTCATTTTTTTATGTGTAGCTTGAACACTGCCATGATCCACCTCATTGCCATAATATTTTTATAATTTAATTTTCTCATTAACTCTCATTCACTTTGAAAAATATTTGCCATGTTGCACAAGGATAACCAAAAGATATTCCTCAGAGAAGGCACACAGATAAATCAGTAAGCTTGGAGCTCATGTCTGTTATGTAGTTTTGGAATTATTCCAAAGGCTTACATAGTTTGCTATGTTTTGCTGTAACAAGAACTTAGACTGTACTCTCTCCACCCCTCAAGAATGCAGTGTCTGCCGGGCGCGGTGGCTTCTGCCTGTAATCCCAGCACTTTGGGTGGCCGAGGACGGAGGATCATGAGGTCAGGAGTTTGAGAGCAGGCAGTTTGAGACCATCCTGGCCAACATGGTAGACCCCGTCTCTACTGAAAATACAAAATTAGCCGGGTGTGGTGGCGTGCGCCTGTAATCCCAGCTACTCAGGAGGCTGAGGCAGCAGAATCACTTGAACCCAGGAGGCAGAGGTTGCAGTGAGCTGAGATCACACCACTGCACTCCAGCCTGGGTGACAGAGCAAGAAACCGTCTGGGGCGGGGGGTGGGGGGGGCGTGGCGGGGAAAGAATGCAATGTCAGAGCTCATCAGACCCATCATATGTGAGTTACTGACCTCAACCACTGGATTTCAAAATACATATAAACATAAGAGTTCGTTGAACACTTTGAGAACTTCAGTAAGTCTCAGCCACTTCTCCAAAAATGGAGAGCATATTCTGTGACAGGGCTGCCCTGCCAGTCACTTCTTGGAAGGCTGAACTCATGCAGCAACAGCGCCCCACCCTGTCAGCCGCTGAGCTATGAAGCCTCGCCTGCATCACTGGCACCACCCACTTGGTGTCAAGGGACCCTAGGTGTCTTTGAGGATCTCCATGGTGTCAGACACCATCTCTCCAGAGAATTCGCTTGAAAAAAAGGTGCACCTCAAACTTTCATTCGATTTGCCTTTCCACAGAGGTCTGCTTCCATTTCTACTTCAGGAACTAGACTTTAATATTTGGAACTCACTCCCTCTGTGGTTAATGTGCCTCATCTTTTGAGTGTATTCCCTGTAGATTTGTTCACATTATTCTTCTCCTTTTCGAGCATTGTGAACTTAAGAAAACAAATTCTCCTTGCATGGCAATAACCATGTGATTTGTGAAATCATACTTTGAGCATCTTATTCTAGCCATACAAAACAGTGTGGCTCAGAAATTCAATGTGATCGTTCCTCTGGTCAGTGACATATCCCCATGAAGTGAAGCAGCAAGGAAGTAAGGGAACAGGGGTTTTAGTTAAGGGGTAAAATGGGTAATCTTCTTGGAAATTACAAGCAACTGAAGAGCTCATTCCAAAATATGCAGAAATCTCCGAAATCATACATACTTTTTATGTTAGCAAAACTTAAGTGCAAGGAGTCATAATTTAGGTTTATTTAAAGAATGTCTCCAGTCTTGAAATAACCTGGGTGATAAAATAATAATACAATCTTTACTTTTATCTACTTGTTTCTTTTTAATTTTAGCACATTTAATATAAGACATAAAGTAAAATATAACAGTTCTTCAATACATATTTTTCAGAACTAAATAACATTTAAGGGAGATATGCTGATAGTCTTCAAAATATTTTCATCTTAGATTACATATCATTATTTTTTGGTATCAATTTCTAATTTAAAGCTATTTTCCCACTTAGGATCCTAGTTTTTATTTAAATTTTATTTAATTTTTATCTCCTCTTTTTTCATCTATTGTTTTACAGATCGCTTACAATAATTTTCCCTCAGTGCATAGAAAGGAGTGAGCTTGACAACCACCCACCCCCTTGAAAATCAATAGAAGTTGTCTTTTATAATAAAGCTCTCCCTTATTTACTGGAGAAGTGAAGCTAAGTATACAGATGCATCAGCCTGAGTCAGAAAGAGAAGCAGATATTGCTCAGCAGGAAGCCAGGATAGTGAGATTTCCAACTTCCTCTAGGTCGTTTTGTGAAAGGTGGTATCATTTTATGTTAAGACAAATTCCCAGAAATGTTACCACCCTCCACACACACATACACACACACACACACACACACACACACACACACATACGGAGGCAAGGAGGAGGCTACTGTGTCTTGGGCACTTGCCTAGGCATTGCCTGAAAATTACAGATAATTGTCACTAACCAATCTAATTGCAACTGTTAAACGAAATAACCCGCAATTCAGAGTTATTTCCTATTCAAATGCAATACAGTTTTTCTTTCTAATATATTAGGTTGCACAGAAACACTAAGATTGTACTTAAATATGGACTGAGGACCATTTTAAACGTTACAGTAAAGAAGTGATCACAATTTCATCTGGTTATATTAAAAGTGTTCTGGAATGGTATTGGGAATTGATTTTTTTTTTTTTGAGATGGGGCTCTCACTATGTTGCCCAGGGTGGTCTCTATCTTCTGGGATCAAGTGATCCTTCTGCCTCAGTTTCCCATGTGGCTGGTACTACTGGTGCATGCCACTGTGTCTGTCACATTTTTTAAAATCATAAACTGATTCTAAATTATAAATAAATCAAAAGGAAAGGCAGAGGACTTACTATGCTGCTATCTTGACAACATCAAAGTAACTAATCCCCAAAAGTTTATTCAAAAATCACAAGTTGTTTCCATCTTAGACCCAATTTCTGTACCAAATAAAGCCTATTATACTCCATAATGAAAAGTACAGATAATGAAAAGTACAGAGCCCAACGATGCTTAAATGATGCTATGTAATCTAATAGCTTTGATGAGTCAGTTTCCAAGATATATAATTATATTCAAAGAGTTCTGTCTGGTTCTGTTGATACTACAATCAAATTCTTCCTTCGCTGCAGACAACTTGTACTTAAGCAGAAGCTGAGTCATGCCCCCCACTATACGCCTCCAACAACAGATATGCCAAAGTCCTAGAGCTAAATGTCTGAGTGGTCCTGTTTTATAACAGATCAATAGTTCCTGAAATTAGTATTTGCCTTCCAGGCTAAAATATTTTTTCTACAGTGTTCCAAATATTCTTGCATTTCTTAGTCATTGTCATAAATAGCAATGATGCTTTGATAATCCTGATAACAAACTACTTCCAAACTGCAGCAACAGAAGGAAAATGGTAGGATATACACAAAATCCTTTGAGAGATCCAGAGAGGACTGATATTAGATATAAAAGCAATAACCTGTGGCTTTTCAAAAAGAGAAGCACATTTCTTCGCAATTAAAACTAGGAATTCTCGACAGATATAGTTCACTTTCAAGTGACTAGAATTGTCTCATTCCTTATAATGTCAAATGAAATATTCTTTGTTTCCTATGTTCACCGGCTCCTTGTTCACACTTACTATTTGAGCAGAACAGTCCATCATACATCGAGAAGGCACAGTCACAAGCGATCCCTCTGTGTTTCTCTCACATCTCCCTCGGAGGTGACACACGTGGCCATAGCTATGCAGTGTCCAGCATGCCCTGGCTCCACTCTTGGAGTCACTGTGGCTCTTTCTTTCAGATCCGGGATCGTCCCTTCAACTGCAGAAAATGAATGCATTCCAGAAAGCCTGGGTCTGGTGGCCATTTCACCTGCAAGGGAAGCATTACAAATACAAACACATTCCTCTGTGTTTTATTCAAGATTTCATCACTGGGTCAAACTGAGGCCTTATGGAGAATAGCAGAAACTGTGATCACTCAAAAGGTCTCAAGAACAAATATAATTTTGGAAACATACATTTAATGAAATGTTAAGTAATGGCAAATTACTTCATTTATTTATTTACTATATATATTCATATTTTACTTGACACATAATAATTGTACATATTTATGGGGTACAGTGGGATATTTCAGTATATGTATACAATGTATAATGACCAAATCAGGGTAATTAGCATGTCCATCACCTCAAACCTTTATCATTTCTTTGTGTTGGTAACATGAAAAATCCTCTCTCCCAGCTATCTGAAAAAAAAGACAACACACTGTTGTTTACTGTGGTTACCCTATAGTGCTGTACAACACTAGAACTTATTCCACCAACTAACTGTAATGTTGCAGAAGACAATACTGACCACATTTGTGAGATATTATCCTAATATGAATGATAATTATAGGTGGGGTTTTATGCTAACATAGCTGCCAAGAACTCCATAAATGAATGCCCACAACTGTAAGTGAGAAAACAAGATTATTCAATTTGGTCTGTGTGTGTGTGTGTGTGTGTGTGTATGTGTGTGTGTGTGTGTTGTTTCTATTCTCAGGCAGGGAGTTGGTTTTAGTTCTTTTTTTAAGAGGCCCAAACTCATGCTACTGTAAGAATTAACTGCAAGTTAATTATTGCAAGTTGAAGTTATTTATAAGACTATGGTATGTATATACAAACACACAATTCTGAATTCACTGTGTAATATTAGTACTCAAAATCATATATATTGTACAGGAGAACAACCTGTGTGATAATTCATGAGTTATCTCAGTCTCTAATTGGACAGTACAATTATTTACCTTAAAACAGATTAGAAATCACCAACAGAGAGCTTTTTTTTTAAACTAAATGCAAGCAGAGTAAAAAGAAATGTAGAGTAGAAAGAAATGAAGCAAAATATAGGTCTTCCTTTGGGAAAAAAGTCAAGACACAAAAGCAGTTGAAGAGATGTCTTTCATTTCCTAGGGTGATACACATATTTAGTAGTTCGGTAGTTAATTTTTGTTTAACAGCCATATTGAGGCTTTATTGGCATATAATGAATACACATGCTTAAAGTGCAGGACTTGTTAAATTTTTACTTATGTATACAACCATGAAACTATCATCACAATTAAAATAAGGAATATATCCATCACCCCAGCAAAATATTCTCCTCCCTCTTGATAACCCCTCCCCCATAACCTCCCTGCTTCCCCCAAATCCCTGGCAACCACAGATCTGATCTCTCTCATGATTAGTTTCTATTTTCCAGAATGTCATATAAATGGAACCACATAGTATTTACTTTTCTTTATCTGGCTTTTTCTTTCAACAGAATTATTTTGAAATTCATTAATGTGTGATATGTATCAATAGTTCATTCCTTTTTATTGCTGAGTAGTATCTCGTTGTGTGAATATAGCTCAGTTTGTGTGTTCATTCATTTGAAGATGGGCATTTGAATTGTGTCCAGTTTTCATCCGTTATAAATAAGCTACTATGACCATTTATGCACAGATGGTCATATGAAAATATCCTTTCATTTCTCTTGGGTAAATACCTAGACAAGAATAGCTATGTCATATGGTAGGTATCTGTTTAACATTTAAGAAACTGCCAAATTGTTTTGCAGAATGTTTGTCTTTATGCCAAATTGCTTTGGTTGATTTTATTATGGTAAACTAAACTTGAATTACTGGTATAAGTCAATTTTTTGAAACTTTGTTAAGTTTTTTTGCATCTGTGGTCATGAAGGACTGTATTTTTATTTTTTTAAAATGTCTGTCTAGGCTGGGCATGGTGGCTCACGCCCATAATCCCAGCACTTTGGGAGGTCAACGTGGGTGGATCACGAGGTCAGGAGGTCAAGACCAGCCTGGCCAACATGATGAAACCCTGTCTCTACTAAAAATACAAAAAATTAGCCGGGAATGCTGGTGGGCACCTGTAATCCCACCTACTCGGGAGGCTGAGGCAGGAGAATCACTTGAACCCGGGAGGCGGAGCTTGCAGTGAGCCAAGATTGCATCACTGCACTCCAGCCTGGGTGACAGAGCGAGACTCCATCTCAAAAAAGAAAAAAAAAAATGTCTGTCTGAATGTGGTGTCAGAATAATGCTGGACTTATAGAATGAGTTCAAAAGTATTCTCTCCTCTTCAATCTTCTGAATGAGTTTATGTTTATTTGTTATTTCTTCCTTAAATGTTTGCTAGAAAACTCCAGCGAAGCCATCTGGGCCTGGAATTTTTTTTGTGGGAAGGTTTTTAACTATAAACTCAATCTAATTAATAGACTATTCATGTCATCTATTTCTTCTTGAGTCAGTGTTAGTAGTTTACATCTTTCAAGGAATTTGTCTTTTCTTCTAAGCTGTCAAACATACTGGCATACAGCTTTGCATTGTAATCTCTTATTATGCCTTTTAATATATGTAATGTATGTAGTGAGATCACCTCTCTCATTACTGATATTGGTAAATTTTGTCTTTTTTTCTCTCATTGATGGCAGCAGCTGCTGCCATCATGCAGGCTACAGCAGGGAGGTATGGCTGGGTCTGCATACTCCATGAAGCTGGTGGGAGCCCCACCCCTTCTGAGTTGGGGTGAGTTCCCTGGTGCGGCTGCAGACCCAGGCCTCCTGCTCTACGGAGCAGGCTGTAGCCCACCCCAAACTGCAGC
The DNA here is from genome assembly GCF_000001405.40 of Homo sapiens. Taxonomy (NCBI): domain Eukaryota; kingdom Metazoa; phylum Chordata; class Mammalia; order Primates; family Hominidae; genus Homo; species Homo sapiens. The sequence goes on from NC_000009.12 coordinate 42,540,697, forward strand.
TGTGGATCCAAGCTTCCCTGTGCTCTTGGAGGGGGCTGGGAACCGACAGGATCTGCCCTCCTGGGTGCAGCTGCAGCCACCCAACCCACTGCTGCAGACCTGGGCTTCCGGCTCCATGGAGCAGGCAGGAGACCGGGACAAGCAGAAGCCCCGCCCCTTCTGAGTTGGCTGGGTGGGAGCTCCCTGGGTGCAACTGAGGCCACCGTCTCAGGCGCAGGACCCTGGCATCTTGGCAGCCTGCACCTGCCACCCCCAACTGGCTCTGGGATGTCTGCTCTCACTGCCTGGCCTCTCTCCTCTTCTGTCACCAGCTTTAATCTCCCAACAGGGTTGGTCGAGCCCTGGGGCCTTGAATGGCAGGGGGAGGGAGAGTCCTGGGCAGAAGCGGATGGGTCCCCAGTAAAGCCCCACCTTCAAGCCAGGGAGGGCCTGAAGGCTGGGAGCCAGACTGCCAATCCTGTGGACAGGACTGGGGATCTGTCCCTCCTCTGGGCCGCCAATGGCTGCTCATGGACCAATTGGCAGGTACTTCCTCCCCTCTGAGGTCCATAAAAGCCCTGGGCTCTACCAGAGAGGGCAGAGGACAGAGAGACGATGGGATGACCAGCTGCAGAGACGAACTCTCCCCTCTACTGAGAGCTTCAGAGACCTGCAGAGACCTCCAAATGACCAGCCTGCGGAGAGCAGCCAGGCTCGCCAGGGCCTCCTCTCTGCTGAAAGCTGAACACTCCACCGGACGACCTGCCTGCAGAGAGGAGCTACCCACTGTGGGTCTTCTCTGAGCTGTTCTAACACTAAATAAAACTCCTCTTAATCTTCTTCGCCCTTCCTTTGCATACCTCATTCTTCCTGGATGCAGGACAAGAACTCAGGCAAAGATGCCACTGTCCACAGAGGTTTCTGGGCAAGAAAATCGACACCCCAAAGATCCTGTAACATCATGATTGGCTGTCTCCACATTTACATCATACAATTCAATTACAAACCACTGCAAAGCAGCACTTATTGATGAAGAGCTGGCTCGTGAGCTGTAAGTGGACATGCCATCAGTGGTGGCAGGTTGTAGCTTATTAACTTGAAATGATACTTTTTTTACATTCCTCTCTGCCCTCACGTGGTGCTAATAATTGTCATAAAAGGGAGTATATGACTCCACCATGACCTCAAAAGGCCTATTCCCCATCTCAAAGGAAAATGTCACTTTCCTGGTGCTAGAAATTGTAGATATGAGAGTTGCTCAAGTTCATTTATAGTGAAGAGAAGTTAGTAGTGTATTTATAGAAGCCTAACACTATGATATGCATATATTTTTTAAATACTATAGAAGGAGCCAATGGCAGTGATCCAGAAAATATATCCTTTTCAGTTGAGATAGAAGAGCAAAAGAAATCTCTATTCCTATTGCAGAGAAAAAATAGTAAATATATTTGCTCATAACAACATAACTAAACTGTTTGTGGCTTAATAAATAAAAATATAGTTATTTAAAGGTGGTTCAAGGTTTTGTATATAATCTTACATTCTCCAAATGTGAATTTGCACAGTAACGAATTAAAAATAAAACAAAGCAATATTACTTGTCAATTCAATCAAATAACTTTGTAATTTAGCAGAAAATAAATTGTACCAGTTTGGTTTAAAGCCCTAACTACACATCTATAGTTTCCTTAAATTAATTAAAAGAAGTCATGCAATTTTCACAGAATATCACATGCATGTTATCCATTTTAATTTCTCTTAAAAATGGGTTAGTTGCCATTATCAAACTTTAGACAAGAAATCAAACAGATAAAGTAACAATGAAAGCAACTTAGACATTAGCTGAAGGGTTTACTCCTAATTGCTGAGTACCCATGCTTTATCCACAAAGGGTGATTTACCATTTCTATAAACTGATAGTGAGTTATTCAAAATGGAAATTAAGAATACAATCCCGGCTGGACGCAGCGGCTCACGCCTGTAATCCCAGCACTTTGGGAGGCCTAGGTGGGCAGATCACCTGAGGTCAGGAGTTAGAGTGACCAGCCTGACCAACATGGTGAAACCCTGTCTCTACTAAAAAATACAAAAAAAATTAGCCGGGCATGATGGCGGGTGCCTGTAATCCCAGCTACTCGGGAGCCTGAAGCAGGAGAATCGCTTGAACCTGGGAGGCAGAAAAAAAAAAGAATGCAATCCAATTACAATAGCAACAAAAAACTTATAAAATACTTAGGTGTAAATTTAACCAAGGAGGTGAAAGAACTGTATACTGAAAACTATAAAACACTGATGAAAGAAAATGGAAGAAAACACAAATAAATGGAAAGATATTTTATGTCCACAAAGTAGAACAATTAATAGTTTAGTTTTTATTTTTAATTTTTATGAAAACATAATAGTTGTACATATTTATAGAGTACCTGTGATATTTTGATACAAGCATACAGTGTGTAATGATCAGATATGGGTAACTGGGATATTCATTACCTCAAACATTTATTGTTTCCTTGTGTTGAGAAAGTTGTGAAATACAAAATAAATTACTGTTAACTATAGTTGCCCTATTGTGGTACTAAACACTAGATCTTACTCCTTCTATCTATCTAACTGTATTTTTATATCCATTAACCAACCCCTTTTCATGCCCTCCTCCCACTACCCTTCCCAGTTTTTGCTAAACACCATTCTGTTCACTACCTCCCATTTTTTTAGCCCACACATATGAGTAAGAGCATGATATTTGTCTTTCTGTACCTGGCTTATTTCACTCAACTTAATGTCCTCCAATTCCATCTATGTTGCTACAAATGACAAAATTTCATTCTTTCTTCTGGCTGAATAATATTCCATTGTGTATATATACCACATTTCCTTTACCCATTCATTCACTGATGGATACTTAGGTTGATTCCATATTTTGGCTATTGTGAATAGTGCTGCTGCAATAAACATGGGAATGAAGATATCTCTCTGATACACTGAGTTCTTATCTTTTGGCCATATACCAACTAGTGGGATTGCTGGATCATATGGTAGGTCTATGGTTAGTTTTATTGACAAATCTCCACACTGTTTTCCAGTGTGGAGATTTCCAGTAGCTGTACGAATTTACATTCCTACCAGCAGTGTATGAGCATTTCCCTTTCTCCACATCCTCCTTATCATTTGTCATTTTCTGTCTTTTTGATAATAGCCACTTTAACTGGGGTGCAAGGATATCTCATTGTGATTTTGATTTGCATTTCTGTGATCATCAATCATGTTGAGCATTTTTTCATTTATGTATTGGCCATTTGATTTTCTTCTTTTGAGAAATATGTCTATTCAGATCTTTTATCCATTTCAAAATCAGGTTATTTGTTGTTGTTGTTGTTTTTTTTTTTTTTGCTATTGAGTTGTTTGAGCATCATGGTGTATTCTGATTATTAATCCCTTATCAGATGAATACTTTGCAAATATTTTCTCCCATTCTGTAGGTTGTCTCTTCACGTTGTTGATTTTTTCCTTTCCTGTGCAGAAGCTTTTTCACTCGATGTAATCCCATTTGTCAATTTTTGCTGTGGTTTCCTGTGCTTTTGAGGTCTTACTCAATAAATCTTTGCTCGGACCAATGTCCTGAAGGATTTTACCTAAGTTTTGTTCTAGTAGGTTCACAGTTTTGAGGCTTACATTTAACTCTGTAATCCATTTTGAGTTGATTTTTGTATATGGTGAGAGATCAGGGTCAAGTTCCACTCTTCTGCATATGGTTACTCAGTTTTCCCAGCACCATTTATTAAAGATACTGTTCTTTCCCCAGTGTATGTTCTTAGGGCCTTTGATGAAAATCAGTTGGCTATAAATACATGGATTTGTTTCTGTGTTCTCTATTTCATTCCTTTGGTGTATATGTCTGTTTTTATGCCATAAACATGCTTTTTATTTTTTATCACTGCAGCTTTGTAGTATATTTTGAAGTCAGATAGTGTGATGTCTCCAGCTTTGTTCTTTTTGTTCAGGGTTGCTTTGTATATTCAGGCTTTTTTGTGATTTCACATGAATTTTAGGCTTGCTTTTTCTATATCTGTGAAGAATGCCACTTGATAGGAATTGTCTTGAGTCTATAGTTAACATTGGGTAGCATGGACATTTTAACAATATTAATTTTTCTAATTCATGAATATGAGTTTTTTTATTTTTTGTGTCCTCTTCAATTTCTTTTATCAGTGTTTTAAAGTTTTTATTGTACAGATCTTTTACCTCTTTGGTTAAATTTATTCCTAGGCATTTTATATTTGTGTAGCTAAGGTGAATGGGATTGCTTCCTTGATTTTCAGATTGTTCACTATTGGCATATAGAAACGCTACTGGTTTTTGTATGTTGATTTTGTATTCTGCCACTTTGCTGAAATAGTTAACCAGTTGTAACAGCTTTTTGGTGAAGTCTTTATAGCTTATCCTAAATATAAGATCATGTCATTTGCAAACAGTGACAATTTGACTTCCTCTTTTCCAATGCCCTTTATTTCTTTTTTAATAGCTCTGTGTAGGACTCTTTCACCACTTTTCAATAAAAGAAAACGATGTGATTGACCACTTTTCAATAAAAGTGGTGAAAGTAAATATCCTTGTCTTGTTCTAGATCTTAGAGGAAGGATCTTAGGGAAAGTGAATATCTTTGTCTTGTTCTATGTTAGAGAAAAGGCTTTCAACTTTTCCCTATTCAGTACGATGTTAACTGTGGGTTTATCATATACTAACATTAATGTTTTAAGGTATGTTCCTTCTATACCTAATTTGTTGAGAGGGTTTTTTTTAATCACAAAGAGGAGTTGAATTTTATCAAACACTACTTCTGTGTCTATTGAGATAATCACAAGGTTTTGTTCTTTTTTCTCTTGATGTGATGTATGTGATGTATCACATTTATTGATATTTGTAGGTTGAAGCATCCTTGCATCCCTGGGGGAAAATACCACCTGATCATGGTGTATAATCTTTTTTCTGTGCTGTTGGATTTTGTTTTCTAGGGTTTTTTTTTTAAAGAGTTTTGCATTTATGCTCATTAAAAATATTGGCCTATAGTTTTCTTTTGTTGTGTCCTTGTCTGGTTTTGGTATCAGGGTAATGCTGGCCTTAAAAAAGATTTGGAAGCATTCTCTCCCCTTTGATTTTTCAAAATAGTTTGAGAATAATTGGCATTAGCTTATCTTTAAAAATTAGGTAGGATTCATCTGTAAAGCCATATGGTCCTAGACTTTTCTTTGTTAGACTTTTTATTACTGATTCAATTACATTATTCATTATTGTTCTATTCAGGTTTCCTGTTTCTTCATGGTTCAATCTTGGTAGGTTATATGTGTCCAAGAATATATCTATTTTATAAGTTTTCAATTTGTTGATGTAAGTTGTTCATAATGGTCTGTAATGATCTTTTGTATTTCTGTTTTATCAGTTATAATGTCTCCTTTTTATCTCTGATTCTATTCCATTGAGTTTTTCTTTTCATTAGTCTACCTAAAGATTTGTTGATTTTGTCTACCTTTTCAAAACAATATTTTCATTTAGTTGATCTTTCATATTTTTAGTCTCAATTTTATTTATTTTTGTTGTGATCTTTAGTATTTCTTCTTCCTGTAATTTTGGGCTTGATTTATTCTTGCTTTTCTAGTTTCATGAGGTGCATCATTATATTTGAAATCTTTCTACCTTTTTATATAGGCATTTATTTCTATAAACTACCCCTCTTAGTACTGCTACTGCTTTTGACATATAACGTAAATTTTGGTATGTTGTGTTTCTATTTTTATTTGTTTTAAGAAATTCTTAAATTTTATTTTTAATTTCGTTATTTGCCCATTGGTTGTTCAGGAGCATGTTGTATTGGTGCATTTTCCAAAGTTCCTCTTGTTACTGATTTCTAGTTTTATTCCATTGTGGTCAAAAAAGATACTTGATCTGATTTTAATTTTTAAAAATGTGTTGAGACTTGTTTTGTGGCCTAACGTATGGTCTATGCTGAAGAATGCTCCATGTGCTCATGAGAAGAATATATACACATTCTCCAGCTTTTGAATGACATTTTCTGTAAAAGTTAGGTTTATTTGCTCTAGAGTGTAGTTTAAGTCCAATGTTCCTTTGCTGATTTTCTCTTTGGATGATCTGTTCAGTGCTGAAAGTAGGGTGTTGAAGTCTCCTATTATTGAAATGCAGTCTGTCTCTCCCTTTAGATCTAATATTTGCTCTGGTGTTGGGTGGGTATATACTCATAATTGTTATACCTTCTTGCTGAATTGATGCTTTTATCATTATATAATAACCTCCTTTGTCTCTTTTTAGGATTTCTAATGTGAAGTCTATTTTATCTGATAAAACTACAACTACTCCTGCTTTCTTTTGCTTTCCATTTGCATGGAATATCTTCATGTGTCCTTACGGGTGAGGTGAGTCTTTTGTAGGCAGCATACAGCTGGGTCTTTAAAAAAATACCTCATTTAGCCACTATGTATCTTTTAACTGCAGAATTTAATCCATTTACATTCTAGGTTATTATTGACACGTATGAACTTACTCTTGCCATTGTTAAAGTGTTTTCTAGTTGCTTTGTAGAGCCTTTGGTCCTTTTTTCCTCTTTAGCTTTCTTCTTTTGTGGCTTCATGGCTCTCTGTAGTAGTATGTTTTGGTTCTTTTCCTTTTATCTTTTGTGTATCCATTACAGGCTTTTGCTTTACGACTACCCTGTGGCTTACATAAAACATGTTATAACAGGTTAATTTAAGCTGATAACAGTTAATTTTGATTGCATACACAAACTTTTCACTCTAACTTCCTTTTCTCCCATGTTTGATGTTTTTGATGTCACACTTTACATCTTTTTATAATAACAAAAATAACATAAGTAATAATTTCATATAAAATAATATAAACAAAAATAATAGGCCTCCTCAGCCACTCAGGCCTTTGCTGCTCCTCCAGAGAGGGACTTGCAAACATTCAAAGAATTTGCATGCCATCGACAAGGCCAGGAAGAACTGTGACTGGATTCACAAGCCCTTCCCAGGCCTTACTGGGCATCCTTACCTGGTGCCCACAAACAGGGAGTACTTAGAACATATTTTCTGGTGCCTCTGATGACAGGCACTGCTTTGGACTGGAGTGGAAAGTAGGGCACCAAAACCATCCCTGGGGCCTTCACTTTATAGCCAGATGCAGTCCTCCCCCCAACCACGGGTCTTAAGAAACTTTCTGGAGACTCATTGGGCCAACCAGACCCATGCAACAAGGTACCCTTCTCAGGCCTTCATACCTGGCCCCATCTGAGCAGCCCCCAAGGCCTTCCTGACCACTGGCTCCCATCCAGGCTCTCCCCAGTTCCATGGTCCATTCAGATTTGTCCTGGCCTCCAGAGAGGGGTTTAGATACAATTTTGCAGGGTGCCTCCTATGACCAATCCCCACTCAGTCCACCAGGTGGAAGGGATGCCCTTCCTGGCCTCCATGACTAGTTAGGGAATGTCTCAGCTAGCTAATTGGGAAAGAGAAACGTTTTCGGGAGTGCTGTATGCAACTGTGCCCCACGCAAAACTGTAGCCATGTCAGAGACCCTTCCTGGAGGCTCCCTGTGCAGCTTTGACTGATCTCTGTAGGAAATACAGACATTCCCATAGGGGAAGTGAGAAACTCTTGGAGCCATTAGTGGTACTTTTGTTTTCATGTAGTTCAAAGAATTATTTTAATTTCTGTTGAGATTTCTTCTTGACCCTTATGTTATTTAGATGTATATTTCTGAATATCCAAGTATTTTGAGATTGCCCAGCTATCATTCTATTACTGGTTTGTATAATAGGTTCCAGTGTTTTCGGAGAGCAGGTATAGCATGGTTTTTATACTTTGAAATGTGTTAAGGTGGGCTTTATGGCCCAGAATGTGGCCTATCTTGGTGAATGCTCCATGTGAGAGTGAAAAGAATATGTATTCTGCTGTCATTACACTAAGTAGACTATAGATGTTAATTATTTCCAGTTCTTTGATGATGCTGTTTAGTTCTACCATATTTTATTGATTTTCTATCTATTGGATCTCTCCATTTCTGATAGAGGGTGTTGATGTTTACAACTATGATTGTGAATTCTTTTATTTATCCTTGCAGTTCTATCAGTTTTTTGCCTCACGTATTTTAACACTCTTGTTAGGTGCACACACATTAAGAATTGTTATATTTTCTCAGATAATTCACTTTTCGTTATCAAGCAGTGCCTATATTCATCCAGAATTATCTTTTCTCTCTGAAGTCTACTCTGTCTGAAAACTAATATAGCTGTTTCAGCTTTATTTTAATTATTGTTAACCTTGTATATCTTTTTCCATTTCCTACTTCAAATCTATATGTCTTTGCATTTAAAGTGAGTTTCTTGTAAACAATGTATAGTTGGGTCTTTTTTGTGGGGGATCAACTCAGATGAACTCATTCTTTAATTGGTGTATGTAGACCATTGACATTAAAGATGATTACAGATGCAGTTAGGTTGGTATTTATCATGTCTGTTATTATTCTCTATTTGTTGTCCTGCTTTTTTCTTCCTATTTTTGCCTTCCACTCTTTTCCTGCCTTTTGTGGTTTTAATTGAGCATTTTATATGGTTCCATTTTCTCTCCCGTTTAAGCATGTAAATTCTTCCTTTCTTTTTACTGTTAAAAAACCTTTCTATTGGTTGCCCTAGATTTTGCAATGTACATTTACCATTAGTACAAGTCTACTTTCAAGTAATACTGTATTGCTTTATGAGTAGTGCAAGTATTTTATAATAACAAAATATTTCTAACTCTTCCCTCCTATAGTTTATATCATTGCTATTATTCGTTTCACTTATCAATAAATTATAAACATCTAATAACTATTGCTATCATTATTTTGAACAAATTATTTATTAGCTGCTATATCAGTTGAAAATAAGAAAATGCAAAGTTTTTACTTCACATTCATATATTCATTTTTTATATTCTTCCTTTATGTAGATCCAAATGTCTTACTTTTCTCTTAAGAACTTCTTTTAACTTATTCCAACATTTCTTGCATGCAGGTCTACCAGCAACAAATTGCCTCAATTTTTGTTTTCTACAAAAGTCTCTGCCAGGCACGGTAGCTCACAGCTGTAATCCCAGCACTTTGGGAGGCCAAGGCAGGTGGATCACTTGAGGTCAGCAGTTCAAGACCGGCCTGGCCAACATGGTGAAAACCCACCTCTACTAAAAATACAAAAATTAGCTGGGCGTGGTGGTGTGTGCCTGTAATCCCAGCTACTCGGGAGGCTGAGGCAGAAGAATCACTTGAACCTGGGAGGCGGAGGTTGCAGTGAGCCAAGATCACGCCATTGCACTCTGCACCCCAGCCTGGGTGACAGAGTGAGTCTCCATCTCAGAAAGAAAAAAAAAAGTATTTATTTCTCCTTCACTTTTGAAGACTATTTTGTCTAAGGCATTCATGGTATCACACTATGATTCTAATTTGCATTCTCATGAATTTGCTATTTTCATTTACTATTTCATCATGGACATTTTTCCATGTTACTACATGTAAGTCTACCGCCCTGAAGAAATAAACCAAAACGTAAATTAACGGTATTGTATAGATGTACCAGAATTTTTTAAACCTGGCTCCTCTGAATGGCTATGTTTTCTTTATTTTTTGTTATTACAAGTAATGGTGAAATCAGTATTCTTAACATCATACATGTATTTGCACCGATGTTCCCCACACCCATTTGTTGTCATTTGACTTTGTCCTGGTACGTGCACAGATAAATTTTCTTTAAACTTTATGCTATCAAGTTAATCAATCGTGTCCTTGATGGCTTTCGAGTTGTCTTTGTTGTATACATGCCTTTTTATTTTTATTTTAAGAGACAGCGGTCTATTTATGTTGCCCAGGCTGGTCTCAAACTGCTAGCCTCAAGCGATCCTCTCGCCTCAGCCTCCCAAGTCGCTAGGATTACAGGCGTGAACAACCGTGACGGGCTCTGTTCTATGCTTTAAAGATCTTCTCTGTTCAGAAATTTTAGAATTAAAGTGTTTTCAACAAAGCTTTCATGGTTGCAGTTTTTCATCCCATACCTGAGGGCGCGGTATTTTCTAAGTCCGCTTGCGCGGCTCTGGAAAGCCCGGCCTGGCAGGGCGCCCGGCCCGCAGGCTCGCGGTTAGCTTTTCCACGGGCCAGACTGGGAGTCACGTAGGGAGAGTCTGTATTCTTCCCAGCAGTCAGCCTTCCCTTATGCTGCTGGGGATGCGTCGTGGTGACCTGGAGCTCCAAGAGGAGCCAGACGCGCTCCACCCACCCAGGTCTGAGAAATGCGATCCGACATGGACTGCAGCCCTTTGCTCCGGTTGTCGGGCTCCACCTGGCGGTCGATGTTACCTATTGCACTTGTTCTCTGGAGCTCCCGCGAGAGAGAAGTGGCCACTGTGCACCGGGTCGAGTTCCAGGATGTCCCTAGCGTTAGCAGGATTGTTCCGCCCGCTGGCAAAGCATTCGCTCCCCATCTGTTCGTGGAAGCTTGGACCTGCAGCTTAAGCTCGGAGGAGGCTCTTAGCCCTGGATGCTCTGTGGTGGGGCAACATGCGGGTCGACCAGCAACCCCCAGTGCCTGCCCCTCCAACACGAGACCTATCGGGGTCAACACGAACCATCTTGAAAGGGTGTTTGGAGGCCTCCCCGCGTGTGTCCCCATACCAGTACCTTCCATTTGACCCCATTTTCCTCAAGTTCTGCCTCAGAGGTGGCGACCGGCAGCTGTACTCAGAGGACGTGGAGGGGGCTCCACCAGCCTGGGCTAGGTCCTGCGTCCGTCCGCATCCTCAGACCTGCCTTTTCTGAGACCCGCTTGGGAGGTGACAAAGGACTGGAGAAGAACCAGGTGCCCCGGGGAGGGCGTCTCAGATTCTGTCTGTGTGGAGCAGGACCCTGACGCCACGGGGAGGTTCCTTATGTTTTTGGCCTCTTCCCACATACCTTAACCTCTTCCCAAATACTGGGAACCCCAGGGTTCATTTGGCTGCTGAAACTGTCCAAGCTCTAGGCTGCAGGCACCAACCTATTCCAGTATAGTCCTTTGCTCCAGGACACCTGGGCCGCTTTCCTGAGGGAAGAACATTCTCTTTATCAGGCAGAGACCCTGGCCACCCATGCCATTCACAAGCTGTTCCTGCCAGATCTGCCGGCACTCAGTCATCCTGGGCCATCAGGCTACTGAGTTCCGGGAGATGGTGAATGTTCAGGGTGCTTGTGTGGCCGGCCAGAGGTGTCAGAACCCCAAGTAGCTGGGAAGTAGCCAGAGGAAAGCCAAGTCCCCAGTCATCTGATGCTAACCTCGAAATTCTCATCCTTCTCCTTCCTCGTGCATTGCTCCTTCCAGGCATTCTTTAATCACAGCTGTGTTGGAGGCTGGGATTCCAGACCCAGCACTAACAGGGTACAGCCACAGCTGCAGCATCTCACAGTGACCTAGAGCCTGGCCCAGCTACCCAACTCAGGCAGTTCATCTAGCACAGCATCCCTGGGAGGTGGCCACTGTGAGATTCACTTCGGATTAGGAACTGAGGCTCCAAAGCCACAAATGACTTGCCCAACATCAGGCAGAAGGATTAGAATTTAGGTCTGCCGGCCTCTAAAGCTGTCTCTCAAAGAATAGACCATCAACCAAGGAGACAGGTTATTTCCAGGTAATACAATGAAGTAATGTAACTACAAAGAAGGATGAGTAATCATGGTGGGGGCAGGATGTGGGGGGGCTGTCCAATGCATCTGTCTCTTCTCTTCCTCCTGCCCCCAGGCCCAGCCACTGAACACGCTCCTGGACCTTGACGTGCTGGGCTTCCATGTTGTCCTGTCTTGGCTCAGACACCACAGAAGGATCACTCCCCTTCCAGTGATAATGGAGTTCTTCATTACTAAAGTGTACAGTCATGAAATCCATTACTAACCCTGAGACTCTCAGGCAAGAGGTGACAGGTCAGCTAAGTGGGAGAACAGTAGCAAAGTCTAATGGAATAAGACGGGGAGGCTTCCAATCAGAGAAGGACAGTAAACACAGATACAAGCTGGGTGGCCTCCACACCTGTATTCAGTCCCCCAAGGTACTGTGGGGAAGAAGACATCTGCAACTCAGTAAAATCACATCTAAATCCTCAAAAAGGATTCTTCTCCTCTATACATTAGTCAAAACCCTCATGGGTACTTTATCCAGATATGAACATAAAATAGTATTTTCTGCACATCTAATTAGCAATAATTCAGGACCATTACAATAGTCCAGGTGGCGAGGACCAGTGAGATCCTTTGATGCTTCTCTTGAAAAATGTACATGGTGCCATTTTTTGCAGCATCATTTGGCAATATGTATTAAGAAGCTGTAAAATATTTACAGCCTTTGACCTACAAATTGTACCTCTGGGAATTTTTAGGAATATAATATTCAGAGATACTGACAAAGACCTGTGTACAGAATGTTCGTTGCAAACCAGCTCTGTTCTATGCTTTAAAGAACCCATTATTCACAATAGTTGAAAATTGGAAGCAACTTCCATGACCAATGAATAGGAAAAAAGTAGAGAAAATCGCTGGGGTGGGGGGACTCTACAATAAAAATCATAATGCTTTCCAAATGTTTTAGAAAGAATGTTGATGCTACGGGGGAAATGAGGGAGCTTCCTAATGAAGCATATTAAACTTAATAGATCTCAAAGGCGACTCTTGTTTTCACACTCAAATATGGCTCTTCCTTTTCTTCTCTCAGTGAAAAGCACTGAGTTGGGAAAAGTCCCCATCTTCTCCCAGTTTCTCAAGTCAAAAATCTAGAATTTGTTCTTGATTCTTTCCTTTCTCTCTCACTGGACAGCCACTGCTACAATCAGTCCTGCTGGGGCTGCTTTCAAATGAATACCTCTGGGCCATCCCCTTCCCTATCTTCACCCTCCCCCTTCCTCATCTTCCTCTCCTCCCTCTTCCTCCCTCCTTGTCCCTTATCTACTCCCTCCCCTCCTTGCCCTTCTCTTCATCTCCCTTCCCCTATTACTCCCTCCTCTCCCTATCTGCTCCTGTCCCTCCCCTTCCCACCCCACCTTACCCGGCCATCACTTCATTCTCACTAGGTCTCCTCTCTCAGGGATGACCCCAATGTCCTTCTGCTACTTGAGGGGTTCCCAGCTTCCTTCTTTAGCCCAGAGCCCCTTCTGTGCCCACAGCCAGAGGCCTCCCATGGAATGTAAGTCCTTCACTCACTCCCTGTTGGACTCCCCACCAGTGGATTCCTTGCTACTTAGAGCAAAACACAAAGCTCTTCCTGTGGAACTGAGCTTCGACTGGTGGGGGACATAAGAGGCAGCCACTGGTCCAACCAGCCAAGGCCTAAAGCTCGCAGAAGAGAAATTCTCATTAGCAGAATTTTCAGTCGTTGGAGCTGAGCTGCAGGATGTTTGAGTGTGGACACCTAGCACAAAATGTACCAATGGGGGGCTGGTCCGAGTCTTTAGTCCCCTACCATGCTCCCTACCTCTGTACTGTGTGCTCCTGTCACTCTAGCTTCCTTCTGCATGGAATGCCTCCTTTCTGTTTTCTGTGGTCACACCTCTGCACTGAGCCCCATGAGACCCACCAACTTCAGAAGCTGCCCCTGACACCTCTGGCAGTAGGCAGGTGTGTCCTGTGCTGTCCATGCCCTTCCTTTGTACCTATAAGCTGGTGACTCTGTTCTGTAGATAGTTAGGTCCCTGTCTCATCTTCCCAGCCGGACTGTGAGGTATTCATGGTGGGATCTATGTCTGATCCATCTCAGGGAGTCCCGTGGAGCTTGACCTAATGCCTGGCATGTGGGAATCCCAGAGAGGAAACAGTATGTGCAAATGCTGGAGATCTGATGGCACCTGTGGCAATACGGAAGATTCCATGTGTGTAAAGGGCAACAAAATAGAGCAGTATTAGATAAAATAAATATTCTTGAGTGCATACTGATATAAATAAATGATTAAATAAGTTAATGAATGAGGGAAAGGAGATAAATTCACATGCAGGATTTCAAATGAATTATGTTATATATTCCATCCCAAAGGAGGGCGAGAATAACTACCCACTCCTTAAGTGTGGGCTGCACACAGTGACTTATTCTCCAAAGAGGACGGTATGGAAGAGGGGGAAAAGAGAAACTGCAGTGGAGAATCCTGATGAGCACTACCTCTGCCAGGTCTTTAGTGATGTCAGTCATCCCCTTTTTATATTCATAATTTTCTCTTTTTTCCCAATCAATCCAGCTGGAGATTTGTCGTTTTCATTGATTTTTCCCAAAGAACACGTTTTTGGATTCATTGATTTTTTTTCCTTTTTTTTTATTTCACTGATTCCCATTTTGATCTTTATTATTCCTTTTCTGCTGGTTACTTTAGATTTAATTTGCTCTTCCTCATATATATTTTGAGACAGAGTCTTGCTCTGTTGCCCAGGCTGGAGTGCAGTGGCACAATCTCGGCTCACTGCAACCGCCACCTCCTGGGTTCAAGTGACTCTCCTGCCTCAGCCTCCCAAGTAGCTGGGATTACAGGTGCCAGCCACCATACCCAACTAATTTTTGTATTTTTAGTAGAGACGGAGTTTCACCATGTTCGGTAGGCTGGTCTCGAACTCCCAACCTCAGGTGCCTGTCCACCTCGATCTTCCCCAAGTGTTAGGATTACAGGCGTGAGCCACTGCGCCTGGGCGATATTCTTAAATTAGAAACTGAGATTGCTGATATGAGACCCTTCTTCTTTTCTAATATAGTAATATCATAAATTTCCCTTCAGGTACTTCTTCAGTGACAACCGACAAATTCTATGTTGTTTTTCTATTTCCAGTAACTTCAAATAACTTTCTAATATTCCTTTAGATTTCTTCTTTGACCTATGAGTTATTTAGAAGTGAGTTAATTTCCAATTTTTAAAGGATCTTTCTGTTACTGGTTTTTAATTTTATTCCATTGTGACCTGAGAACATATTTTGTAGTTGAATACTTTTTAATTTATTGAGGTTTTTAATGGTCTATAATGTGGTCTATCTCCATAAATATTCCGTGCACAGTTGACAAAATGTGTATTTTGCTTTTATAGGGTGGAGTATTCTATAAATATAAATCAGGTCAGGTTAGTTGATGGTGTTGTTCAAGTCTAATACATTCTTGCTGATTTATTGCCTATTTATTCTATGAAGTGTTGAGAGTGGGATTAAAATCTCTGATGGTTATCTCTATCTCTACGTATTGTTTTATTACTTTTCTTCATACGTTTTGAAGCTTTGTTGTTAGGTACAAAAACACATAGGTTTGTTATGTCTTCTTCGTTAACTAACCACATTATCAGTAAGAAATAATCTCTTTATTCCCTGGTAATAGTCTTTGCTCTGAAGTCTATTTTGGCATTCGTATAGCCACCTCAGCTTTCTTTTGACTAGTCTTGGCATGGTATATCTTTTTCCATCCTTTTACATCTAACCTATTTGCATCTTTATATTTAAACTACATTTCTTGGCCAGGTGTTGTAGCTCACACCTGTAATCCCAGCACTTTGGGAGGCCAAGGCAGGTGGATCACCTGATTTCAGGAGTTTGAGACCAGCCTGGCCAAGATGGTGAAACTCTGTCTCTACTAAAAATGCAAAAATTATCTGGGTGTGGTGGCAGGGGCCTGTATTCCTAGCTATTTGGGAGGCTGAGGCAGGAGAATCGCTTGAACCTGGGAGGCAGAGGTTGCAGTGAGATCACGCTGTTCCACTCCATTGCACTCCAGCCTGGGCAACAAGAACAAAACTCCATCTCCAAAAATAAGTAAATAAATAAAGTACATTTCTTGCAAGCAAAATACAACCAACTTTAAAAAAAATCCAATCTGACAACCTGTCTTCTAAATCAATTTAAATGTAATGTAATTCCTAATATGGTTGAGTCTCTTATCTTGCTATTGTTTTCTACTCATCCCATCTGTCCTTTATTCTCTTTTACGTCTTTTTCTGTCTTCTTTTGGATTTACCCAATATATTTTTATGATTCCATTTGATCTCCTTTGTTAGTTTAATAGCTATAATCTTTTGGTTTGTTATCTTAGTCGTGGCTCCAGGGTTTACAGTGTACATCTTTAACGGATCACGGCCGACCTTCAGGTGACAGTAGATCACATCAGGTACAGTTTAAGAATCTGAGAATAGTAAACTTCTCCCCTTTTAGTCTTTAAGCTCTTATTGTCATCCATTTTACTTTTACATATATTATAAACTGCATATTACTTTATTTTCTAAACAATTATCTTTTAGAGAAGTTTAAATAATATAAAGTATATATCCATGTTGTTACTATTTCTGGTATAGATACACGATGTTACTATTTCTGGTGTAGACCATTTCTTTGTGTGGATCCAGATTTCCATCTGGTATTGTTACGGGATCCTTGGGGTATCACTTCATCAGCCAAAAGCCTCTATGGCCAGTGGCGCCTTTGCCCGAGTTTTGCTCTGAATCTCTGGTCTTGTTCCACCCACTCAGCCTGGCAGGCTGTGCTCAGTTCCCACTATGAGCCTGGATCGCATGTCTGCCAAGGGTGAGCCAGGCACAGAGCAGCAAGGGGTGTGTGAGCAAGCATGGGGTCCAGCCACTGCACACAGCCAGGCATGCCGGCTGAGGGGGGATAGGCGATGGACAGGCAGCTTCAGGCACTGGCACGGGTGCCAGCTCCATGCAAGGCTGCAGTTAGACCAGGCATACCATAAGCAGCTTCCACGGCTGACACCAGGAAATGTGGTGGTGCCCAGAACCTTGGAGATGCCAGGAACCCACAGAGCCCTAAAGAGGGTGTCACAGCCCTGGCTCAGAGTTCCTAGGTCTGGGCTCCATGAAGAGCCACAGCTCTTCTCTTCTCTCTTCTCATTGCTTGCAATGTGACAAACAAGGGTCATGTTTCAGCACTGTTTGTGTTATAGCTATTTTAGCTCCGCCATTCAGCAGGTCTCCAGGTCTTGTCCTGCGACCAGGAAGAATGATATATGCAGACAAGTGAAAGGTGAACAAGATGAAGAGGAGCTTTACTGAGAGATAAGACAGCTCAGAGGAGACCCGCAGTGGGTAACTCCTCTCCATAGCCAGGGTGTCCTGTTGAGTACTGAGCTCTCAGCAGAGAGGGCAGCTCCTCTCTGCAGGCAGGTCATCTTGTTGTCTCTTCAGCTCTCAGCAGAGAGGGTAGCTCCTCCCTGAAGACTGGTGGCCCACCCCCCAGGCTTCATCCCCACCCCAGCTTGCAGGTGGGGCTTCATTGGGAACCTGCTCCCTTCCACCCAAGAGCCTGTTTGCCTCCTGGCATTGTTCATGGCACCCACGTTATCCATGCCAAGGAGTACCTGCAGGCCAGTGCCAAGCTGTCCTCAGCCCCACTTCAGCCTCCTCCCCATGCTTGTCAGCCTCCACAGTCCAAAGGGGGCCAAGGGGCTGGCATGTCAGCACTACTCCAAGCATGCACACATGCAGCTGGGATGCGAAAGTGCTGAGAGAGAGACAGTGCCCCAGGTTGTGAACTGTGACGGGAGCAGATGCTAACAGTGAGGAGAACACAGACAGTGGGAGCAGGCACTTCCTAGCCTGCAGGGACAGGGGTGCATTCCTGGGCCCCCAAGAGTACAGAGATTCCTGGGTCCACAGCTGCAGCTTGGGTGGCTGCAGCTGCACTTGGGAGGGCAGGGCTCCTGCCTACTCTTGGCTCCCAAGAGCACAGGAGTGCCCTGGTAGCAGCCACAGCTTGGGTGGCTGCAGCTGCACCTGGGAAGCTCCCACTCTACCAACTTTCTGGCTCCATAAAGCATGCAGCCCTGGCCATACCACTGGTCTGCATTTTCCCCTTAGTGGCAGCAGGCAAGGTGCGGGTGGCTGGTGGCCTCAGCCAACCCCGTGCAAACAAACCCAATGCTCCTGGGGCCACCCCAAGAGTCCTGGCTGCACTATCAGCTCACAGACTCCTGAGACGCAGCAGACAGCGAGGTTGAAGTCACGGCGGAGGTTCCGGGCCTGCAGTGGGTCCTGCCCAGTTGTGCAAGGGTTGGGGTGGTGCAGTCAGCTGCCTCAGGGATGTAGGGCACAGGGGACCCACCATGACCACTGCTGCTCCCACAGCCACTCCTGCCACCACCACTTGTGCCTCCACACTGCAGCTGGCGTGATAACAGTGGCTGCTCCAGATGGCACACTGCTGCCATTAGTATCGTTTTCCTTATGCCTGAAGGACATCCCTTAACTTTTCTTATAGTGCAGTTCTGCAGGTAGTAAAGTCATTCAGCTTTTTCGAGTCTGAAAACTTCTTTATTTCTTCATCTATTATTCTCTTTTTGATGACCGTTAGTTAAACCAATCCATTGAACTTTCCATTTCAATTATGATACTTTTCATTTCGTTTCCACTTGGTACTTTCCCCAATGTATTTGTTTATTTTCATGCTCAAGTTATTTCAACTCCTTTGTTTCTTTAAGTATAAAACACACTTTGTACTGTCTTTGCTAACTTGACTGTCTTAAGTTTTTGCAGGCCTGCTCCTTCTGTCCATTGTTTCTGGTGGCTCTTGCCAATTTTACATTTGTGATTTTTTATTGTGAACTTATATTCCTTGAAAGTATCTCAGAGTTCCTCCACAGACAATCCATTTTGCATCTGTCAGTCACCTAGAAGGCACCAAAAAGCTGATATTGCGGTAAATTTGAAGCTTGAGACATTTTAGACCACCCAGGTTGTGTGAACAAACCAGTTAAAGGGCTATATACATACATATATATATATATATATATATATACACACACACATAAAACTCTCAGGGGAGATGTTTTCTCTCAGGATACCCAATGTTCCTCACTGTTCCTAGGGAAGCAGGGGTCAAGGGCAGCATACAGGGGGAGGCGGACAGGTTTATTCATAGTTCACCCTTACACTAAGTCTGTCCTTTTGGATCTCACTTTATGATGTCTCCTTTTAGCCCCTCCCACTTGGCCAGGCCCTCAGCTTTGTCTGCTGTTCTGCTGCCCCTTTTCCACCTCAGGCTGTGAAAAACAGCAAAGTTTAGTTTGACAGGCAAATATCTTAAGGGTGAAAAGTGGCATCAGTGCCTTAGTTACTTCTTTGGGTTTCACTTCCATTTTAAAACTTTTTTAGCTTTTTGGAACTCTTATTTTGTAGCTCATTGACACATTTTTAAGAGGTTCTTGATATGTATTCCAGAAGCTTTAGCTGTTTTCAGCTGGTCCTTATCAGCCCTACTGTTGGAAATAAAATTCTTTCAACTTGTTCTTTAGCAATGTACAGGCTCCATAGAGCTCTCGCTGCTCCTGAGGCAATAGGGTAAGAACGCCACTTAGGAATCAGGCTGGCCTGAGATCAAGTCTCAGATCCACCAGCAGTGTGACATCAGTGCCTCGCTTTCTTTATAGGGTTGGTGATATGGTTTGGCTCTGAGTCCCCAGCCAAATGTCATGTCGAATTGTAATTTCCAGTGTTGGAGGAGGACCCTGGTGGGAAGTTATTGAATCATAGGGGTGGACCTCCCCCTTGCTGTTCTTGTGATAGGGCTCTCATGAGATCTGGTTGTTTAATACTGTATAGTAACTTCCCCTGCGCTCCTGCTGTCCATATGAAGATATGCTTCCTTCCCTTTCACCTTCCGCCATGACTGTAAGTTTCCCTAGGCCTCCTCAGCCATGCTTCCTGTACAGCTTGTGGAACCATGAGCCAATTAAACCTTTTTTTCTTTATAAATTACCCAGTCTCAAGTAGTTCTTTATAGCAATGTGAGAACAAACTAATACAGAAAATTGGTACCAGAGAAGTAGGGCATTGCTACAAAGATACCTGAAACTGTGGAAGCGAGTTTGGACTTAGGTAATAGGCAGAGGTTGGAACAGTTTGGAAGGCTTATAAGAATACACGAAGATGATGGCTGGGCATGGTAGCTCATGCCTGCAATCCCAGCACTTTGGAAGGGTGAAGCAGGTGGATCATTTGAGGTCAGGAGTTCAAAGCCAGCCAGGCCAACATGGTGAAACTCTGTCTCTACTAAAAATACAAAAAAAAGTTAGGCGGGCATCATGGCACATGCCTGTAATCCCAGCTACTCAGGAAGCTGAGG
Source organism: Homo sapiens (assembly GCF_000001405.40). Lineage (NCBI taxonomy): Eukaryota > Metazoa > Chordata > Mammalia > Primates > Hominidae > Homo > Homo sapiens. The sequence goes on from NC_000009.12 coordinate 42,560,818, forward strand.
TAGGAGGATCATTTGAACCCAGGAGGCAGAGGTTGCAGTGAGCCAAGATTGTGCCACTGCATTCCAGCCTGGATAACAGAGTGAGACTTCATCTGAAAAAAACAAAAATGAAAACAAAACAAAAAAACA